>NC_000014.9:18862644-19187178 GCF_000001405.40 Homo sapiens
GAATTCTACTATATAGATGTGCCTTAATGTATTTAAGAAATCCTCCTTCTGATGGACTTTTAAGTCTCTACTTTTTTACTATTACAAGCAATACAGCAATGAACATGAATTTCATGTATTTGTCCCACTTTGGTATTTGTTCCCTTGGAAAAAATTCCAAGATCTGGAATTTGAAGATTAAAGAATGAATACTTTTGTCTGGGCATTGTGGCTCACGCCTGTAATTCCAGCACTTTGGGAGGCTGAGGCTGGTGGTTCACCTGAGGTCAGGAATTTAAGACTAGCCTGGCCAACATGGTGAAACCCTGTCTCCATTAAAAATACACACACACACACAAATTAGCTTGGCATGGTAGCAGGCACATGTAATTCCAGCTACTAAGGAGGCTGAGGCAAAAGAATCGCTTGAATCCGGGAGGCAGAGGTTGCAGTGAGCCAACATCGCACCACTGCACTTTAGCCTGGGCGATAGAGCAAGACTCCATCTAAAAAAAAAAAAAAAAAGAATGACCTTTTAATTATAATATGTATTGCCATATTGCCTTCAACACTGTGGGACTAATTTATGCTTCTAACCGAAGTATATGATAATGCCCATTTCCCCACAATCTCACCAATGTTCTAATGGGCTGTCTGTCCTTTGCTTACCTTCTCATAGGCGCTCCTTGTTTTTTCTGATCTTCAGTACCTTGTCATTTAGATGTTTTGCAAATATCCTTTCTCATGGTCTTTTTATTCTGTTGGGCCTTTTGATAAACAGAAGTTTAGGAATTTAGTCAATTTTATTCATTTATTTGTATTAAAGTTATATTCTTTTACAGTATCTTCTAACAGTTTTAGAATTTTTTTTTGACATTTAAGTTTTCATTCTACCTAGAGCTTTTTTTTGTAAGAGAAGGTTTCCAACTTTACCTTTTCCATCTGGATGCCCAGTTATCCCAGAGCTATTTCTTGAGACTTTCAGTCTTCATTGATGTGCCCTGTCTTTGCTTATATGTATGGATCTGTTTCTTAACACTCTATTCTTTTCCATCGGCCTGTTTATCCTTGGGCTAACACAACACTCTATTAATAGCAGCAACTTTATAATCATTGTTATCTGATAAAGCATGTCCTCTCATCTTGTGCAATAGGATTGCCTTTTCCTACACCTTTTTATTCTATGCATTGTCCTGTGTTCAAAAACAAAAAATATAGCTGTTGAGATTTTTATTGGATTGACCATGTGAACTAATCTGGAGAACACTGACATATTTCCATTACATTTTTTTTCTTTTCTTTCCCCTTAAGGTCAGGAAAGCATCACATATTTCTATTATTGAGTCTTCTAAATGTTAAAATGATCTGTCTCTATTTATTTAGATCTCCTTTAATATACCTATATTTTTTAAGAGGTTTTACACACTGTTGTTAGATTAATTTCCAGCTGCTTCTACTTTGAGATGCTATTATAAATGACTTTTTTAGAGAGATGGGGTCTCACTATGTTGCCTAGGCTGGTGTCAAACTCCTGGGCTCAAGCGATGCGCCTGTGTCAGTCTCCCAAAGTGCTGGAATTACAGGCCTGAGCCACCGCACCAACTTTTTTTATTTTTTTGAGATGGAGTCTAGCTCTGTCGCCCTGGCTGGAGTTCAGTGGCATGATCTCAGCTGTTTTTCATTTTCTAATTGTTTGATGGTAGTTTTTATGAATATAGTCCATTTTTTATATTGACCTTATACCCAGCAACCTTGCTAAATAAATTTATTAATTCTAATAGTTTGTAGATTATTTTCAGTTTTTCAGGTATAAAACTGTCCAGAAATAGTTTTATTTCTTTCTTTCAATTGTGTATAACTTTTATTTATGTTTCTTCCCTTATTCTATTGCATAGAACTTCCAGCAGTGCTGACTAGAAGTGTGCCCTGTTCTTGACCTCAAAGGAGAACTTTCAACATTTTGCGTCATGTTTATTCTAGAGTTTTGTAGATCTCCTCTATCAAAATTGGGAAGTTCCATTGTATTTCTAACTTTGCTGAGAACATTTATTAAAAATGGATGGCAAGTGTGGACGCAGGTGGCTCACACCTGTAATCCCAGCAACTTTGGGAGGCTGAGGCAGGAGAATCAGTTGAAGCCAGGAGTTCAAGACCAGCCTGGACAACAAAGCAAGACACTGCCCCTACAAAAAAAGAAAAGAAAAAAAAAAAGAAACCTAGCCAGGCATGGTGGTGCATGCCTGTGATGATCCCAGCTACTTGGGAGGCTGAGGTGGGAGGATAACTTTAGCCCAGGAATTTGAGTCTGCAGTGAGCTGTAATTGTACCAGTGTACTCCGCTGTAGGTGACAGAGTGAGACCCCCATCTCTGAGGGGGTGGAAAAAGAACAGATAGTGGAATTTATCAAATGCCACTTCTGCATTTATTAAGATATTCATGTGATCTTTCTCCTTTAATCTGTTAATGTAGAAAATTATACTGTTTTTACGTATATTGTTTTTAAAATTATAAATAAAAGTCATCCAAATGAGACTTATTTATATACAGATGAGACTGTAGCAAGCCATTCACTTCCATTGGGTCATTTTTTTTTTTTTTTTGCACTTCGTTTTAAGCAATTGAATTTCAATGACAATATAAGCAGGTGTTTATCATGAGTGTGTGCCAGGCTCCTTTCTGAGCACTTTGTGTGTATTATCCCATAAATTATCTCAACACTCAATGAGCTAGCTACTGCCATTCTTGTTGTTCAGCTGAGAAAACTGATTCGGAGAGATACTGAGTGATTTGCCCAGGTCACAGCTGGTAGGTAGCCACGCTAGGATTTACATCTGGTCTATCTTCAAAACATTTGATCTGAAGCCATACCAGTGCGTTTTACTCCATCCACCCATCAGAATCACATGAGAAACAGTCTTATAATACTGTGCCCCAGAGAGTAGCCAGCCAGACTGGTTCTCAGGAATAGTGTACCATCCAAAATACATTTATTAGAAAACAAGAAAGAAGAAAAATAAACAAACCATCCAAGATAAGAAGCCAGAGAAAAGCAGCAAAATAAACCCAATGAAAGTAATGGAAAGTATAAATTTTAAAAAATGATATAGAAGACAATAATTCCCATGAAACTGTAAGATTAACATTCTGGTGTTTAAATTTTGTTTTTTCTTTTTTAGGCATAAAGGCATCACAAGTGGTCATGCTCAGCTACTCTGGTTCCTACAGACTTTCCTCTTTGGGATGGCATCTCTCACCATCTTGACTGCTTACCAACAGAAGCATCAAAACCAAACTTGAGGATGTCCACAAGCTTGCTCTACACATCCTCATCTTTTTTGTGTGTGTTTGTGGGGTAAGGGAGGTGCAGTATTTACTCAGTGATCTTTTCTACTTTCTAGAAAGTGTCTGTCCTTCAAAACTATTTAAGAGCCTCTCATTAGTCATTTTTTCTCTTATATGCTCTGGTTGAGCTTGAATAGACCAGTTGTTGCTTAAGAAAGAAACTGAGAAAGATTTTAGCTTTTCAGTCCTATTTGGCAGAGGACTTCAGCTACCTTCTTATGGACTTTGGCTGTGTTGGTGCCCTCGTGTGCTCTGGGCTAAGCCACATACTAAATTGACTTTTTGGTTTGTATACCCTTGCTCTCGCCTTCTGATGAAAACACCTTACCCTCACCACCACCATCTTTGCTCTCCTTTCCCAAAGCTCTTTCCGCCTTGCTGCACCAGATAAAGTGACACCTCCACCATACGTCAATTCCACACACATTTATTAGGTACCTGTGAGGCAGGATCTTATCCTCTTAAACTTCCACTTCTCACGCTAGAGAGAAAGATAAGAAAGATGAGCAAGTGCCTGGAATGGGGCAGGCTGAGCTGTCACACAGGCACACTGAGAACCCACAGGGGAGACTGCAGAGTGCCTTCCCTGATGCTGCAGCTGGAAGTGATCCTTCCCTCCACCTGGCCCCTGGGACACTCTGCTCTGTAGTGTGCAGTCTGATGGTGCTGCTAGATTGCTTTTTCGCTCAGGGCCACAGCTTAAACAGCTTTACCTTTCCCCTCAGCACCTGTCCCACTACCTTGCACACAGGTACTCTATCCATGTTTATTGAACAAAGGAGGGAAACTGATTTCACTTTCACTTGTTCATTATCATTCCAATTTTTATATGAAAATGGCACAACCCACGTGGGGTACACTCATCTCAAAAGAAAAGCCCAAGACTACCTTTGACTGGTACTACCTTTTTTGTGGGTTCCTTGGTGAGAAACCTTTATCTTTTTCATACTTTTCTATTCTCCATCACTTCTCCAAAAGTGTCTCTTTCCAGCTCTGATTTATTCAAAACACATAAACATTCCTGTTTAGAGATTCTAGCCCACCATGGATTATCCAGCTAGTTAGTACCTCTCCTGTTCACTTGGTTATATTTTATTATTGCTCACAGGTTGGGGAGGCAGAATGACTGTGTCACCACTAGGAGCCATTAGGGCTTCTTCCCAGGAGGACTGCTTGCTTGCTCTTTGGGGACTAGCCCTCATTTCCCTTCCATGGTACAGTGGGGCAAGTGATTTGTATTAGACAAACATTTATAAGAAACAAGCCCCTCCCCAAAAGAGAGTCACCAAGTAAAGCACAAGCCTGAAAGATTATGAACTATGAATTGTCTTTAGTGGACATAAATTTCTGCAAATATATCTCAGTCTTTCCCTCTTTTCTCTGGTGATTAAGAAGTTGGTTTTTGGTAAGGAAAAGGATTTTTGACCATAGAGTTAGGCATCATGGAAATTCAAACCCGATTTCTTAATACCTGGTCTTCTCCGAAGAGAAATAATGATAGTAATAGTGGTGCTGGGAACAATATGGAAGATTATTGAATGAAATGGATTAACTTGAATAAAATGCTGTGAATTATCTCTAGCTGAAGGCTTTTCTTGTATTTGTCAGTTTTGATATATTGATGCACATTTGATTCTTTTTCTCAAACAGACTTTACTAAGGAACTGTTTATACACTTCAGATCTCAGTTTGTTTTTCACTGATAAAGAAATGCAAAGCACTGTGGTTGTCGGGTATATATGTATTATATTTGTAGACCTGTCCATGCCCCACTTACCTCCTCCACGTACAGTGAATCACTAGGGTAGACATGAGTGTCTCCTTTTCATTGTAGGATTGTCTCCTTTTTGTTTCTGTTTTTATTCAACATTTGATAAAGTCTATGCACTAAGTATGGAGTGTTCTGGCATTTTTTTAATGCACAAAGCCCAGGATGCATCACTTAACAATGGGGATGCATTCTGAGAAATGCATTATTAGGTGAGTGCATCACTGTGCAGATCTCATAGGGTGTACTCACAAACCTACATGGCAGAGCTGACTACACACTGAGGCTATATGGTACAGTCTGTTGCCCGCAGGCTACAAACCCATACAGCATATAGAGTAGTACTGAATACTGAAGGTAACTGTAACACAATGGTAAGTATTTGTGTACCTAGCTTTTCTTTAGGATGGGATTTAAAAAAAAAAAGCCAAATAGGCTGGGTACGGTGGCTCACGCCTGTAATCCCCAGTACTTTGGGAGGCCGAGGTGGGCGGATCACCTGAGGTCAGGAGTTCAAGACCAGCCTGGCCAACATGGTGAAGCCCTGTCTCTACTAAAAATACAAAAATTAGCTAGGCATGGTGGCAGGTGCCTGTAATCCCAGCTACTTGGGAGACTGAGGCAGGAGAATGGCTTGAACCCGGAAGGTGGAGCTTGCAGTGAGCCAGGATTGGGCCACTTCACTCCAGCCTGTTCAACAGAGCGAGACTCTCTCAAAAAACAAAACAAGCAAAAAATAGCCAAACATAGAAAAGGTACAGTAAAAATGTGGTGTTCTAATCCTATAGAACCAGGGTCATACGTGCTGTGTGTCATTGATCAAAACGTCAATATGCAGGCATGCCTGTATAAAATCCTGTCATCTTATTTGGGGTATTATCATGGCTTAGTTGCAAAGGGGGATCTAGTGAGCAAATGGTGCAGATCATTCCATTCATAGAACCATAAACATCTCAGCGAGGTAAAGTAACTTGCCCAGTATCACACAGACAGACATGACTCTGGGCGTCGTGTTGCCCACCTCCCCCATTATCCAGGAGTTTAGTAGTAAGTCTGTGAAGCAACAAATTTAAAAATAGACATCCTGGCTTTGTGTGGTAGTCATGGTGGTGATATGGGAGAAACAGCTTTATGTTGATTTTGGATGAGAAAAGGCCAGAGCCATCTTGGTGGAAGCAACCATGGAAAAAAACCAGGCTAAACTGTTTTCTTACCCACCCCTTAGATTTGCAAAGCACATATAGTTTGGAAAAATAAAAAAGTAAGGACAAAACAAAAAACAAAAAAACAAAAACAAAGCAAAACAAAACAAAAAAAAACCAGACTAATGACCTCAGAACTTAATAGCAGGCCCAATTTATAAACTAACAGTGTTTCCTACATTCAACATGTTTATGATTCCACGCAGTCTAAACATGCTTTAAAGCCACGGTGTTAACATAAGCCTGGGTTAGGTTTAAGAGGTTATATTCCAGATGTGTAAAGAGGCTTTTTAGAAAAACAACTTGCAATCTCAGAAAGCCCTTATATCTTTACACTGAGGGTCTGAGAACACGAAAGAGAAGTCAAAGAACTTGCAACTGAGGTCAGAGAGCACAGTGCAATCACATTTTTATCTTGCTAGGGCCCTTTCTGGAGTCTCATTAATTAAAGCTCTTAGTTTAGCAACCTGGGTTGTGAATATTTTTCCTTCCCTTTCTTGTCAGCACAGTGAAAAAAATGCTAGTAGGGTAGCTGAGTAACACACTTTAAGACAATGGAAACATTCTCTCTGTGAGGCTCCTTGTCCACAACAAATTGTGAATTATGTTTCCATTTTCATCCACGCTGGACAATAGGAGTCTTTAATGTTCACATTTCTCTTCTTGGAGAGGAGATTTGTGCTCTGATCCCACAGTAAGCATTTGAAAATCCTACTCAAAATACTGTATTTGCTACTTCTGCGAAGCATTTTAAGATGGCTTCTAAGCTTTTATAAAGGATTTAAGTACATCAATTGCCTCATTTCTATTTGTAGTAAGTCATTATGTTGGATTAAGGGAAATACTTCTGGTATACAATGAATGCTGTTCAGTCACATAGGTGTGGGAAATGGAAAAGTAATTTTTAAAAGTAAGAAAGAAACAAAAATGCTGTTCAGGGAAATATTCATGAATGAACATTTACTTACTTTTTCCTTGTATTCATACATTGCACAGGATTAAATTGAAGAAATCTTAACATTGTTATAAATGAGAGGAATGGCATCTATAATGTAAGGTAAGGAAGAGTTACCTAAATCTCAAGCACATAGGGGTCACCTCCACAACTTTAATCATGTCTACAATACATCTGAATTTATTATTTATGATTACAAGTATTTTGGTTTTTTTTTTTGTTTGTTTGTTTGTTTTTTTTGAGACTGAGTCTCACTCTGTTTCCTAGGCTAGAGTGCAGTGGTGCAATCTTGGCTCACTGCAATCTCCACCTCCCAGGTTCAGGCGATTCTCCTGCTTCAGCCTCCCAAGTAGCTGGGATTACAGGCACCCACCACCATGCCCGGCTAATTTTTATATTTTTAGCAGAGATGGGTTTTCACCATGTTGGCCAGGCTGGTCTCAAACTCCTGACCTCAAATGATCTGCCGGCCTCAGCCTCCCAAAGTGCTGGGATTACAGGCATGAGCCACTGCACCTGGCCAGAAATTCACTTTTAAAAAAAATTTCCTAAACAAGAATAACTATGAAATTCCAGACTCGGTTTGTTCATTATATTTTTTCTAATACACATGAAAAGAAAGGATAATTATTACCTAAAATCACCATGCATACTGGTGATACATTTGACACACTTAAAAATCAGAAAGTATTACCCTACTAGTTGAGATTGAAGATGAGATTTAACCTGGCTCTAGCCACAGGATTTTAGACAAGTTTGTCACCTTTCCGGACCTTGGTTTCATCATTAAAATAATTGAAATACCACCCCAAACCTGTCAGAACTAACAGACAAATTCAGTAAAGTTGCAAGATGCAAAGTCAAAATGCAAAAATCAGTAGCATTTTCATACACTAACAGCAAGTTATCAAAAAAAAAAAAAAGAAAGCAAGCAAGCAATCCCATTTATAGTAGTTAAAAAGAAGTTAAATACCTAGGAGTACATTTAACCAAGGAAGTGAAAGATCTCTACACTGAAAACTCTAAAACATTGATGAAAGGAACTGAAGATGCAAATAAATGGGAAGTCATGCCATGTTCATGTATTGAAAGATTTAACATTGTTTAAATATCCATACTACCCAAAGCAATCTACAGATTCAACACCATCCCCATCATAATTCCAATGATAGAGCAGGGTGCAGTGGCTCACACCTGTAATCCCAGCATTTTGGGAGGCCAAGGCGGGTGGGTCAACTGAGGTCAGGAGTTCAGCACCAGTCTGACCGACATGGAGAAACCCCGTCTCTACTAAAAATACAAAATCAGCCAAGCGTGGTGGCCCATGCCTGTAATCCCAGCTACTCAGGAGGCTGAGGCAGGAGAATCACTTGAACCCAGGAGGCAGAGGTTGTGGTGAGCCGAGATGGCGCCATTGCACTCCAGCCTGGGCAACAAGAGCGAAACTCCATCTCAAAATAATAATAGTAATAATTCCAACGATATTTTTTCTCAGAAATTAAAAAAAGATCCTAAAATTTGTATGGCACTTTGGGAGGTCGGGGGAGGCGGATCACTTGAGGTCAGGAGTTTGAGACCAACCTGGCCAACATGGTGAAACCCTGTCTGTACTAAAAATACAAAAATTAGCCAGGCATGGTGGTGCCTGCTTGTAATCCCAGCTCCTTGGGAGGCTGAGGCAGGAGAATCACTTGAACCCTGGAGGTGGAGGGAGAGAAAGAAAAGAAAAAGAAGAGAAGAGAAAAGAAGAGAAGAGAGGAGGGAAGGAGGGAGGGTGGAGGGAGGGAAGGAAAGAAGGAGAAAGAAAAAAGAAAGAAGAAAGAAAGAAAAGAAAGCAAGAGAGAAAGAGAGAGACAGAGAAAGAGAAAGAGAAAGGAGGGAAGGAGGAAGGAAGGAAAGAAGGAAGGAAGGAAGGGAGGGAGGGAAAATAAAGCAGAGAAAGAAAGAAACTTTGTAAACTATAACACGTAAAGCACGAGTACAGTTTTCCTGGAAGGTTTGTGATTGACCACATTGCAGCCTGTGCTCCTCATACTTGACCACATGGATGGATAGACCACTTTTGAGTAGCAAAATAGAGAAAATTTAGAACTAGAAATCACATGGTTCAGCCTTGATTTCTGAGGCTTAGCGTTGGTTTCTATATGTACCAACACCGTCAATAAGAAAAACTGCTAGGCACTGTTCCTGGGAGGTTAGTAGTTAATGTCAATAGTATTTGGAGCCATAATACAATCTGGCAAAGAGCGTTGTTCCAGGGCTGAAAATGCTGATGGAATTAGCCAACTGACCTATCCGCATACTCCTCCTTCCCGGAGAAGAAAAATTAGGCATTAGGTCTTTTGAAAGTAAAAAAAACTCAATACTTTTCAAATATTTATTTTGTTCTGGAAACTGATATAAAATATCCAAAATCCACAACTGCTCTTTGAGGTGACCATTATCCCCATTTCAAGTTGAAGATACTATAAAATATTATAAACATGAAGATACTGGCTGGGCACAGTGGCTCACACCTGTAATCCCAGCACTTCAGGAAGCTGAGGCAGGAGGATGGCTTGAGCCCAGGAGTTCAAGAACAGCCTGGGGCAACATGGCCAGACCCAGTCTCTACAAAAAATTAGCCAGGCGTGGTGGCACATGTCTGTGATCTCCGCTACTGGGGAGGCTGAAGTGGGAGGATCACCTGAGCGCAGAGATGTCCAGGCTGCAGTGAGCCGTGATTATGCCACTGCTCTCCAGCATGGGCCACAGAGTGATATCCTGTTTTAAAAAAAAAGGAAAAGAAAAAGACAATAACACACCACCTCATTCATTCATTCTATATAAATACATAAATAAGATACTACATGGTAGAGAATCCCTGCCAAGATCTTCAAAATCAACCCTAAACAGATAGTGGAAGGACAGGAGAGAGACACATGGATTCCTAACACTAAGCAGGGAGATTAGGGAATTTCTCACTACCCTCTCTGAGACTGAAGACTACTGAAATTAGTGTGGGGGTGGAGCCTGGGCATCATGAAGAACTGGTTGGGCAGCCTTTACATTCCGCTCTTGTTCCCTCAAGTTGCCTTCAGAGAGACAGTCATCAGCCTGACTCCTTCAGCATGACAGTTAACAGTGCCCGGAGCACTGTCCACTCATATCAGCAACACAAACTCTGCGGGGGCATGGGAGAGAATTCACAAAAATAGACACAGACAGCCCTCAGGTAGTTCCTTCACCATGCTTCCAACCAAATTGCCAGGACTGTAGATTATCTTATTTCCTCCTAAGGGTTTAAAAGTGAAAACTCCAGCCAAAGGAATGACTAGTGGATTGGCCTCAGACGGGGATTCACTAAGGGGTCTGTGATCCCTGGATTCTCAGTCCTCACATGGCCGGGACCAACACAGATGAGGCTGGCCTTGGCCCCTCCCAGTACATATGACCAAACATTTTCCCAAAGGAAAATGAGCCCACAGCCAAATAACTGGAGGAAAAGTCTACACAAGCAGCATGTATCATCTGATCACATATGTTGAAGCAGAAGGTCCCAAAATCTAATAATGCTCCTTAAATAGGAGACAACAGAAAATGTTAGCAATATGCAGCAAGAACAAGATATCATAAAAAAAACTAAGTGAAAATATTAGGTAGGAAAAATAAAATAGTTAAAACAAAGAATTTGATAAATGGAAATTAATCAAATTTGACAAATGAAATAGAATGGATATAGTTGAAGAAAGAATATATGAACACATGATTGTGGCGGTCTCACAATAAGACTAAAACATAAGAAATAGAGAAGAAAAGCTTGGAAATGTGGATGATAAACATAAAAGTGCGAACACCTGAGCAATAAATTCAGCTGGCGTAAGAAGTAAAAACAGAGTGGAGGAAATACTTGAACAAATAGTGGAGATACATTTCCAAAAAAATGACCTTATTTGAAAGGACTTATAAAGAAGAGCTAAGAAGAGATAAGGAAAAATCAATTCCTAGGTACAACTATAAAATTTAAAAATATTAAGTAAAAAAGTAAATAAATAAAAATAATGAGGAGACTGGGCACAGTGGCTTATGCCTGTAATCCCAACACTTTGCAAGGCCAAAGCGGGAGGATCACTTGAGGCCAGGAGTTCGAGACAAGCCTGAACAACATTTTGAGACCCTATCTATCTTTACAAAATATTAACAAAAAAATTAGCTAGTCATGGTGGCACTTGCCTGTAGTCCTAGCTACTGGGGAGGCTCAGGCAGGAGCATCACTTTAGCCCAGGAGGTCAAGGCTGCAGTGAGCTGTGATCATGCACCGCTGCACTCCAACCTGGGCCATAGAGTGAGACCCTCTCTCAAAATAATAATAATAATAATAATAATAATAATAATAATAATAATGACAAGGAGAAAGCTCTAAAAGCTTCCAGAGAGAGAACAGATCATCTTCAAACTACATAGTAGTTATAAAGTATTAGGAGACAGTAATTTTGAAGGTAGAATTTTATTTATTTATTTATTTATTTATTTATTTATTTATTTATTTATTTATTTTTTGAGACAGAGTCTCGATCTGTTGTCCAGGCTGGAGTGCAGTGATGCAATCTTGGCTCACAGCAACCTCCACCTCCTGGGTTCAAGTGATTCTCATGCCTCAGCCTCCAAGTGGCTGGGATTACAGGCATGCACCACCATGCCTGGTTAACTTTGGTATTTTTAGTAGAGACAGGGTTTTACCATATTGCCCAGGCTGGTCTCGAACCCCTGACCTCAGGTGATCCACCTGCTTCAGCCTCCCAAAGTGCTGGGATTACAGGGTGAGCCACCATGCCCGGCCTCATTTCACCTCTTGAACTTGGGTTTTCTCTTGAGGCAGTTACACTTGATTTATAACGTTCCTCTCAGCTTTAAAATTCCATAAAATTCCAGAAGCACTATCTACTAGTGAAACAATTTACTGGGAGAAGTAGTGAGTCCCCTGTCACTGGAAGCATTCAAGCAGAGTGAGAATAGCCAGTTGTCTGATACGCTGTAGAGAGAATTCCTACATTAGATAGGAGGTTAATATTTGATTTAAATAATTAAGCCAATAATAAAAAATAGCACTGAGTATGTAATACGTGCCCAGCACTGCTCTAAGCATTTACACACATCTCATTTGATCTTTTCGGTAACTGCATGGGGAGTGGGTACTATCCCCATTGTGCAGAGGCTACTCAGATCAGGGGCAGCACTAACCAGAGAGCTCACAGCTAGAGAGAGATGGAGATTGGAAATCAGATTGCTGTGGCCCCCAGCAAGTCCTAATCACCACCCAATTCTGTCAGCAGCCTCCGGGTTCTGGGATGGGCATGTCTTCCCACTGGCCTGGGATCTGGGTGCAAGGTGACGTGCCTGCCTCCTACCCCTCTCCAGGGCAGGAAATTGAGCATGGAATGCAGACGGCAGGCTTGCCAACAAGGCCACTTTCCCACGGCCTGCAGCAGAAAGAGGCTGCTTTCCGCTGCTTGGGCTGCAAATGCTCTGAGCCCTTCACCGGCAGCCTTATTTTACAGAAGGTGAAAGCTAAAACCTAGAAACGGCAAGCTACCTACCCAACGTCACAGAACAAACAAGTGGCACAGCTGGGAAACATCTGCATGGAGTCCTCACTTCCAGGCCAGTGCTTGATGTTCTGTTATTTTTATTTATTTTTTTTTTGCAAGCTCCGCCTCCCGGGTTCTCGCCATTCTCCTGCCTCAGCCTCCTGAGTAGCTGGGACTACAGGCGCCCGCCACCGCGCCCGACTAATTTTTTGTATTTTTAGTAGAGACGGGTCTCGATCTCCTGACCTCGTGATCCACCCGCCTCGGCCTTCTGTTTTGTTTTTAACTAAATCACATTACTGCAGTCGCTTACATGTGACAGTCCCTCAGTTTTCTGTTCTGAATATATCTCTTTTTAATCAAGGCCTATGCATCAACTACAGCAAATTGGAGATTCCCAAGAGTGGCAATTATTCTAAACGAAACTCTGCCTATGATATTCTAAAAATTCTAATCTAACCTCACCCCTGTGTCACACGAAACTCATCTCTTGTTGGTCCTGAATCCACACTTCTGCTCCTTTGAGGCAAGTTTCCCCACTAACATTGACCCCCAATTACATATTAACCTTTGCCCCAGCTGTCACCCAGCAGAATTCCCTCTGCAGTCCTCTCTGCTTATCTGGCCTGCTGGGAACTCACCATCAGACAGCACTGAGAATTCAACAACTGTTTCTTTCTTTTTTTTTTTTTTTTTCTCAAGATCTGCTTTTAGGAGAAGCAATCATTTCAACACTGCATTACAAATGAACTTATACCTCAGTCAGAAACAAGCAACCCCATTCCCCACATAAGCTATTATTATTATTATTTTTTGGACACGGAGTTTCACTCTGTTACCCAGGCTGGAGTGTAGTAGTGCCATCTTGACTCACTACAACCTCCACCTCCCAGGTTCAAGTGATTCTCCTGCTTCAGCCTCCTGAGTAGCTGGGATTGCAGGGGCCTGCCACCATGCCCGGCTAATTTTTGTATTTTTTAGTAGAGACAGGGTTTCACCATGTTGGCCAAGCTGGTCTTGAACTCCTGACCTCAAGTGATCCACCTACCTTGGCTTGCCAAAGTGTCGGGATTACAGGCATGAGCTACCGCACCTGGCCTTTTTATTTTTTTTTTTTAATGGGCAATATGTACTTTCAGATCACATGTTGGTTGGGGATCATCCTCCCAGATGCACATTCACGTTCTGGAGGATGACACAGTTAGAAACAGGTTTTAGAATCCAGTGTGACCTTGGGCAGATCTTTCATCTGTTCTCAGTCACATTTGTAAAACATAGGCAAAGACTGTGGCGACCTCACAAAGAATGTTTGCTGAAAGGAGAAATGAGTGGTTTCTGGGCCAATTCATTCTCACCCTGTCGAAGTGAGACCCCATGTCTCACTTCATCCTCAAGTGTAGTTGAAGATTGTCATCAACATCATCCCCCTGGCCCGCCGCCTGTTGGCATCAAGGTCACCTGCAGTGGGTCTTCCACACTGAGGGACTGTGCTCTTTGCCATTCAGCTGGGGCCCAAAGCTCTGTTCTCCACAAGTCATAGGGGGATATTAATGGAAATATTGGCAAATCTTACAATGTAGAAATATAAAAAAGTTCTGTGTTAAAACTATTGTAAGCAAACTGAGAAAACAATCATGAAACTGGGAGAAATATGTGCAATCATATCACAGGCAGAGATGAACTTCCCTAATACATAAAGAGCTTCCACTATTCAATAGGAAGAAGCCTACCAACACAAAAATAATAAACAGAAGTAAAGGATATAAACATCTAGGTCACAGAAAAGGAAATACAAACAGTTCTGGACATTTTATTTTATTTTTTTTAATTAAAAATTTGCCAGGCACGATGGCTCATGCCTATAATCCCAGCACTTTGGGAGGCCGAGGCAGGCGGATCATGAGGACAAGAGATCGAGACCAACCTGGCCAATATTGTGGACCCTCGTTTCTACTAAAAACACAAAAATTAGGTGGGTATGGTGGCTGGTGCCTATAATCTCAGTTACTCAGGAGGCCGAGGCAGGACAATCGCTGGAGGTTGCAGTGAGCCGAGATTGCACCACTGCACTCCCGCCTGGCGATAAAGTGAGACTCTGTCTAAAACAAAACAAGACAAGACAACAACAACAAACAAAAACTAATGAACAAACAAAAAACAAACAAAAAAATACTGTACTAAGGGAACAATTTTCCACCTATCATGTTGAGGAACATATTTAAGAGTTTTATGGCTGGATGCGGTACCTCATGCCTGTAATCCCAGCACTTTGGGAGGCCAAGGCAGGTGCATCATCTGAGTTTGGGAGTTTGAGACCAGCCTGACCAACATGGAGAAACCCCATTTCTACTAAAAATACAAAATTAGCCGGGCATGGTGGCGCATGCCTCTAATCCCAGCTACTCGGGAGGCTGAGACAGGAGAATCGCTTGAACCTGGGAGGCAGAGGTTGTGGTGAGCTGAGATTGTGCCATTGCACTCCAGCCTGGGCAACAAGAGTGAAACTCCATCTCAAAAAAAAAAAAAGAGTTTTATGACATGCTTGTTAGAGCTGTGTGAGGAAAAAAGCATTTCTATACACTGAGGATGAGAGGATATATTAAAGTCACTTCTTCTGTAAGGCAATTTGGCATTATCAATCAAAATCACAAATGCACAAACCCTTTGACTCAGGAATACAGATATATTCTGATGCATGCCAAAAATGTATGAACAAGATTTTTCATTGCAAAATTGTTTGTCATCTTCTTATACAGTGTATGAATACAAGAACTCTGGAAATGTACACCCATATTATTGTATAATGCAAGCATACATTTTTATTCTGCTTGTATATTTTTTTCTTAAACTTATACATATTTACTGATAAAATAAGCTAGCATTGCTTTTACATCATGTTTAAATATGTAAACGTCAATCTGTGTTTAACAAAATTGATTTATTGCACTGATGAATTTTATTTCAAAAGTTATCTTTTGGCTGGGCGAGGTCGCTCACACCTGTAATCCCAGCACTGTGGGAGGGCGAGGTAGGTGGGTCACCTGAGGTCAAGAGTTTGAGATCACTGTGACCAATATAATGAAATTCCGTCTTTACTAAAAATTTACAAATTTACAAATTTGCCAGATGTGATCGTGTGGGCCTGTAGTCCCAGCTACTCAGGAGGCTGAGACAGGAGAATCGCTTGAACCTGGGAGGCAGAGGTTGCAGTGATCCGAGATTGTGCCACTGCACTCCAAGCCTGGGCAACGGAGTGAAACTCCATCTCAAAATTAAAAAAAAGTTATCTTTCATGGTATGCCCACTTTAGAATAATTTCAAAGATCTTTAGGTAACTCAAAACCTTGTACTCATTTAATTGATGGATATTTGCTGGGTACATAAATAATTTCTAGGAAAAATGAAAGACTAAAACATGCATTATGAAGCACAATTTAAGTGTATAAACTTTTGCTTCTTTATTTTTATTTATTTATTATTTTTATTTTATTTTATTTTTTATACTTTTTTTTTCCTTTTTGTGGAGATCAGGGTCTTGCTATACTGCCCAGGCAGGTCTTGAACTCCTGGGCTGAAGCTATCCTCCCACCTCTGCCTCCCTAAGAGCTGGGATTACAGGCGTGAGCCACTACACACAGCCAAGATTTAATGTTATGACTGAGGTAAACATGAATGAAAGCAAATCTTCAAAATATCTATGATTTGATCTCATGTATATACATTTGTGTCTGAATATACATTAGATAGATGGGGAATGCATAGATGTGGAACAGGCAGAGCCTAGCAAGCCGAGGGGACTGGACCTGAATCTTGGACAGAGGGAATTCGTAACAGAAAAGACTTTCATGTTTTTCTCTGTATAGTTAATTACTTTATGCTCGACCACAACAAGAATGTATTGTATATGTTTTTTGTGTTTTTTTTCCCCTTAATCTTAAATTCAAAATATAAGGTAGCCTCCTGGCTGTGAGCTACAAGAATCCTTATGGGTTTGGCAGTTCTTTGACAACTTCTCACCTGGCTAAATTATCAAGGAATGTCCTACCACCAAGCATGAGAAATTCTTGGCATTCCTGAAATAAATTCTTCTTCTGAGCCAGCTCACGTGGGCATCATAATCTCCTTGAAGGCTTTAAAAAGATTTAGATCTGAGTCTGTCTCAGATTCTCGGGCTCAGAACCAGAATTTCTTCATCTGAGGCTATTATCTTGCTCTGGAGGAGGGAGTGAGAACTGGATCACTGGTTACGGTGGTGACTGGGACAACAGCACAGCCACAGACAGGAACACAGAAGGCAGAGGCAGCCTTGATCTGCAAGGGCTCCAGTTAACCCCAATGGGGACCCTCGATGGACAAAGGCACTCTCCTAGGCTTGGTGATGAAAGTATTCCTCTTACAGCCAGGCAAGGCACTCAGGGCTCTGCAGCAGAGAAGTTAGAGCTGTAGCTTTTTTGCTTGGTGTTTTCACTAAAACTTAATTTCTTGTTGCACTTGTTGGATGGGCATGTCCCATAGGGGAAGTTTCCACTACTGTGTTCTAAACTTTGGACTGCTTGTACCATCTTACTTGTTCCCTCATTAATAATGAACTAAATAAAACCTTTAGTATATGCTAATTTCATATCTTTACGAGAGTCATGACTTTACCTTTTTGTTTTGAAAAGTACCTTTTCACATTGCTATCACTTCCTTACCAGAGCAGTGAGTGTCTGGGTCTCCCTCTTAGGGGCAGACACTGTTCCATGTAATTAGAATTAATTTCTTGTTCTTGGTAGGCAGAGAAAACCTTCCACACTCCCAGGAGACAAGGGTTCAGATCTTGTGCCATGGCTGAGAGTGATGCTGAGGAAGACACTTCTCTCTAGTCTCAGTTCGCCTGCCTGTGAAATGGGCTCATAACAAACTCCTGATCCCAGGCTCAGTCGCCTTGAGCCCATGACCTCACCCAACCCCTCCATCCAACTCAACTCGGGGGGCGGCCCCCTTTCCTCCGAAGGCGCCCGGGTGGCAAGTCGGTGCCTCAGCTCCCGGGGGTTTCTGGGTTCTGCGCTGCCCACGGGGTGCCCAGGGGCCTCTGGAGGGGGCGGGTTCTCTCCAGCCAGAAAGCCCGGAGCCGCCCAGGAATTTTGGCTCGGACTGAGAGCATTGTCTCCAGGGCCTGCCGGGCACGATCCGGGAAGGGCGGCTGCGGGCACATGCCGTGCTGCTTTCAGCCAGGCCGGCACCATGCGGCCCCTGCTCTGCGCGCTGGCCGGGCTGGCCCTGCTCTGCTCCGCGGGCGCTTTGGCCGGTGATTGGGGCGCGGGGCACTGCAGGGGACACGGAGCCGGGGAGATCCCCAGATGGCGAGGAAGGAATGAGCGAGAGAGAGAGCTGGACACAGCAGCGAGATGGAGAGAGAGGCAGATACAGGGAGGGACGGATGGAGAGAGAGATGGTGAGAGGAAACAGACTCAGAAAAAGGCAGAGAAGTAGAGCAACGGAGAGATAAAGGAGAGAGGGAAGAATAAACAGTGAAAAGGAAAAAAGGAGAGGCCGAGACAGAGAGGCTTTCCCTGAACAGATATGAACCAAGATAGAAAGAAAAAAGAGTTTGAGAGACAAAAGAGAAGAAGGAAAGAGAAAGACTGACTAAAATGGCAAGGGGTGGAGGGAGAGAGGATAAGAAAAGAGAAAGATTTGAGAGAGACCAAAAAAGAGAGAGAGAGGGAAGCTCGATGCCTGGAGTAGAGCTGGCAAGAGAGAAGGAGCCAGGATCTGGGGTGGGAGGTCACAGCTGCTGGGTCGGGCAGCCCCGGAGGCCAGCTCCATCTCAGAGGGCTGCGGAGGCTCAGCCCTGGCTTTATAGGACATTGCTTAAGAAGCCAGACTCCAAAGGGTGAGTGACCCAGGCCAGCCCAGCACAGCCTTAAGGAGCCAGGCAGGCGAGTCCAGGAGAAAGGCCACCGACTCACCTGCCACGTGGCCTCAGGTGGTTCTGCAGTTGGTGAAGAAGTCAGCCTCCTGGTTTCCAGGGAGCTTCTCTGGGGAACTGAGCTGTTTGGGGTAGAGACGGGGGACTGGATGGAGATGGAGAGCTGTGCGGGAGGGAGAGGCTGTCTGGGTACTCCATTAGCTGGGTTCCTTGCCTTTCGCTGTCCCCTTTCTTCCCCCCACCTCCCCCCTCAGCTTAATGTTGCCCCTTCACAGGTGAGGCTCAGACGGGGTGACTCATGTCAAGTGACTTACTAGACTGCAGTCTGGGGCGGTACACAGATGCTCATTCCACCACCCTGCACATTGCATAGGACTTTACAGTTTACAAGCCACAACCCCACCTAGCCACGGATGGCTATTGCTCATTCCAGTTGCCCAGGTGAGGGAAAAGCTCAGATCTCATGGTGGTGCCAAGGCAGAGCCCTCACAAAGCATCCAGGCCTCCTGCCCCCCCAGTCGTTGCCACGACCTTGGCAGAAGTGCCCTGTGCTAAGATAGAAGCCCCTAGCGCCTTTCAGGGCCCTCTGAACTGTGGGATTAAGCACTTGGGGAAAGGATCCAGACCAGCCCTCAGGATCCCCTGCCTTGGGTGAGTCCCTTCCCCTCTCTGGTGCTGTTTCTTCCTCTATAAATTGGGGAGAATGATACCCACCCCACAGGGCTGGCCTCAGGGATTAGATGAGAGAGGAAGTGCCCAGCAGGGAACATGCATCAACGCACATTCTCTCAGATGACTCCACTGATCTCTCTGAGCCTCAGTTTACTCACCTGTTAAAGATGACCACCAAAGGCTTCCTCACAAGCTGCATGAGGAGTGGCTGGGACTCTGCCCAGCGTAGAATACAGGCCCCAGTACACACCCTCCCATCCCCCTCTCCTTTACTCCCTCCCAGCTCAGCCCCAGGATCCAGGAGCTAAAGGCACAAAGCAGCACCTGTGTTTCTCCCGGAGGGAGGAGGGAGCATCCTGCCCACAAGTGGCTACTTTTGGTGCCCCTTTTAGCCACAACTTGTACAGAGACTTTAAACCCACTTTTAAACATTATTTTTCTTTCTGATTATGCATGCTCATTGCTACAGAAAAAGAAGAAAAGGAGTTTGGGAGGCCGAGGCGGGCAGATCACGAGGTCAAGAGATCAAGATCAGCCTGGCTAACACGGTGAAACACTGTCTCTACTAAAAATACAAAAAATTAGCTGGGCCTGGTGGCACAAGCCTGTAGTCTCAGCTACTTGGGAGGCTGAGGCAGGAGAATCACTTGAACCTGGGAGGCGGAGCTTGCAGTGAGCCGAGATCAAGCCACCACATTCCAGCCTGGGTGATAAAGCAAGACTCCGTTTAAAAAAAAAAAGAAGAAGAAGAAAAGGAGGAAAGTATTCATGTGTTAGTGTAATTTCACATTGACTTCCTACATTTTTGTGCATATTCTTTCAGATTTTAGAATTAACTTTTGATTATGAAAACTTAACTTTTGATTATGAAAACTATTGGATACAAAAAATACAAAATAATAGTATATGAAAGAATGATAT
This sequence comes from Homo sapiens, assembly GCF_000001405.40. Lineage (NCBI taxonomy): Eukaryota > Metazoa > Chordata > Mammalia > Primates > Hominidae > Homo > Homo sapiens. Next base: position 18,882,966 of record NC_000014.9, read on the forward strand.
AATGTACTATTAACCCTGCTTCAACAAGTATCAGTTCATGGGCAGTTTTATCTCATCTATAGTCTCCACCCTTTCTCCCCTCCCTGGATTATTTTAAAGGAAATCCAGGCATTGTATATTTTCTTTTTTTTTTTTTTTTGAGACAGGGTCTCATTCTGTCACCCATGCTAGAATGCAGTGGCGCAATCTCAGCTCACTGCAACCTCCGCCTCCTGGGTTCAAGTGATTCTTCTGACTCAGCCTCCCCAGTAGCTGGGACTACAGGCACGTGCCACCACACCTGACTAATTTTGGTATTTTTAGTAGAGACAGGGTTTCACCATGTTGGCCAGGCTGGTCTCGAACTCCTGGGCTCAAGCGATCCACCTCCCTCGGCCTCCTAGTGTGCTGGGATTATAGGTGTGCACCACCATGCCTGGCTAATTTTTGCATTTTTTAGTAGACACAGGGGCAGGGCGGTTTCGCCATGTTGGCCAGGCTGGTCTTGAACTCCTGACATCAAGTGATCAGCCTGCCTTGGCCTCCCAAAGTGCTGGGATTACAGGCATGAGCCACCACACTGGGCCCCAGTCTTGGTTTCTTTTAGCAGCACTCAGAGAAACCTTTATCCCTGATGGCTTTTTAGACCATGAGCCACCGCACCTGGCCCCTTTTTTTTTTTTTTTTTTGAGAAGGAGTCTCGCTCTGTTGCCCAGGCTGGAGTGCAGCAGTGCGATCTTGGCTCACTGCAAGCTCCACCCCCGGGTTCACGCCATTCTCCTGCCTCAGCCTCCCGAGTAGCTGGGACTACAGACGCCCGCCACCATGCCCAGATATATATATATATATATATATATATATATTTTGTATTTTTAGTAGAGACGGAGTTTTACTGTGTTAGCCAGGATGGTCTGGATCTCCTGACCTTGTGATCTGCCCACCTCGGCCTCCCAAAGTGCTGGGATGTATACGATGTATTTTTATTAACTATAGTCATATGCTCTACCTTAGATCTCTAGAACTTACAGCTGAAAGTTTCTACCCTTAGACGAACAACTTCCCATTTCCCCCGCTCCCTGCCCTCTGGTAACCACCCTTCCACTCTGTTTCTGTGAATTCTACTTTTTCAGGTTCCACAGAGAAGTGAGATCACATGATATTTGTCTTTCTGTGTCTGATTTATTTCACTTAGCATATGTCCTCCAGGTTCATCCACATTGTCATAAACGGCAGGATTTCCTTCTTTTGAAGGCTGAATAGCATTCCACTGCATATATATACCACATTTTATTCATCCATTCATCCATCTATAGACACTTAGTTTGCTTCCATATATGTATTTGTTTTGAGACAGAGTTTTGCTTTTGTTGCCTAGGCTGGAGTGCAATGACGCCATCTCGGCTCACTGCAACCTCCGCCTCCCAGGTTCAAGCTATTCTCCTGCCTTAGCCTCCCAAGTAGCTGGGATTACAGGCACGTGCCACCACACCGGGCTAATTTTGTATTTTTAGTAGAGATGGCGTTTTCTCCATGATGGCCAGGCTGGTCTCGAACTCCCAACCTCAGGTGATCCGCCCACCTCGGCCTCCCAAAGTGCTGGGATTACAGGCATGAGCCACCGTGCCTGGCACTCATCAATGTTCTTAATGGAATCTAGAATGGTGACTCCTTTCCACAAGGCTTTCCATTTACTTTGCACAGGTCCATCAGAAGAATCACTATCTGTGGCAGCTTTAGCCTTATAAAATGTATTTCTTAACTAATAAGACTTGAAAGTCAAAACCACTCCTTGAACCATGGGCTTCAGAATGGATGTTGTATTGGCAGGCATGAAAACAATATTCCTCCCCTTGTACACCTCCATTAGAGCTCTTGAGGAACCAGGTGCGTTGTCCAAAAGAAATAATAATTTTGAAAGAATTCTTTTTTTTCTGAGCAGTGTGTCTCCACAGTGGGCTTAAAATATTCAGCAAAACACACTGTAAACAGATGTCTTCCAGGCTTTGTTGTTAAATTGACAGAGCACAAGCAGAGTAGACTGAACGTAATTCTTAAGGGCTCTAGCATTTCTGGGATGATAAACAAACAACAGCTTTAATTTAAAGTCACCAGCTGTGTTAGCCCCTGAGAAGAGTCAGCTGTCCTTCGAAGCTCTGAAGCCAGGCAGTGACTTCTCTCTAGGAGGGATGTCCTAAACGGCATCTTCTTCCACCAAAAAGCTGTTTCTTCTACATTGAACATCTGTTGCTTAGTGGAGCCACCTTTATCAATGATCTTAGCTAGATCTTCTGGATAACTTGTTGCAACTTCTACATCAGCACTTGCTGCTTCACCTTGCACTTTTTTTTTTGTTTTGTTTTTGAGACAAAGTCTCACTCTGTCCCCCAAGCTGGAGTGCAGTGGTGTGATCTCAACTCACTGCACCTCCGCCTCCCAGATTCCGGTGATTCTCCTGCCTCAGCCTCCCGAGTAGCTAGGATTACAGGCATGCCACTACGCCCAGTTTATTTATTTATTTATTTATTTATTTATTTATTTATTATTATTATTTCTTGAGACAGAGTCTTGCTCTGTTGCCCAGGCTGGAGTGCAATGGTGCAATCTCGGCTCACTGCAACCTTTGCTTCCCAATTCAAGCGATTCAACTGTCTCTGCCTCCTGAGTAGCTGGGATTACAGGCACGTGCCACTGTGCCCGGCTAATTTTTGTATTTTTAGTAGAGACGGGGTTTCACCACAGTGCCCAGGCTGGTCTTGAACTCCTGACCTCAGGTGATCCACCTGCCTCAGCCTCCCAAAGTGCTGGGATTACAGGTGTGAGACACCGTGCCTGGCCCAATTTTTGTATTTTTAGTAGAGACGGGGTTTCACCATGTTGGCCAGGCTGGTCTCGAGCTCTCAACCTTGTGATCCACCTGCCTCGGCCTCCTAAAGTGCTGGGATTATAGGCGTGAGCCACCGCGCCCGGCCAACCTTGCATTTTCATATTATAGAGATGACTTCTTTCCTTAAACCCCATGAACTAACAACCTCTGTTAGCTTCAAACTTTTCTTCAGCAGCTTCCTCACCTCCCTCAGCTTTCACAGAACTAAAGTGAGCTAGGGGCTTGCCCTGGATTAGGCTTTGCCTTAAGGGGATGTTGTGGGTGATTTGATGTTCTAACCAGCACTAAAACTTTTTCCACATCAGCAACAAGGCTGTTTTGCATTCTTATCATTTGTGTATTCACTGGAGAAGCACTTTTAATTTCCTTCAAGAACTTTTCCTTTGCTTTCACAACTTGGCTAATGGGCACAAGAGGCCTAGCTTTCAGCCTAGGTCGGTTTTCGTTATGCTTTCTGCACTAAAGGTAGCTGTTTCTGACTTTTGATTGAAAGTGAGAATCATGCAGTTCTTCTTTCCACCTGAACATGTATAGGGCACTGCATGGTTATTAATTAGCCTAATTTCAATATTGTTGTGTATCAGGTAATAGAGAGGCCTGAGAAGAAGGAGCGAGCTGGGAATGGATGGTGGACAATGCAGTCAGAACACACATAACTGGCAGGGTGCAGTGGCTCATGCCTATAATCCAGCACTTTGGGAGGCCGAGGTGGGAGGATTGCTTGAGTCCAGGAGTTGGAGACTAGCTTGGGCAATATAATGAGACCTCGTCTCTACAAAAAATTTACAAATTAGCTGAGTGTGGTGGCACATGCCTGCTGTAGTTATTCGGGAGGCTGAGGTGGGAGGATCGCTTGAGCCCGGAAGGTGAAGGTTGCAGTGAGCTGAGATCATGCCACGGCACTCCAACCTGGGTGACAGAGAAAGACTCTGTCTCAAAACAAAACAAAACGAAACAAAACAAAAAGACATATAGACAACATTAAGTTCACCCTCTTATATCAATGAACTTGTAAACAATTACAATAGCAACATTAAAGATCACTGATCACTATAACATGATAATGAAAACATCTAAAATATTGTGAGAATCAGCGAAACGTAACGCAGAGACAGAAAGTGAGCATATGCTGTTAGAAACACGGCACCGCAAGACTTGCTTGACACAGGGTTGCCGCAAACATTCAATAGGTAAAAAACAATATCTGCAAAGTGCAATAAAGCAAAAACACTATAAAACTTAGTGGGCCCGTACATGAGACTTCTCTGCATTATTTCTTTTTTTTCTTTGTAGAGATGGCGTCTCTCTGTCATCCAGGCTGGAATGCAGTGGCACCATCACAGCTCACTGCATCTTTCAACTCCTGAGCTTCAAGGGATCCTCCTGCCTCAGCCTCCCAAGTAACTGGAGTCACAGGCATGGGCCACCACACCGTGCCCAGCCTGTCTTTTCATTCTTAACAGTGTCTCTGGCACAGCAGACATGTTTCACTTTAATGAGGTCCATCTTGTCCATTTTTTCTTTCGTAGATGGTGTTTTTGTGTTGCATCTAGAAACTCATTGCCAAACCCAAGGTCACCTAGATTTTCTCCTATGTTATTAAACTTACAGAAGTTTGCTAGTTTTGTGTTACATTTAGGTCTATGGTCTGTTTTGTGTTAATTGTTGGGAAAGGTGTAAGGTCAGTGTTTATATTCATTATTCCACATGTGGATGTCTAGTTGTTTCCAGCACTATTTATTGTAAAGACAATCTTTTCTCCATTAAATTGCGTTTGCTCCTCTGCCAAAGATGAGTGGCCTCTATTTGTATGGGTCTATTTCTGGGGTGCTTATTTTGTGCCATTGATCTATTTACCTATTCTTTTGCCAGTACTTCACTGTCTTAATACATACAGAAGACAACATAAACAAAGTAGGAAGTCAACTATAAATGAGAACAAAGTACTTGCATTTTTCCCCCAAAGTATTTTAACCAAACATTTTGCAAAAAATCAAAATGCAAAAATATAAGAATGTCAACAAATTTGCTCAACTGTAACAGAAAAAGAAAGCTTACAAGAGAATGTAGAGCTCAGAGTTTCTATTTACTGTTCATTAGATAAATGGTTTAAATGGACTGAAAACCCTGAAAAACTGCTCAAATTATAAAGAATCTATGAAATACTATGGAAGCATTTTCTAACCTGTTTCTGAAACCTCTGAAAAAAACTCATCATGTATCAATACAAGCTAACTTGCTTTACAGAAATAAAAGGAAAACTATACATTTCATTACATGTATACATGTGTCTTTCACATACTTGTAACTCAGAAAACCATGCTTTCACAAATATAATAATAGAAATACCATAATATTAGCAATCATAACATTCGTGAAACTATAAAGAAAAAACTGGCCGGATGCTGTCTCTTACACCCTAGAACCCAGGTTCTGGTCAGGGCTTCTCTTGGTTGTATGAATTCACCTCATGGAACTGTCGTAAGACTCAAAAGAGATAGTGTAAACAAAAGCATCCTATAAACTGTATTAGCCTGTAGACATGTGGTTCATGTAAATCCAGGCACTTTAATGACTGACAGCTGCCCCGGCAGAACCGCTTGTCTCGGTTCTTTTTTTTTTTTTTTTTTTTTTTTTTTACAGGGAATCTAAAGAATTCTTTTATTCTGTTAAACAGAATAAAAAGGAAAAAAGAATACAGACATCACAGTGATGAACTTTCACAAAGCTAACAGATTTGAACTACAGAGCAATGGAATATTCATAAGCAAGATGTCATGGTATTAATGACCAAATGGCATCCAACTAGGTTTTCTAAGCTCAAAAACATTTAAAATCTCAGACTTAAAATTCAAATCTAGACATGACAATTGTAAGCACACCACTCAGTCATTTAAAACTATGCAGTGAGTGCTACTCCTGATTAAATATTTTTTTCTTGTTATTTTTTTCTCCCAAGATTTAGAATGTCACATCTCATGTTCTTACTAGTAATCACACACAGGATTAAAAGCCCAACCAAACAAGAAAGTATTCTTTTTATAATGTGTTCTTAAAAGAAGAAAGAAAAATTAAATGTGAACATTTTGTACAACAGTTGCTGAAGAACAGCAACACCAATTCTGAAATATCATGTGGACTATACAAAAAGGCACGGCTCATGGAACCAAGTATGTAACGCTACAGCATTTGAACATCAGTCTCCAAAAGTTGGTGATATTACATCCTGTACACAGCTCTGTGTCTCTCTACCCAGCTAGCGCATGCCCAGGATCTGTCTGCTTTTTAGTTGATAATTTTTCTCAAAATCTGACAGGGCTTGAGCCCGCAGCTGGGCAGCATGAAGCATGAAGCAAGGACCTTCAGGTCCTTGCACTTGGACTTAGATGTGAGCTGACTCTCAGAATTCTCACTCCTCATGACATTCTCTTTACTTTCCCCACTGAAATGAACTTTCTTCTTAATTACTGAGGATGGAAGATTAAGAAGTTCTGGACTACTTGCCAGAGACAGGAACTTCTGTTCCTTTAGCAAGCTGTAATTCTTCAACAGATTTTCTGGTATAGCCAGTCTGTCCTCTGCTAGTCTCTCACAAACACAAAGCTCCTGTTCTTTCTGCTCCAACCTTTCTTCTCCTGCTTTGAGAGCTCGCTCTTGCTCCTCTAACTGAATTTCCTTTAGTTTCAGCTCACTCAATACAGGGCTGGAATCCGGCAATTTTTCTGGCTCTCCTAATTGTCGCCCTCTTCTCTCAAGATTTCTTCTTTGCTCTTCTGCAACCAAATCTGCTATTAAAGGGTTCTCGAGAATTTCTTCAACAGAAGGTCGATGGTAATCCTTTAACATCCTCATAATAATTTCATTCAATTCATCAGAGTAACGGTATAGAATTCGCCTGAATTTGCCTTCTCTGATTTTCCCAGCGAGTTCTTTCTGGCTAAAAGCTGTAAATGGAGGCATTAATGCACGCGACTCATACGGCAAGCAGCCCAATGACCAGATATCTGGTTTCTCATTGTAGGACATGTGATTCGTTTGTTCAGGAGACATGTAATAAGGTATGCCAACAAATGTTTTTGCAAAACTCGTGTCGTGGTTTAATATTCTGGCTAGCCCCAAATCTCCAAGCTTGACGTTTTGCTTGCCATCCAGGAAAACACTGGCTGGTTTCAGATCCCGACGCACTACAGTATGATCACCATCACTTCGTCTGTGGCATTACTTCAGGGCCAGAGTCAACTGAGTTGTCACTCGAAGAACAAACTCTTCATCTAAGTATTGCCTTTCCTTGGTTCCCTTTGTAATTACACTAGCCAGGTCTCCTTCTTCACAATATTCCATTACAACGTACAGTGTTGTGTTGGTCCGGTCAATAATACAATCATAGTAATGAACGATGTTTGGATTTTTCAGTTTACAAAGCAAATTCACTTCAGAAATAAGCATCTGTTTCTCAGCTTCTGTCATGAAGCCATAATCAAGTTCTTTCCAAACTAATATCTTGCTGTCACTCTTCCTCCGGATCTTCTGGCAGCGGCCATAGGAGCCTGTGCCAATGGTGTACAACACTTCATAGTCCTCAGCCCGGGATGGCATGGCCGGCCAGTCACCAGAGTGGCGCTGCCTCATGCAGGTTGTGCCCCCAAGTGCGGAGCTCCAGGGACCGGGAGCTCCAGGGACCTGGATGGAGAAGCCCCCGAGCAGCACTGACCTGCCACCCCTGCCTTTGGCCCCGTTTCTCTCTCAATTCTTAAGCAACTTATATTTCCAAGTCCAGTTCAAAAGTTATATTCTTGGAAGCCTCCGCATCTCACCTGTCCATCCAGGCAGAACTAATCCATCTACACTCTAGTATTATGCTCTCATAACTCTTGGCTCTTCACCAATTCATTCAAGGGTATAATGAGCATTTAAAATATGTCAGGCATCAGGCTATGCACTGGAGAAAAAAATCTTAAATGTGTAAAGCTTCCAAAGTTTTCTCACATACATTATCTCATTTCATACTTTAAAAAAGTATCCCATAGGATGATAATTTTTTTTAACAATTTCTCCAACCAGAATGAATTCCCAGGGGGTAGAAACTAAGTGTGATTCATCCTTGACTCCCCAGAGTCTAGTGCAGTGCCTAGCACACCGAAGACACTCATTAAATGCTTGATAAAGGAGTAACAGACACTTGTTTAATTACTAAAATATCAATCAGGGTTAACACTGAAATAATCTTTCCACAAAGTTTCCATAGGGGAAAGGGGAAAATACATTATATGAACACATCTGTGGAGCGAAAATTCCTCCCTACGACAGAGCATCTCCAACTCAAGTTTAACTGTTTAACAAAGCCATGTAGCAACTGAAGATGGATTTGATTTCACTATTAGAGTAATAAGCTCTAACTGAAGAACAGTGAGTTCTGCATAAAAGCTCCTATGCACATCATTCTGCTTGGTAAAACTGGACGTTATTGCACAAACATTAAAATAAACATTTAAACTTGGCTGGGCGTGGGTGGCTCATGCCTATAATCACAGCACTTTGGGAAGCTGAGGCGGGTGGATCACGAGGTCAGGAGATCGAGACCATCCTGGCTAACACGGTGAAACCCTGTCTCTACTAAAAATACAAAGAATTAGCTGGAAGTGGTGGCACGTGCCTGTAGTCCCAGCTACTCGGGAGGCTGAGGCATGAGAATCGCTTGAACCTGGGAGGCAGAGGTTGCAGTGAGCCGAGATCGTGCCACTGCACTCCAGCCTGGTGATAGAACGAGACTCTGTCTCAAAAAAAAAAAAAAAAAATTAAAAAAGTTAAATTGACAGACTATATAAATGGGTTTATCATCCTTTTCTCCTTTAGTATTTACTTTTCTTAATCTCACATCATGTTCTGCTTTACATAAAAAAGCCTCAGTTTACAAAGCCCTTTCCCATATATGGTCTTAGCAATCCTGTAGCTACCATCAAAAGCATCTTGGAGAGGTAGTGCAGTACTGGAGAAGCAACACAATGAGAAGACCTGGGCTTGAATCCTAGCTTTTACTAGCTGTATGACCTTAGGGATATATAGCTAAAACTGCAGAAGAAATAAAAATGAATATGTGTCTAAAATTATAGAAGAAATAAAAAATGAAAACATTTTTAATGTTTTTAAAATGCCTACAACTTTGGATCACACAAATGACCAAGCTGATGAACCTTAAAAATTCAAAATATCGGCTGGGTGCGGTGGCTCTTGCCTGTAATCCCAGAACTTTGGGATTCACCTGGCTAACGTGGTGAAACCCCATTTCTACTAAAAATACAAAAAATTAGCCAGGCGTGGTGGCACATGCCTGTAATCTCACTTACTTGGGAGGCTGAGGCAGGAGAATCTATTGAACCTGGCAGGTGGAGGTTGCAGTGACCCGAGATTGCGCCACTGCACTCTAGCTTGGGCAACAACATTTTTTCTGGCAGCCGTAATCCCATGCCTCAGCTTCTTGAGTGGCTGAGATTATAGACGTGCGCCCCCACGCCCTACTATTTTGTATTTTTAGTAGAGATGGGGTTTTGCCATGTTCCAGGCTGGTCTCGAACTCCTGACCTCAAGTGATCCACCCGCTTTGGCCTCCCAAAGTGCTGGGAGCCACCATGCCTGGCTAATCCCACTTTCTGACTTTGGCCACTGCACTGAGGGGGATATTCTGGCAGTGTCGTTATCACTGGGGAAACGAAGGCCAGGGAGCATTGCCTTATGGGCTGTGACTGTTTCTTCAGCTGCTTTCACATAAGCTTTGACAGCCTGCCCCCTCAGCAGGAAGGACAGGGATGGCTGTCACCGGCAGGCCCAGGCCCAGACCCTCAGCCAGGTAGGATGCCCGGAGGATGCCAGGCAGCACTGGCTCCCCAGCCTGGGGCTCACCGCTCTCGTTCAGGTCCTCCAGGCGCACTGTCTGGTGGGGCACGGGGCCATCCACAACTCGCTCCAGGATGCCTTGGACCAGGGCTGGCTGGTTGCCTGGGCAAACCCTGAGGTGCTCCCCACCGCAGGTAGTTCAGGCCTTGGCTGTCCTCACAGGAGGGTTCCACCAGGATGGTGATGTGGCTTGGGAAGGAAAAAGAAGCCTCAGGTGGGCTGGGCCCTGTGGCTCACGCCTATAATCCGAGCACTTTGGGAGGCTGAGGTGAGCGGATCACCTGAGGTCAGGAGTTCAAGACCAGTCTAAGCAACATGGTGAAACCCTGTCTCTGCTAAAAATTACAAAAAATTAGCTGGGTGTGGTGGTGGCTGTAATCCCAGCTACTCGGCAGGCTGAGGCACATACTGGACATAGGGACACCAGAAATCAACTGGCTGGCCAGCACCTAACATTAAAGGTCCTGCCAAGCAGAGATATTTTTTAGCTGAATCATATTTTCTTTCTGGAATTTTAGACATGCAAGTACTGAGATAATGAAGGGATTACTATCTGGGGCAAAAGCTGAAAGGATACAGAAAGATGAAAATCATGAGGAAGAGCTGAACACAAAACCAAGAGACAGTCAAAGAGCGTAGCCAGTTCCAGAACCCACAGCCATCTAGTTCTCTCTATATCTGGGTAGGCTCTGCTCTAATTCATGCTTTTCCTAAGATCCTTAAGAAAATACAAATGACTGCTTGGCAATAAAAGCCTAATTGGAACAACTTAAATTGATCGCCCAGGCTCTCACAGGTAAACTCAAGATTTGGTGACTAACAATGAGGAAGATAAAAGAAATAAGAGGAGGGGGGAAGGGGGAGGGATAGCATTAGGAGATATACCTAATGCTAAATGACGAGTTAATGGGTGCAGCACACCAACATGGCACACGTATACATATGTAACAAATCTGCACGTTGTGCACATGTACCCTAAAACTTAAAGTATAATAATAATAATTAAAAAAGAGACTCCCACACCACTTGTGCATCCCAATCAGAAGCCTGATACCCATCCCCACATGGACAGCTGCACAGGCCCTTGGGCTCCACGTGCTTGTGAACACACATGTACTCTCAAGTAAGGACACGGGTTCTTGTGCATCAAGTGGTATGTGGACAGGCCCCTTTGCCCATGACTGGGTATTTCTGGCAGTTTCCTGTTGTTATTCTCTTTGATCTTGTAATGGGTTTTGGGACCCCCACTTCTCCAGTCCCAGGGCTCAGAAGCCCACCAGGCTTTCCGATGCTCTCACTAAGTGTTGGCTTCTTGAGCAAGAAGGGCTAGGTCAGGGGGTGGGGTCTGGTTTTACTCATCTCTGAGTCTAGCCTCTAACCCACTGCTTAACGCAGAAAAGGTACCTGGTGAAAATCTATTAAAATCAATGACTGATTTCGCCCAATTTGGAGTGAGACATGCCCGCACAGTCTCAATGTCTGGAGAGCTTTACAAACCCCAGGGGACACCAGGAAAAAAAAAAAAAGAAATAAGAGGAAAGAATTTAAAATGATTAGGGTTTCTAGATGGGGAACTAGAAGAGATGATGATGCTACTGAGAAAGAGAAATATGGTGTGAACAGGAGGTTGATTGGAAGAGATACTGAATTAAGTTTTGGACATTTCAAGTCTGAAACGTCTGCGGACTATCTATGAGGAGATTGGAAAATCCGCAATTCAAAAAGCATCACTTAATACATGGTAGTCTAAGCCACAGAAACAGAGGAGTATCAAAAGACAAGTCAAACCCAAGTGCTCTTTGACAAAGCTGATGGCATATAGACAGACAAGACCTTCATAATGGAGTAAATGGATGCTCTGCCCTGATGTACTGTGTACTCATCTGTCCTGCAGCTAGGCTTCCCACCAGGCAAAAATGAAGGCCAGGAGGAGCTCCAGTAGGTCTAAGTAAGAAGCTAAAAGGACTGAAAATCTGAAACTGACAGTGCCATATCCCCCAGAAAGAGAAAGAAAGAAAAAAAGAAAATCTCAAATTTACTCCTTACACAACTTTATAGGTCACAAAACACTTCATAGGAGAGGTGGACAGTTTTCATAAGCACACACCCCAGCTTTAACATATGAAGCAACAGATTTGGAAAAATAAACTTATCTAAGATTATGCAGCTAAAGCCAAGTGTGGTGGCTCACACCTGTAATCCCAGCACTTTGAGAAGCTGAGGCAGGCAGATCACCTGAGGTCAGGAGTTCGAGACCAGCCTGGCCAACGTGGTGAAACCCCGTCTCTACTAATAATGTAAAATTAGCTGGATGTGGTGGTGCATGCCTGTAATCCCAGCTACTCAGGAGGCTGAGGCAGGAGAATCACTTGAACCCAGGAGGTGGAGGTTGCAGTGAGCCAAGATTGTGCCACTGCACTCCAGCCTGGGCAACAAGAGTGAAACTCCATCTCAAAAAAAAAAAAAAAAAAAAAAAAAAAGAATATGCAGCTAATAAGCAGCAGAGCTGAGAATCCTTAGCACTCTCAAGCCACAACACTCAACAGGTTTCACGGAAACCGAACTGATTGAATCTCACTGAAGTATCTACAGCAGGTCCAATCTGCTTTCCTTTAGCTTTTTCTAGATCACCACAGAGAAGGAATACAAATATAACAGTTTCTGATCCTGAAAAAAAAACCAACCCAACTTTGTTTTCCAGAAATCTTTGCTATTTGTAAACTAGTCAGATTTTAGACTGGGCATGGTGGCTCATGCCTGTAATCCCAGCACTTTGGGAGGCTGAGGCAGGTGGATCACGAGGTCAGGAGATAGAGACCATCCTGGCAAACACAGTGGAACCCTGTCTCTATTAAAAATACAAAAAATCAGCCGGGTATGGTGGCCTGCGCCTGTAGTCCCAGCTGCTAGGGAGGCTGAGGCAGGAGAATGGCATGAACCCGGGAGGCAGAGCTTGTAGTTAGCCAAGATCCAGCCACTGCACTCCAGCCTGGGTGATAGAGCGAGACTCTGTCGCAAAAAAAAAAAAAAATTAAAGAGGAGGGGACACACATCTTCTACCTTCCTCACCAATGTTTGCTTTTTACTTACACAAAAAAGGGGAAGTAAAAACATCCTGGTTGTATTAAAGGTTGGGGTTAGAATGCAAATATGGTTCATCTCAAGTACAAAAGAAAATTAAAAAATACAAACTACCATCAGAGAATACTATAAACACCTTTATGCAGATAAACTAGAAAATCTAGAAGAAATGGATAAATTCCTCGACACATACACCCTCCCAAGACTAAACCAGGAAGAATTTGAATCTCTGAATAGACAAATAACAGGCTCTGAAATTGAGGCAATAATCAATAGCTTACCAACCAAAAAAAGCCCAGGACCAGATGGATTCACAGCCGAATTCTACCAGAGGTACAAGGAGGAGCTGGTATCATTCCTTCTGAAACTATTCCAATCAACAGAAAAAGAGGAAATGCTCCCTAACTCATTTTATGAGGCCAGCATCATCCTGATACCAAAGCCTGGCAGAGACACAACAAAAAAAGAGAATTTTAGACCAATATCCCTGATGAACATTGATGCAAAAATCCTCAATGAAATACTGGCAAACCGAATCCAGCAGCACATCAAAAATCTTATCCACCATGATCAAGTGGGCTTCATCCCTGGGATGCAAGGCTGGTTCAACATATGCAAATCAATAAACGTAATCCAGCATATAAACAGAACCAAAGACAAAAACCACATGATTATCTCAATAGATGCAGAAAAGGCCTTTGACAAAATTCAACAACACTTCATGCTAAAAACTCTCAATAAATTAGGTATTGATGGGACGTATCTCAAAATAATAAGAGCTATCTATGACAAACCCACAGCCGATATCATAATGAATGGGCAAAAACTGGAAGCATTCCCTTTGAAAACTGGCACAAGACAGGGATGTCCTCTCTCACCACTCCTATTCAACATAGTGTTGGAAGTTCTGGCCAGAGCAATCAGGCAGGAGAAGGAAATAAAGGGTATTCAATTAGGAAAAGAGGAAGTCAAATTGTCCCTGTTTACAGATGACATGATTGTATATCTAGAAAACCCCATCGTCTCAGCCCAAAATCTCCTTAAGCTGATAGGCAACTTCAGCAAAGTCTCAGGATATAAAATCAATGTGCAAAAATCACAAGCATTCTTATACACCAATAACAGACAAACAGAGAGCCAAATCATGAGTGAACTCCCATTCACAGCTGCTTCAAAGAGAATAAAATACCTAGGAATCCAACTTAGAAGGGACGTGAAGGACCTTTTCAAGGAGAACTACAAACCACTGCTCAATGAAATAAAAGAGGATACATACAAATGGAAGAACATTCCATGCTCATGGGTAGGAAGAATCAATATCGTGAAAATGGCCATACTGCCCAAGGTAATTTATAGATTCAGTGCCATCCCCATCAAGCTACCAATGACTTTCTTCCCAGAATTGGAAAAAACTACTTTAAAGTTCATATGGAACCAAAAAAGAGCCCACATTGCCAAGTCAATCCTGAGCCAAAAGAACAAAGCTGGAGGCATCACATTACCTGACTTCAAACTATACTACAAGGCAACAGTAACCAAAACAGCATGGTACTGGTACCAAAACAGAAATATAGACCAATGGAACAGAACAGAGCCCTCAGAAATAATGCCACATATCTACAACTATCTGATCTATGACAAACCTGACAAAATCAAGCAATGGGGAAAGGATTCCCTATTTAATAAATGGTGCTGGGAAAACTGGCTAGCCATATGTAGAAAGCCGAAACTGGATCCCTTCCTTACACCTAATACAAAAATTAATTCAAGATGGATTAAAGACTTAAATGTTAGACTTATAACTGTAAAAACCCTAGAAGAAAACCTAGGCAATAACATTCAGGACATAGGCATGGGCAAGGACTTCATGTCTAAAACACCAAAAGCAATGGCAACAAAAGCCAAAATTGACAAATGGGATCTAATTAAACTAAAGAGCTTCTGCACAGCAAAAGAAACTACCATCAGAGTGAACAGGCAACCTACAGAATGGGAGAAAATTTTTGCAATCTACTCATTTGACAAAGGGCTAATATCCAGAATCTACAATGAACTCAAACAAATTTACAAGAAAAAAAACAAACAACCCCATTGACAAGTGGGCGAAGGATATGAACAGACACTTCTCAAAAGAAGACATTTATGCAGCCAGAAGACACATGAAAAAATGCTCATCATCACTGGCCATCAGAGAAATGCAAATCACAACCACAATGAGGTAGCATCTCACACCAGTTAGAATGGCAAGCATTAAAAAGTCATGAAAGAACAGGTGCTGGAGAGGATGTGGAGAAATAGGAACACTTTTACACTGTTAGTGGGACTGTAAACTAGTTCAACCATTGTGGAAGTCAGTGTGGCGATTCCTCAGGGATCTAGAACTAGAAATACCATTTGACCCAGCCATCCCATTACTGGGTATATACCCAAAGGATTATAAAACATGTTGCTATAAAGACACATGCACACGTATATTTATTGTGGCACTATTCACAATAGCAAAGACTTGGAACCAACCCAAATGTCCAACAATGATAGACTGGATTAAGAAAATGTGGCACATATACACCATGGAATACTATGCAGCCATAAAAAATGATGAGTTCATGTCCTTTGTAAGGACATGGATGAATCTGGAAACCATCATTCTCAGCAAACTATCACAAGGACAAAATAACCAAACACTGCATGTTCTCACTCATAGGTGGGAATTGAACAATGAGAACACATGGACACAGGAAGGGGAACATCACACACCGGGGCCTGTTGTGGGGTGGAGGCAGCGGGGAGGGATAGCATTAGGAGATGCACCTAATGCTAAATGACGAGTTAATGGATGCAGCACACCAACATGGCACATGTATGCATATGTAACAAACCTGCACATTGTGCACATGTACCCTAAAACTTAAAGTATAATAATAAAAAAAAATTAGAATGCTAAAATCCAAAAAAAAAAGAAAATTAAAATTATCTTAGGCAATTTAGAAATAGCAACTGAGATAAGAGCTGGAGAGAGGCCTTTCATGGGAAGGTGAGAAGGGGTTACTTAGAATTGTTAAAGGGCGGGGGCAGGGGGAGGTTCGACAAAATTTTCTTACTTTCTTGATTCCCTAATGCTCCAGTCCTTTGGACTTCTTGGTCTTAAGGCTATATGAATGACCTAATTAGACAAGTTTCCCATCTTCCACTGATTCTTCACCGCCTCTCCACTATTTCTCAACCTCAATTTGTTTCCTACACACTGCCACCTGTGGCCAGCAAATTGACTAACAATGTACGTCTACTAACTTAACGGTCATGGATGTTAAACACTGTTAAATCCAGGAAACTGGTAAAGATTAAGTCTATAGCTAATGATTGGCAGAACTAAGTCTAAACATGATCCTTGAGATTCCAAAATCAGTGGTCTCTATACGTATCATGTTGTCCCTAAGGCTCAATTACCACGAATGTATGTTATGGTAAATGGGACCAAATAATGTCACAGAAGAGTTTTCAAAAGGAAGGTAAAATGAGGCAAGAAAAAAAGACAATGATAGGGAAGGCAATGCAAGCATCATATCTATTATTAAGGAAGAGCTCACAACATTTCCAGAAAGGCTTTCTAGGAACCAGCCTCGACTGAGGGCAGCACGAACAAGCACCATTTCCCAGGCCACCCCTTGCACCATCTTCATGATTTCCCACCACCCCTTTGAATTATTTTCTAAATCACCCTGATGCTGTCTTACACAGCATATTCTTAAAAGTTCTCAGAAACAGGCTCTTACAGTTTTATTTCTTCTTTTAAAAAAAGTTCCCGCTTATCATGTTGTACTATTTAATCAGAATATACTTGAAAACAAAAGATGCTTTGTGGTTTTTTAACTCTTGGTAATTAATCCATTGTAGGCAGTATTTTAAAAAATGATGTAGGACAGGGAAACCAATATGAAATGGGTAGTCTGAAAAGCAGTTACTAGATACTGACCACCATTTTAGGAAAGGCAGGCTATTTAACCCACTGTATGCTCCCAGGTAAACTTGTCTTCAATTCTTGTTAAGTCAAATATGAAAAACCAAACTTGCCATCTCTATAATTGCTATCGTTTAAAAAATTCTGTTGAGAGGAGACACCAAACATAGTATTTCTTACCCCGTGCAGCATAATAAAAAATAGGATTCCCAGCTTTGGAAGCCCCAGCTTGGTAGAAAATACTTAACGTTTTCAAAGCCTTGATCTCTTCTTTTTCAGGTACCTGATGCCTAAAAGAAAAAGAACACAGTACCTCTGAGGCTTTATGTTGTCTACTGAGTATGTAAAATAGTCTATAATTGGATAAACAATAAAATACTAAAATAAAAAAATATTTTAAAAGCAACAGGCATTCTAAAGGGTAATCTGACAACATGCACCAAAAATTTCAAGGTATTGCTCTTTGAGCCACAAAAGCACTTTTAGGACTATTCTAAGAGAACTATTGGACGAGGATATTAACCATAGGATTGTTTTTACTCATGACATTTTTGTCCCAGACAGAAGTTTATGATTTTTGAATGAATTCATTTTATCAATCTTTTCCTTTCTAGCTTATGGATTTTGAATGGATGAAAAAGGCCTTGCTTTGCCATGCTGTTTTGATTGATGGGAGTTTATCCTCATAAATGGTATGAAGATATTTTTCCAGATCATTACTCAGTTTTATCAATACCATTTATTGAAAGTCCAACCTAATCTCCTGGATTTCAAATACTCAGCATGTACAGATTTTTCTTTGTTTTTATTCCTTAAACAATATGGTATAACAACTATTTATATAACATTTATATTGTATTAGATATTATAAGTAATCTAAAAATATTTAAAATATATGGGAGGATGTGCACAGTTTATATGCAAATACTATGACATTTTGTATCAGGGACTTGAGTCTGTGGATTTTAGTGTTCATGGGAGTGAGATGTGGGCAGGAGTTTGGGGGGTGGTTCCTGGAACCAATCCCTGACAGATACTGAGAGACGACCGTATTATAAAGCTAGGCTTTGTCAAAGAAACATATGTAAATGCTTATTATACAGTCCATAGTGTTTAATCACTTTCTGATATGTGTCAATAAGTATTTATCATTAAAGTAGACTTAATTACTTCCTTTTTTGGTCTATCTCTGGTGTTTGAATCAGGAAATCAATTGTTTCTTAGACTCAACACAATGAGTTTCTCAAATAATACCTTTATCTATCTCATCATAACATAAATGCAATCTGAGGCTTTATGTATCTTATTTCCCAATAACTGTAGACTATTCTTCATAAACTGACAACAATAACTTCCCAAACATACCGCTCTCGCACATTTATTTTTCCTGAAAGTCTATCGGTCAAGAAAAAGTAGTAATAAAGATTAGTGTCTTTACATATTTTGAACACGAAAGTTTTACATCTAAAAAGTTTAAATACACATAAAATACAAGTATAAAGCTGTAATGAAGTAGTTATAATTCTCACAGTAAAACCCACTAATATTTGAAAGTCATTTTTTTTACCTTGTAAGACATTTTACATCATCATCTGCTGCTTGGTTTGATGTTCCCATAACCCAGTCTGTCAGGTATTCTACCATCTTATTCCTATAGAATGGTGGAGAAAAGAGAAACAGCAAACAATTTTTCTGAAGTCATACCCCCCCACACACACACCTTCAGTCATGTAAGATTACTTATGGTGCAAATAATTTGGCAGATAACCCAGGTGACATGACGACTTTATAAAAGAGATACTGCTATCATAGATGTAAAAGCCAGAAGGAACAAGCAACGTGGATACTGATCCTCCATCATGGCCTTTAGTTATGCTATCAGATTGGAAACAGGATCAAATTCTTAGCTCAAGTACAGCAGAGTTTTAGAAAAAGGGAGGCTTGCCACAGGCACAAAGCTTAGGGAAATTTGAGGAGAGACACAGAGAAAAACAAACATGTAAACTGCTCTCTTTTTATGTCTTCCTTCCTACCAATAACCAGATATCTACTCCATTTCTGTACTTCATTCAACAAATTAAGATTTACCCAGCACTTTCGGAGGCCGAGGCGGGCGGATCACGAGGTCAAGAGATCGAGACCATCCCGGCTAAAACGGTGAAACCCCGTCTCTACTAAAAATACAAAAAAATTAGCCGGGCGTAGTGGCGGGCGCCTGTAGTCCCAGCTACTTGGGAGGCTGAGGCAGGAGAATGGCGTGAACCCGGGAGGCGGAGCTTGCAGTGAGCCGAGATCCCGCCACTGCACTCCAGCCTGGGCGACAGAGCGAGACTCCGTCTCAAAAAAAAAAAAAAAAAAAAAAAAAAAAGATTTACAAGACCCTACATTGCTCTTTTGAGAACTCACCTAAATTTCATCTCTCGGCAAAATGACAGGTCATCTCTCCTTGCCATCGTTACTTCAACCAACTGACACAGTTTCGTTTTTATTTGAATTGCATGGACCATATTCCCAAGCACACAAACGTACCTATACAGACATAGAGACAATAAAAAAATTATCAGATACAGACACAAGATAAGGCATTCAAGATACTTTAACCATCAAATAAAACGAACTAATCGTAAGTTTGAAAACAGTAAGACATTTATTTATAGGAGAGCATACACAATTTCTGGTTACCTTGTTGTCACAGCCTAGTTTGTGTGCAGTAAAGAATGGCAAATTATTTTATCAATTACTATCAATATCAATGTGTAAGAGGTTTTTCTTGTCTCTTAAATCTTAAAGTATGTTTCTGCTACATTTCAGTAGAAGGCTTACCTGACCAGATCTAACATCATTGTTTCAATGCTAGCTTGCTCTAGATGTTCAGAGCTGCCTTCAGTATGATTATCTAGCAAGTTCTTCATTATATCTACAAAGTGAGTATTGGTATCAGTCAATAAAACCTATAGAGAGAACAAATATATTAATGATTTGCCATCAATGCCCAGAAGACAGATCCCTAGAGAGATGAAACTGACTGATCTAAACACACAAATAGAGACATGCACCCACAGGCACGCAGCCAAACAGGCACACAGATATACACAGACACTCATACCCATATACAAGGCACGTATACCCTCAGGCACACATACACATCAGAGTTCCTAGAAGCAAGCTGACCATTCATTGAGATGATTCTTCTTTCTACAATTTTTTGACAATTTTTAAAAACTGTGAGTACCTAATTTAAATAATCTGAAAGAAAAAGGCTTCATTATTTCAAACAAGTCACTCTATTCATAGGGAAAGGTGAAAAATAAAAAAGAGCACACTTTACCTGTCCTTAGGAGTCAAAAAACTTGCTGATGGGTCTTCTTCAATTTGTTAAATAGCATCAGATAAAGAGCAGGACTCAATTCTAGACCCACCAGGTCCTTATCATTGGTCCGTATTTGAAGTCCCACTTTCTCAACGTTACACACCATTAACGACAACAGCTGATCCATATATTTCCTGACAGGTGTATCTGCGTTTCCCTCTGAGGACATCACTGAAATCATGGAACCCTTATGTTCACTGACCGGACCCACGGGTGGGCTATAGGTTGCCAGGCCAGAATTCCTTCTCTGCTGGAGGCACACTCCCCCAAGGGCACAAAGGAAGCCAGTCATGTTGATCCATGCCTGTAGGGAGTCTGTGTCAGACAAATCTATGGGTCCTCCTCCACTCACATGGGACATTCGCCTCTTAACAATGGTCTTGTGAAGCTTTCAACAGCCTAAACACAAAATTTTTGTGCAAAGCATGAATTAAACCTAAATTAGTTGAGACTTGACAAATTACTCTTTATCCAACATTTCTTCCGTGACAAACGTACACAAAAATGTAAAAAAATACATTAAAATCAACCCCCTAAATTACCATATACATTTTTAAAGAGCCACTGATTTATTTTTGTCATATACTAATATAATTGCCCAAGTATCAAATTTCTTTTAAAAAGCTTTGATTTCACACGGATGAACCTTGGGAACATTATGCTAAGTGAAAGAAGCTAATCGTAAAAGCCCACATATTCTAAAACTCCATTTACAGAAAATATCCAGAATAGGCAAATCTACAGAGACAAAGTAGATTCGTGGTTGCCCAGGGTTGGAGAGGCGGGGGGAAGAGAGACAAGAAAGTTGGGGGGTTGTTAGAGGCAGAGATAGCTAAAGGATACAGGGTTTTCTCAATTGATGAAATTGTCCTGAAACTGATGGTGGTGATGGTTGCACAACTCTGTGAATATGCTAACAAGTCACTGAATTGGACACTTTAAATGCGTGAATTGTATGGTATGTAATTACATATTATAGTAACAGTTACCCCCAAAAGCTTTCATTCTAAAGCTACATGTCCCCTCCAAATAAAGGTATGAGGTACACAATTTTGCTTCACAAAACTATAACTTTTTTCTTATTATAATTAAGCATGACAGAAAAATAACATGGGGGAAGAGCCAGTTTTTATAAACCACCTAATAATGAGAGCAATGTGAACATTATAAATCATATACACACGAACACCAACTCATCAATTTCCAAAGTAATGGATAATATAGTCAATAGTAATAGTTGAAGGAACTGTCCATGTTTTAAAATTTCATTTTATCTATGGGTTCCATCTTCTGCCCAAGACATTCTTTAATTAGAATACCTAACAAAATAGCAAAATGAATGGTTTCCATGTTAATTTTTCTCTACCTCTGTTGCTCCTTTTCTGAAAATTCTGTGAAACACCCTGATGAAGGGAGAAAGAGCAAGAAAAGATAAAGAAATGGTCTTTGCAACAAACAGTCTCTAGCAGTGCTGCCCAGTATTTCTGTGATGATGGCAACATTTTCTCTCTGCTGTCCAACAGAGTAAGTACCTGTCATATGTGGCTACTGGGTACCTGCAATGTGGCTACTATATGATTGAGGAACTAAACTGTATTTAATTTTAATTATGTTAAAATTTAAGTTAAATAGTCACACGTAGCTAGTGGCTATCATATTACAAAGTACAGGTCTAGATAAACCACAACTAAATATCAGTCTTCAGACAACTATATGCTTACTTTACTGAGTGACTCGTGAAAGATTACCAAAGAGAAGGACATATATTTAGCAGATCAGTTAATAGACAAAAGTCAACTTTACAGACTTACCTGGCCATCTTCCATTTGGGCTTTTGGATAGCTAAGGATTAGTTTTGTTGCTTGTTCCCATTTTGCATGTGTATCTTCCCAAGTCTAAAATGAAGACAGTTATCACTTGAAAGCAACTTTAAGTCTAGAGCTAAACATCAATCAGCAACAGCCAAGCTTCAAACTTGATATATATTAAGTACTCAGATATTATACTTGTAATATGCACATATCTTGGATTTACTTCAAAAGCTATTCCTCATCACACATATGTAACAAGAGGCTTCCAAAACTGAGGGTGGGCGCCTGGGAGGGGTGTTTCTCTTGCTAAGAGCACACCTCAGTGTTTCCTGCAGTGGGATGCTCAGTGCGCCTCAGCAGTGCCATCACTCTTTCTGAAGTGCTGCTGTGCCTAAGCAACTACAACAGCAAATCAAGTTACTGCACTTAGAGCCCTGCCTGCCAATGGAGAACCTGATAAGCCCCACCCAAAAGGCAGAGTAGGAGGAGCAGAGCAAATGCCTCAAATGATAAAGCCAAAAACTTCCGTTCACTAACCTCACAGGAAAGGTACTTATCTTAGACTCTACAATGTCCACAGCATAAAATAGCTATTCCCACCTATAATTTACTCAAAACATATGCCAATGTGTGTAAACTTCACTATCCATAACATACGGAGTTATGGATAACATAAATTACATAGTCATATGTAATTTGACTATGTATATGGATAACATAAATTACATAGTCATACAAACGTAAATTACATAGTCATAACTGATAGTAACACGTACTGCCAGTTAATTTTAAAATCTATAGCATATTAAAAACTCAGTGGGAGACTAACAATTTATTTCAAACGCTTTTTATTTTCATCTTACTTTGTTCAGAAAAGGATTTCAAGTAAGCTACTTGAATTTCTCCTGTAAACTTACAGAAGTGTAATCTTAAATACATTCTCACAATCAGATGCCATGTGCTTTAGGGAGGTTGAGTAAAAAAACCACTATTCATATTTACCTGTTGACATCACATTGCTGACAGGCAAACTCCATGAATGTGTTAGAGTTGGGCAAGAGGTTACGCAATGACACTTCGTCCACCCCACACCGGGTATCTGCTTCCTCACAGAGGTGGCGGAAACAGGACATGGCAACCAGAACAGCTTCAGTGTCAGGGTTCCGCAGAAACATGTACAGGGCCACTTCTAGTTTGGTCTGCGCTTGTCAGCAAGTCAGGGGGGTTCCGCTGCATCCTGCTGCACTATCCTGAGAGTCAAGGGTGGTAGACATATATTTGCAACTTGGGTAATTTTATGTATAAAACCCAACAATGCAATAAACTGCGTGTGTGTGTGTGTGTGTGTGTGTGTGTGTGTCCACATATATCTCAGCATACAATAACTCATAAGAGCTTTCTCCTTTAATCATTATATGAATTTTTCAAACCCCAAATTATCTTGTCCAAATGAGAAATGAGATTATCTGGACCAATATAAAGCTACTATCTGTCCAATTTCAAATAAAATAGGTATTATCCTATTCCAGATTCCAGAAATGGAAACCGATTCTAACACGGACAGGTAAAACACCATAACATAAATCTACTGCAGTAACTATATAATGTACTTCCCAGTCAATTACAAATGACAAAAACAGAGGAAGTAACAGGAAATTCTATCTACTTGCTCTAGGGAAGTAATAAAATAAGTACACTGCGGCACTCATTGAAACAAGGGCATAAACAAGAACAAAATATTGCTGTAGAAGATAGACTTGATTCTGAATGACCTATTCCGCAAACATGAAATGGAGAAAATAATTGACAAAATACATTCAAATTCTGCAAGTAAAACAGACAATAATAAATAGCATACTGCTTAGATGTTTTTTTCTTTAACAAGGCTATATTAAAAATTAGGGATGAAAAAAGTTTTGGTTTGGAAAATAAACTCTTCTGTAATGACCCGATATTTTCACTTGAAATATGATTTATATTTAAAGGAAATTATACACGCAAATGCAAATCACAGAAACACTTATCTTTAACATGAAACAAAATATTTTGTTTTTATCCCTGTACATCTGTACCTTTGTTAGCTGGTACAAATTCTATACTTCTATGCTATGAATGGTTTTTCATGAGGTGGAGGTTATCAGATACAGCTTGTATGTGTCAAGTGCTATTTACACATTTTTTTATTTAACCCTCACAACAACTCTGGAGCAGGAATTATTATTGTCCCCATTTTAAAGTTGAGGAATTGAGGAACAAGGATGTTAAGAACTTGCCCAAAGTTCCATAAAGAGCAGTGATAGAACTAGAGTCTAAGCAGTTTTTCACTATTACTCTATATTACCTGGATGAAATTTACCAAAGTTCATTCAGAAAACAAATAGAGCACACGAGATGATACAGGAAAATTACAAAAGAAGCTGACCATAGAGGAGTTCCCTTTTCCCTTCTGGAGAGAGGCTCAGGAGTACGTAGTGACACTTCATGACCCATGGACATTTGATTGGTATTTCCACTAGAAGGAGTATCACATCCTACTCCATAAAAAAGGAGAAAGTGACATGAACTTCTATCTGCCTGCTAGAAAAAAGAAGGAAAGAAGCTTTACTGACACACTGACAACCAAGAGGAATAAACACTTATATCGGTTGTCTTCCTGTTTGAGACTCTCCTAGAAAACCTCTCCTCTCAATCTCTACACCCCACCTTGAAGGAAATTCACTAGAAACCCATTAGAACAAATAATGTTCACTTAATGTCTTTAAAATTTCTTTCAGTTTCCCATTCTCTAAATAATCAGAAACAGTAGATTCTACAAATATAAATTAAGTCTAACATAA
The DNA here is from genome assembly GCF_000001405.40 of Homo sapiens. Lineage (NCBI taxonomy): Eukaryota > Metazoa > Chordata > Mammalia > Primates > Hominidae > Homo > Homo sapiens. Next base: position 18,907,777 of record NC_000014.9, read on the forward strand.
ACATAAGTAAAACATCAACAATGTATATCCACTGTATGAAAACTATAATTTGGTCTCAATGACAAAGATTTTTTTTCTGCAAGATTTTATCCGTGCCATGTTGGGATAACTAGAAATTGACTCTTGAGATTAAGTTCTTCTGGACCAGTAATTAACACTGGTATATACACCAAGTATATCACAAGAGTGACTGTGCTGACCAGGGCACTACGAATTCATTACTGGATTCCTCATACTCATATTCTGGAGATTATGCCATAGGCAAGGGCACGAAAGTCTGAAGTCTAATCTCTTTCCATATCTTTGGAATAATGCCAAATTCTGCTACATTAACACATCAAATAAGCCAGATGTGAATAAACCCACTTCACCATTAGTCTATTTCTAAACAGAGACAATTTATTAATAACAAGCTGTATAATACTGAAAAGGATATGAGTTTCATACATTTAAGGTTTTTCACAGCTATGCTTCTAGTTCCAGATAAAAATTCATTAAATCAAGTACTCCTAAAACTAGGCCATAATAGAATTCCTAAATTGATTAACTATAGAAACTATATGTTAGAAGAAATGTAAGACTCTTCTCTATCTGCCACAACCTCACCATGTTTCAATAGTGCAGAATCAAAAAATTTCACTCCACCCCGAGAAGTGTCGTGAAATTTTCAAGATGTGAAACCCTTATTGGAGGAATAGAAATAAACCTAGATTGAGGACCCTCAACCTTTTCCCTTTTGCTTCTTGATAGATAATTCTCTGGACTAGTCTAGCCACGACATCTAGGCCTTTATGATTTCTCAGAGCTATGATTCTAGAACTGGACAAAAAACTCATTAAATCAAGTACTCCCAAATCTATGCCATAATAGAATTCTTAGATTAATTATAGAAGCTATATGTTAAATTTTACGTATGAATTATGTCTATGTGTGAACTTGAGAGTAAAGATAGAATATGCTCCTCAAGCTACTTTGGTTATAGCAGTCCCCACTTTTCCTAGCCTGTCCCATAGAGACCTATGTAACTCAACTAGAACTAGAATTCATCAACAGTGTGGTTTTACGGCCAAAGCTTCAGAATAATTTTAAAATGCTAATTTGCCAGCCCTTGTCCTCTGCACATATATATCCTTTTGAGAACCTTGGGGGGAAGGAGGAGCTGAAATAGAAACTAATTTGGCTATAAAACACTTTCTTAATCTCTCCCCATCACCATTCCAAATATTCTCTCATTTTTTAAAGATGTCATTTCGTTTACCTTATTTTTAAGAAAGAAATTTATTCCTGCAGATCAAAATTTCCTGCAACCACTTGAGAATTTCTGTGCTACTAAGCATTTAATGACTAGTTAATTTCTTGCAGATGTAAAAATACACTTGTGAGCTGCAGTAACATAAAATTTATTGTTACTACCATCAACAATAACCTAATGCAGATATAACCAGACATAAGAATGGCATTCTCCCATAATGAATACAAGTTTGGAGAAGCTTAGTTATGTTAAGCATGTCAGTTGAATGATACGGAAATTAAGAAGAAAGAGAAATGTTAAGAAATGGTAAGGGCAATTAAGAATCTGATCTAATTATATCAGTATTCATTATACATTAGGTTTCTTAGAGACGTCTTAGTTTTCAGTTATGATCAGAAAGGATCAGTAAGTGCTCTTGAGCTAAAAATTACCCTCAAGGTCTTGGCGTTTCAGTTAAACCAAATGAACTTAGTGTGGTAATTTTGACACATTTCATAAAAAAACACTTACACAAAGCAAGAGCTCTGGATCTGCATGAATTAGTTTCACCATGGACAAGAGAAGATACTTACAGCTTCTTGTCTCCAGGCCTGTAGGTTTTTCTTTAAATTTAAGGCTTGTTACTTTTTCTTTAAATATAAGACTCTAAAAACAAAACAAAAACATGGTATCAGACATAAGACTCAGGATAATAGCTATCCAACCTTTTAAAAGAAATTTATTATGAGAAAACTTTGAAAAAAGCTATTTTTATACTACCAAATGTGTGGTATAAGTAGAAACACTCAGTAGTAAGCATAAGGTCAGTATTATTAAGCTTACAAAATGGAAATTGTTTTTGCACCATTTATATTATTTTTTAATCAATCTAATGAAACAATGAAAATCTACTACAATACTCAAAGCTTAATATCAGGTTGTAAAAAGCCTCCTATTTAAAAAACTATTTTCCAAAATGTAAAAACATAAGGGAAAAAATATTTGGTCTATAGTTCTCACAAATCTCCACACTGGGTAACTCATTAACAAACACTCCCCACACATATACGCAAGTATTTCACAGACTCTACAGTATTGTCCGTTTTAAGATGCAGCATTATTTGATGTCCCAAAAGGAATGAAAACACACTGTCAATTGTAAGACACCATCTAAAATAAGATACACTCCCAATTTCAGAGAAGAGTAAAAATAAGTGCTTCTTAGAATTAATGAAATATGTTATCTAGACAATCTCTGTATTTACTAGTTTAATTGTAAAATTTGCTTTTTCCTTCGATGGCACTCCATCTCTTTTGAGGTACAGAATGCACGCATTTTGCCTGAAGAACATTCATAAAACAGAAAGAATTCAGAGAAAGGTAAACTTATGGAAAATATGTTTCCATTACAGAGACATAGGATGAATTAAAATAATCATAGATGTTTTTCAACCAAAAATCCAATAATTATATTCTAGATCTAATATCACCTATTATTATAACATATTTCCTTCCTTTTCTTCTTTAAAAGAACACAAAACTATCTGATTTTGACATGAATGCCTTTATGTAAACATATATATAACATAGAAATAGTAGACTGTATACCAACTGTGGACCCATAATACAAATGTCCAAGTAAACGGGCTGTCTTTCAAAGTTAAAAAGCAGACATGCATATCTACAACACAAATGAACCATCTTCTGTGATTAAGTGAAACATGCATTTGTTATTATACCCAAGAACACTGAAGGGCTGTAGTCCTCAGAAGGGAAGAATAGCTATTTAAATGCACACATTTATATTCAAGAATGTCACTACAGAAGAGAGATGGCAAAACTTACAAATAGTTTGGTTTTATATTTATAACTGCCCCTTAACGCCTAGGCAAATGTTTTATTAAATGATGTAATAAATTCTGGTTTTACTGTTTGCTCTCTTTCAACTGTATTTTTTCCTCACTCTAAGTTGAGGTGTTTCACCTTAGATCAAGCTGAAACTTTGATTAAACAAATGTATTTACTTTGATGTAACTAAGTGTAACTATCTAACGACTCTTCTCTAATGCAGCCATTGCACAGGAAGATAAGATCAGAGAACAAGTAGTAGATATCAGAATTTTTCCTTATTTAAGAATAATTTCCAAAAAAAGTAAATAGTCTTATGCCACATAACAACATTTCAGACAATGACAGACAATATGTAACACAGCTGAAAAATTCCTATCACCTAGTGACATAACCATCATGATGTCCAAGCACAATGCATTACTTTTTGTTTGCAGCGATGCTGGTGTAAACAAACTTTCACTTCTATTCATACAAAAAGAGTATAGCACATTCAATTATGTATAGTATACAATACCTGATAATGAGAATAAATAACTGTTACTGGTTTATGTATTTACTATAATATACTTTTTTTTTGAGATGGAGTCTCACTTTGTTGTCCAGGCTGGAGTGCAGTGGTGTGATCTCAGCTCACTGCAACCTCCACCTCCCGGGTTCAAGCAATTCTCCTGCCTCAGCCTCCAGAGTAGCTGGGACTACAGCTGCAAGCCACCACACCTGACTTATTTTTTTGTATTTTTAGTAGAGAAGGCCTTTTGCCATGTTGGCCAGGCTGGTCTCAACTCCTGACCTCAGGTGGTGATCCATTGCCTGGGCCTCCCAAAGTGCTGAGACTACAGGCGTGAGCCACCAGGCCCAGCCTACTATGGTATACTTTTTATTGTTATTTTAGAGTATACTCCTACTTAAAGATAAAAAATTAACTATGAAACACAGCCTCAGAAGGTCCTTTAGGAGGTACTCCAGAAAAAGGCATTGTTACTACAAGAGATGACAGCTGGATCCACACGTTATTTCCTCTAAAAACCTTCCAATGGGAGCAGATGTGGAGGTGGAAGACAGTAACACTGATGATCTTGACCCAGTGTAGGCCTAGGCTAATGTATATGTTTGCGTCACAGCTTTTAACAGAGTTTTCAAGAAAATTAAAATAGAACGTTTTTCAAATAAAAAAACTTACAGGCTATAAAGAAAAATATTTTTATACAGCTAGCTGTACAATGTATTTTAAGCTGTTATTGCAAGTCAAAAAGTTAAAAAATTTAAAAGTTTATAAATTTTAAAAGCTACAGAAAAGTTAATTATCAAAGAAAAAATATTTTTTAATAAATTTGGTGTAGCTTAAGGGTACAGTGTTATAAAGTCTACAGTATAGATCCTGAGTATGAGAAAAAAAACAAGTATTGAAAGAGGCATCCTGTGCCCTGGACTCAGGGGCTTCCCTAGGGGGTGCCCCACTTGCCCAAAGCAGTGCAGCCTGAACCCAAAACTGTGAGCAGAGAGTCCCATGTGTGTTTGAAGGGTTTCCTATGTCCTCTGTGTTCTCCTATAGAAAGCAGCAGGGGTGTGTCGAGCACACACAAGACGCGCTAACAACAACCTGAGCACAACCTCATGCTGCTGAGATGCACCCGGACCCTGGACAGGCCGTGGTGAGAGCAGCCCGAGGATCGTGGCTGGGGACTGTGTCTGGCTTCATGGAGGAAGTCACATGGAGTGCCTTCTCCAAGAAGACAGCCAACTCCCTGCAGGCAGCACACTCCACTGCGCACCTATCAGTCTGTACAAGTGTGGGATTTCATTTGGCAGATCCCCAAGGCAGGAGAGAAAAGGAGGAAAGCTAACTTAACTCCAGGCTCTCCATGGACGCCAACATCTAGAAGTGTCTGACAGGAGGCATGCATCCTTGGCCCCGATGAGGCTGCGGGCCATCCCTGCAGTCCTGGCTAGGCAGCCGAGAGGCAGGCCTTGTGGATGCTCTGGGCACAGGTGCTGAGCAAGGTGGTAACCTAGTGCTTGTCCGGGAGCTGCAGCCGCCTGGAGGTCACGCGGTGGTGCATCGACCTGAGGAAGGGGTTGGTGCCTGCAACCGAACAGTGGGCATGAGCCTGAGGCAGCTGGCGCTGCACCCACGCCCTGCACACCCGGCAGTGCTCTGGGAAGTGGCAGCCCAGGACTGGCTGAAGCACCAGGAGGATCCCTGCACGCTGCCTGCCTGGCCATCAGGCTCTCCTCCCGGAGCCTCATCATCAGTGAAGAACTGAATCTGAACGGGATTTGGAGCTCAAGGCTTTGCCCCTGACAACCTTGGGGACCCAGCCCTGGCTCCTGCTATGTGCCAGCTCTGGGCTCAGGGAGACTGACTCCTGTCAACATGACTTTTTTTGGAGACACATCACCCAGATGGGGTCTTGTGTGCCCAAGCTACTGGTAGGACCTGTCAGCTCCACTGAGCTCCCTAGTGGCCTCTGGGAAAAGCGGGGTCTGTCCTTGAGCCGTAGGGTTTCTCACCCCTCAGCCACTGAACACAGCCACCCTGGAAAGCTGACCGGACACAAGATGAAGGGGCAAAGGGACACAGAAGAGCAGAGACTCCTATCTCTCAGATGACCACTGGAACCTGAGAGATTCCACACAGGAGGAGCCAGAAGAGGGGAGGAAGGGGCCTGAGCCGGGGAGGGGCACAGAGGCTGTCCCTGCAGCACTAGAAGCTTGGTTTTCCAGAATGACCCCTGCCTGCCCTGGGCCCCCAGACAGCTCCTCTGGGTCTGCCCACTGTACAGCCACTGCCAGTCCATCCACAGTGGACTCTGGGCAGGGTAGTGGGTGGGCACATGGTGGCACACTTGGGAGGTCCTTGTCGTTTGCAACACACAAGACTGTACCTGTGACCCGCACGAGCCCTGGCCTGCCCCGCCTCACAGCCCTGCTCCCGAACAGGACTCTTCACACACCGGGAGGTTCTGGTGAGGCATGCGGCAAAGCCTGGATGTCTCTCTGACTCTCAAATTTCCAAACCGAAGCCCAGAGTGCCCTGCGTCAATGGGTGCCCAGAGGTCCTGCCTGTCACCTCCCTAGGGCCCCAGGCAAGCAGAGCCGTATCTGTGTTGGGGAGGTGAGGGTGCGTGGGGGCAGAGGCATGGCCAGTCTGTCCTGGGCTCCGTGTATGTGAAGACAAAGCAGACAGCCTGCTGGGGTGTGAACACAGGGTGGGGTCTGGGCACGGTGCCCTCCGGCTCGGATGGCAGAGACCTGGTGCTGTGGACAAGGCTTGCGAACTTGTGCCGGCCTGGCCCTCCTGGACGCTCGCCCAGCTTGCAGACCAGGTGGACGGTGCCATTGTTGCTGCAGCGAGAAGAGTCCAGGTTTATCATGCACTTGGGGTCCAGCCTGGCCACCTCGCCCTGGAGCATGCTGGGGATGCTCTGCCGCTCATCGTCCTCAAGCCTGTGCTTCCGGGTGCACACCACTGTGGACGTGAGGAGGCAGCATGGTGACCACAGTGGGCACACATGGTCCAGGGCTGGCCATCCGCCCTCTGCAAAGCCCAGCCCAGCTGGATGTATGTGATGAGTGGGCCGTGGATGGCAGTCATGGCTGGAGCGAATGTGCGGTACAGGGAATGCCTGAAGAGGGTGAGCGGATATTGGCCAGGACAGCATCCCAGGAGCTGCTGGCATAGGTACTGCTGTTTGGTCAGCGGCACCAGGGGCAGCGGGCTGGCGGTAGGATGCGCACGGTCAGAAGCCCGGGACCTGAGGGTTCTCCATTTAGGGGGCCTTCCCACCTCTGGCCAGTCCTCACTCACAGCCAGATTCCCGAGGCCTCTCTCTCAGCCTCCACCCTTGTGCAGACAATGTTGGCCGATCCTGGGTATAATCCCCACCCCCACAGCCTTGTCCTCCCCAGAGTCCCTGCTGTCTCTGGACCGGGTGGCAGAGGCACCCACGGGGGCCACAGACAGAGGGTGACTTCTCCCACGTTCCCTCCCAGCACAGCAAACCTGGCCTGGAAGAGGCCTGGTGGGCAGGGTCTCAGATCAGGCCCAGCCCCCACCCAGCCTGACCATGAAGGCCCCTCCAGTGGTGCCCCCAGGAGCTCTTGAGGGAGCCCCGATCCCCCAGGGGTCCCCAGCATCCCACTCACCACCGCCATGTCATTCTTGAGTTTCTCCAGGGCGATCTCACACTTTGGCAAGGTCTTCAGGGGACCTGCAGAGAGAGGGGACTTGGGCTGAGCTCTGTGCTGGAGGGCTGGGAGCCATGGCAGGTCTCAGGCTGGGATCTGGGATCCCAACCACTGCCACTGGGCCTCGGCCCTCAGAAACCTCTGCAGGAGCTCCCTTCAGCTGACCAGCTGTTCCCAGACCCAGAGTCTAGGCAGGTGGCCCTCACCCCTAGGAGCTGCCCATCCCTGTTGGCAGTGAGGCAGTGGGTCAAGAGAAGGGACAGTGGCCGGGACCCTGACCAGGCTGGAAAGGCCTCAGTTGCACCTAGGCCAGTCCCTGTCCTGCTCAGTCCTATAACCCTAATGAAGAATCAACTCAAGAAGGCCTGGAGGACCACCCAATAGTGACTGGCATTCTATCCAGACAAGCAAAACAGAGAGACACTTCTAGACGGGGGTGGGGGGACACCCTGAGTTTAGGTGACAGGGAAGTATAGGCCAACGACCATGCGGTTCTGAGGTGCTGCCCGAGCTCACAGCAGCCCGTGGCCCGGTAGCCCTGCCTTCCACCTGCTTCTCACCAGCACCGTCTTGTTTCATTTTCATGACAGCACACATGGGTTGCAAATGGGGTAACTGAGATGCAGTCCCCTGTCCATGGTCACCGGGAAGTCAGGGGCAGAACTCCAGGTCATGCTCAGGCCCATCACGGCCAGCTGATGTTCAGGTCACTGCAAGCTGGGCCCCCAACTACTGGCTGGATGAGACCTGGCTGTGATGGGCCAGCATGAGGGCCGCAGCAGTGGTCAGGAGTAGGGCAAAGGCTGGGCACCGGCCAAGATGAAGCCTGGGCTCGAAGCCCCAGCACACACCAGAGTGGAGACTTGGAGGCCTCTGTCCAGGGCCCAAAGAGCTGCCTGGGGCCTTTGCTAACCCCACATCATCACCAAATGCCCATCCATGGCTGGACGACCCACGCCCTTGTGGACCCTACGTTGGCTGTGGGCAAAACTCACTGCTTGGAGAGGTCTGTCACAATGTCCAGAAGGCTCTTCATCTTGCTCAGGTCCTTTTTTCTGTCTGGGACAGCAGAGGGGACCATAAGACACGAGCCTGGTGGCATCCCCAGGGCACTGGCCCCCACCCCGGCCGCAGCCCACCTTCACTCTTGTCGATCTTGTTGACCACGCGGTGCAGGGGCTTGATGTGCTTGGACAGCTGCTTCAGCGTGTCCCAGTACAGCTGCTCCTGGCCCGGCTGGAGCCGGCTGGACTCATGACAGAGCTGGGGTCACTGCAGGACTATGGGCGGGTGAGGCCTCAGCCCTAGACCCTCAGGCTGGGAGCTTGGGCTCTGAGGGCCCCAGAGCACGCATGAATGGTATGACCTGAGGCCTTTTAAAGGTGAGGGGTGACCTAGCACCTCAACCTGCCAGGCCGTGTACAGCTCACATGATGGAGCTGTGGGTCCCAGGCCTGGCTTAGCAGGTGTGTGTAAAGGACTAGGGGAGGGGACACTGGAGTTCTGTGGGGTTTGTGCTGTTTCTGGGTGCTGGGAAGGCTGCAGTGTGGAGCTGGGCAGGAAGCTACGGGGGACAGAGCAGGGCTGGAGCTGCAGCCAAGCGGGAGAAACATGGGAGCTGGGCCCAGGCAAGGCAGCCACCAAACTCACTCTGCAACAAACCACAGTGGTGACCAATCCCCATCCTCCTTCCCATGCCAGCTGGGCGGGACCTCACCCGAAACAAGGGGTGGGAAAACTGGCAAGACCAGCACCCCGAGCACAGAGCCAAGAGCACACACAGCTGGCATCCTGCTTCTGGAAGGTGATGGGATGCCAGCGAGACTGCAGGGTGGACACTTCCTTCAGCTAGAAGTCTTACGAGCATACCAGCTGGGTCTGCACCAGCTGAAAACACCGGCTGTTCCATGGCTGCTCACTTTCCAAATACCAAGAAATGGAAAGAAAAGGGAAGTTTGGCCCGGCACAGTGGCTCATGCTTGTAATCCCAGCACTTTGGGAGGCCGAGGCAGGTGGATCAGTTGAGGTAAGAGTTAAAGACTAGCCTGGCCTGTCTCTACTAAAAATACAAAAGAAAAATTAGCTGGGCATAGTGGCACGTGCCTGTAGTCCCAGCTACTTGGGAGGCTAAGGCAGGAGAATCGTTTGAGCCTGGGAGGTGGAGGTTGCAGTGAGCTGAGATCACGCCACTGCACTGCAGCCTGGGCGACAGAACAAGACTCTGTGTCAAACAAAAAAAAAAAAAAAAGAAAAGAAAAGGGAAGTTCTAGGCTGGGCTTGATAGCTCATGTCTATAATCCCAGCACTTTGGGAGGCCGAGGTGGGCAGATCTCTTGAGGCCAAGAGTTCGAGACGAGCCTGGCCAACATGGTGAAACCCTGTCTCTACTAAAAATACAAAAATTAGCCAGACATGGTGGCAGGTGCCTGTAATCCCAGCTCCCTGGGAGGCTGAGGCAGAATAATCCCTTGAACCCAGGAGGCAGGGGTTGCGATGAGCCGAGATCTCGCCACTGCACTCCAGCCTGGACAACAGAATGAGACTCTACATGAGAAAAAAAAAAAAAGAAAGAAAAAAGAAAAAAGAAAAAAAGAAAGGAAAAGAGAATCTCATTTTCCTGCTGGGCTTGACCTGAGGTGTTTAGATGAAGTGAGGTCCTGGACAGGGGAGGGACGGTCCAAAGAGGCAAGAGCAGCAGCTTCCACTGGCTGGGCAGTCACTACATCCCACCACCAGGCTGGCTCTCAACACACACTACGTCTTTCCTCTGCATGAAAGACCAGGAAAAGGGAGCCCCCAGCAGGCCTGAGGACATGTGGAGACACACAGGGAAGTGTGGCAGTTGGGTTCCAACCTTGTCACACAAGGTGGTCAGTCTCCCCCAGCTGTAAGTGAACATAACTTCTGTGGTGTGTTTCACACAAGACTCCATCTAAGAAAGAAGATGACTGCTGGGCACGGTGGCTCACACCTGTAATCCCAGCACTTTGTTAGGCTGAGGAGGGCAGATCACCTGAGGTCAGGAGTTCGAGACCAGCCTGGCAAACATGGTGAAACCCAGTCTCTACTATACTTTTACTGATAAAGCAGACAATGAACATAATGTATAGAAATCTTGAGCACAAATAGACATCAAAAGCACAAACAACAAAAGCAAAGATGTAATTACATTAAACTTGTCAAAAGTATAAGCAACAAAGGCAAAGATGTAATTACATTAAACTTAAAACCTTCTGCAAAGCAGAGGAAGCAATCAGTAGAATGAAGAAACAACCCAGAGAATGGAACAAAATATTTGCAAACTATGCATCAGCCAAGGGGTTAATACACAAAATATATAAAGAACTCAAACTACTCAAAAGCAAAAATACAAATAATCTGATTTTAAAAAATCTACCCAAAACCTTTGTCTCTCACCATTATTTCTCCACCTTCTTTTCCCGACCGCCTTTGGCCTCCTCCCCCTCGCCACCCATTTTCTTCCTCCATCTACCCCAAAACTTTTTCCCCACCATTTTTCCCCCACCGTCATTTCGCAAAGCCTTCTCTACTCTCCCGCTCACCACCCTTTTCCCCATCTATCTACCCAAACACTTTCCCCACTGTTTTCTCCCACCGTCTTTTCCCCTTCTCCCTGGCCACCTTCTTTTTCCCCGTCCCACTCTCATCACCATCTTTTGCTCCTTCATCTAAGCAAAAATATTTTCCCCCCTCTTTTCCCAAAACCTTCTCCTCACTCCTGCCGCTCACCAACCTCTTTTCCCCCTTCATCTACCCAAAAACTGTTTTCCTCATCGTCTTTCCCCTGCTCCTCCTTGCCACCCTCTCCCTTCTCCATCTACCCAAAAACATTTCCCCATAGCCTTTTCGGAAAGCCTTCTCCCCACTCCTGCTCACCTCCTTCTTTTCCCCCTCCATCTATCCCTCAAAGTTCTCCCCACCGTCTTTTCAGTATTTCCCCCTTCCCACTCATCCTCTTTGCCCTATCCTGCTTTCCACTCTGTTTTGCCCTCCATCTACCCCAAACTATTTTTCCATTTTTTCCCCAACCCTCTTTCCCTGCTCCCTCTCGCCACCCTCTTTTCTCCTCCTCCTGGTCACCCTCTTTCCCCCGTGCATCTACCCAAACACATTTTACCCATCATCTTTTCTTCCCCGCCCCGTCTTTCTTTTCTGCCTGCTGTGTTTTTGCAAAACCCTGTCTTCCTCCCGCTGGCCACCCTTTTCCCTTCCCCCACTTGTTACCCTCTTTTCCCCCTCTATCTACCCAAAAACTTTTCTCCCCACTGTCTTTTCACAAAACCTTCTCTCCCTACTGCTTGCCCCCATTTCCCTCCCACCCTCTTTCCTCCTCCCCCTTGCCACCCTCTTCTCCTCCATCTACCCATAAACTTTTTACCCACTGTCTTTCTGCAAAACCTTCCCTCCCTCCCGCTCCCCACCCTGTTTCTCCCCCTCCATTTACCCAAAAACTTTTTTCCCACCATCTTTTCCCCACTGTCTTTTTGCAACACCTTCTCCTGCTCGCTATTCTCTTTTCCCTTTGTCACTAACCACCCTCTTTACCTCCCTCCATCTATCCCAAAACTATTTTCCTCCTCCTACCTCTTGCACCACACTGCTTTCTCCGTTGCCGTCACCACAAACCGCAGCGAGGCGAGCTGTCCTACCGCGGATCCAGCCTCCAGCGTACGGCCTGTGATTACCCATTCCCGGTCCTCTAAGCTGGGCCCTGAGCAGCTCTACAGGAAGATACCGGAACCTTAAAGGGGCAGCCTTCCCTTCAGGATCATTCATATACTGAGGTTATATATAGATGAAGGTTCCTAGACTGCATGTTCTGATTGGATGAGAAAAACCCTCCAGGGTTACTGGGATTGGACTTTATTATCATGTTCTGATTGGATGAGAGCAAGTCTTAAGACAACAAATCACAGCATGAAAATAAAGCCCAATCAGAGTAGGCCTAGAGGTTTTTCTCTCATCCAATCAGAACATGTAGTCCAAGAACGCATGTGCGTAACCTCAGTATATAAAGCACGGTGAGGGCAACCTCAGGTCATTTCAGGTTCTTCAGTGGTGGTGTGCTGCTCTTCGCTTAGAGAACTAGGAGAGGGGACCGCCATCTGCTGCCAGCTGGAGCCAGGGCACTGGCTGTCTCCGGTTGGTGGTGGGGATGGAGCGGTCGAAGGGTGGCCTGCAGTGGGAGCTTTTCCTGCCGGGCAGGAGGAAGAGTAGAAGGGAGAGGCACGGACGCATGCTGGAGGCTGGAGCTTGCGCCACCGCAGCTCGCCTCGCTGCGGTTGGTGGTGATGTCGGACACTGCAGGTCTTCCAGAGTGGTAGACGTGCCGTTGGGTAGGTGAGTTTTCTGGGGCTGCACTGCCCACCTCTGGGGGCAGGGGTTGGGTGTCCTTTTGGGGCTCACTGCCCAAGGCTGCACTCCCTGTGGCAGGCAGCTGGTTCGGGGCACTCTCTGGGGTATTGCTGGCGGTTGGGGGGGGGGTTGGCTGGCTATCACTGGCTACACTGCCTGCGGTGGCGGGGGTGGTGGAGGGAGGCAGATTGTGTGCACTAATGTGTACTGCTGGTTGTGGGTGATGGGTTAGGGGCACTATATTCTGCTCCACTGCCTGCGGCAGGGGGTGGGTTGGGTGGTTATCTGGAGCTATAATGCTGGCAGTGGGCGGTGGTTTAGGGGTGTTATGGAGTGCTGCACTTCACTTACTTGGGGTGCACTATCAGGAGTTGCACTGCCCGTGGTGGGGTTGGGGGGGGCGGGTTTGGGGCACTGACTAGTGCAGCAACCCCCTTGGCTGGGTCGGGTTGTGGGCCCTGTAATGTGCTACACTGCCTGTTGGGGGTGGTGGCTTGGGGGGGTACTGGGGTTATATGCCTGCAACTGGCACGGGATGTGTTGGGTGTGCTATCCCGGGGCTACACTGCTGATGGCAAGGGGCAGGCAGGTTAGGGGTGCTGTCAGGGGCTACACTGCGTGGCATTGTTGGGCTGCAGAGGTGGCAGCAACAGCAACAGTGGTGGCCTCCTTTCTCCTTCCAGTGACCATTCTTCTTTTCCCAGATTCCAGACTCTAGAGGGTAATCTTCTCCTGCTCATGCAATTGTGAGCACAGCAGGGCCCCCACACCCCCCGTGGTTCCCCAGCCTGTGCCTCATGCTGCCTGTTGGGGAGACCACCTGGGACTACCGGGCAGGGATTAGTGGGAATCATGGGGGACTGTGGGGCCAGGGCACTGTAGGTGGAGGCGTCAGGAACAGGAACCAGCACTTGGGTGGGGAGGGCTGCCTAGGTCTGAGTTTTTCCTAGTCCTGCTCCTGGAGGAGTGCAGCCCTGGTGGGCCCAGCAATTTCTGGCCAGCTGCACCTGAACAGGGGCACTTTCAGCGAAGGCACTCACACCCACCTCAGGCCCCAGTTCTTGGCCAGCTTTGCCAGAAGGAGAAGCTGGACTTTGGAGGGTGGGTGTGAGTGCCTTTCCTGAAACTGGTCCTTGCCACCCAGTGGCCAGCGTGACAAGGTGAGGCTCTAAGGCTACCACTCTCTGCATCCCATTCTAGGCTTTTCTGGCTTTGCCCTCCCAGCTGCTCCAAGCCAGGATGGAGGAGGAGGACAAGGAAGAGTCACCTGTGGTAAACTGGAGCCTGCATATGGCTCTGCAGCTGGTCTCACGAGATTGGTGGCAGCGACGGAGACTGCAGCTCGACTGGAGTGGTAGGAGGGTGCCCGCGGGGGCAAGGTGGTAGGAGCCTTGTAGGGTGGGCTGCTGCATTGAGGGCGACACGGTTGTATTGGCATCGGTGCTAGTGGTGGTATCAGCATTAAGTCTGGGGGCTGGGAAGGGGGAGTAGGAGCGCTGCAGGGCCCAGCCCGACCTGGGGATGGGGAGGAACCTGCGGGTACTGTACCAGGCCTTGGTGGCAGCAGTGGAGGTGCACCTAGGGAAAGGAGGAGTCCTTCCCCTTCTCCTGCAATCTGTGGAGGGTGCCCTCCTCCTGCTGGTGACTGAGCCAGGCATGAGGGGCAGGATTGTCTTATTCTTAACAAAACTTAGGGGGTGACTATTTGTGTATCTTGTTTCTTTTTTGTTGTGATAGTCTCTGACTTTTTCAAATTTCATGAATTGGGGAGGGGATAAAAGGTATCATAATAGGCCTTCTACTTCCCACACCTGTTCTTTTTTCTTTCTTCTAGTCTGTATTGTCTTCTTCTCATCTTCTTGTTTCTCTTTATTTTCTTTTGCTGCTGCTTCTATTTCATGTTTCTATTGTGGTTTATCCTCCTTTTTAAATTTTCTTTATGCCAAGCAATGGCCTTAACAAACAACAAACCGAAAGTGAGTTAAAAAGAAACTACTGGTCCCTGTGTTGTATTTTTAAAATAAATGGTCCCTTACTGTGTTTTAGAGATGAGAAAAAAAATCAGTTGTATTAGTCACTTGAATAGGTATGCTTTCATGATCGTGTTAACCCACTTATGCCTAGTGTTCCATTATTGGAATACTGAGCATGAGGAATTAACTTACATCCTACTGCCCAAGGTCATTGACAAGGTCTGATTTTTCACTCATGCAAAAATTCAAAAAATTGCAGCCTCTTGCATAAGTGGGCTAATGCGTTGTAAGTAGTTACTCAAGGAATCAAAAATGAAGCATCACATAAAATATCGGTAGCAAACAGTCATTTCATTTCTGTCACATATTTATCTGGAGCTATGCAAGAGTCACCGGGGTAATAAGTTCCAGTTTATGAGATTATTAAGTGAACTGTATTCTCTTCATTTTATTTGTCTGCCACCATTTTCTTTTTTTCATTCATTCATTCTTTTTTTTTTTTTGAGACAGAGTTTCACTCTTGTTGCCCAGGCTGGAGTGTGATGGGGCGATCTCGGCTCACCGCAACCTCTGCCTCCTGGGTTCAAGTGATTCTCCCGCCTCAGCCTCCCTAGTAGCTGGGATTACAGGCATGTGCCACCATGCCCAGCTAATTTTGTATTTTTGGTAGAGATGGGGTTTCTCCATGTTGGTCAGGCTGGTCTTGAACTCCTGACCTCTGGTGATCCACCTGCCTCAGCCTCCCAAAGTGCTGGGATTACAGGTGTGAGCCACCACGCTGGCTCTCTGCCACCATTTTCAAGAGTATTGTCACCTGCATGAGCAAACCTGGTTCATCACCACCTCTTTGTAAGAAAAAAGGAAGTGGGGAGAGTTGTGTGTAACTTTTTTCTTTTTTTTTTTTTGAGATGAAGTCTAGCTCTTGCCCCCAGGCTGGAGTACAATGGTGCGATCTTGGCTCACTGCAACCCGCACCTCCTGGGCTCAAGCAGTTCTCCTGCCTTGGACCCCCGAGTAGCTGGGATTACAGGTACCTGCCACCATGCCCGGCTAATTGTTGTATGTTTAGTAGAGACGGGGTTTCACCATGTTGGTCAGGCTGGTCTAGAACACCTGACCTCAGGTGATCCACCTGCCTTGGCCTCCCAAAGTGCTGGAATTACAGGCGTGAGCAACCATGCCTGGCCGTGTATAATGTTTTAAGGCAAAGAGTCACAACCAAAAACAAGGCTTTATTAACTTTTGCCTCTAAGAACCTGCAGTGTTGAGCCCTCTTTTATTCCTAGTATTACTACCTTTGGTGTGAACCGTTTTTTTATTTTTATTTTTACTCATTCTTCTGGAAGTTTATACGTTTTCTTGCCTGCTTTAAAGACAATCTATATTATTTTTCAAGCCCACAGTAATGTGTAAGGCCTGTAATTTGGACACTTTTCAGTTATGTTTAAGGTTATGAGCATGTAAGATACTGTTGATATATGGAAGAATATGTCTAATTACCACTAGATAGCTTATATTGAAGAGATAATATCTAAATGTTTGTCCAGAGTTGATTGGGTGCAGTTTCATAGGTGTGTTTCTCAATAAATTGCATCCATGTTTTAAAGCATATAGGAATTTGAATACTGTTTAACCTCATATAGTCCTTGTTTGTAGGTTTAATATTTCTGAAGACAAAAGTCATCACAGCCCCCTTTAAGGTTCAGTAATATTAATAAAATTTGAGATACACAGGGTTAGAATCCAACAAATTCAGAAGAAAATTGTAAAATTATATAGCTGTAGAGCAGGAATGAAACTCAGGTTCTAAGTTCCTAGGGGACCATGAGCTACCATACAGGGGCATCAGTGACTGGGCATAGAGTTGGAAAAATTGCAGGATGGTAAGAGAGTGAGCTGTGGAGCCTAACTCTATGTGAACATGAATTTTTAAACTGCATGGTGCCTCAGTTTATCCATCTTTATGGTGGGGACAGTAGTAAGTTTTTCTTTTTCTGCTCAGTTGTCCGAATTATTTCCCTTGTCTGTCTTGTTGCCACTCTTGATGCTCACGTGAGAGGATCTAAGGTAATTTCTGACAGCCTGGGACTCCTTAAGGAAAAATAGAAGGTTCGACAAACCCCATTTTAGGAGAAACTCTGTTTTCCTCATGGAACCCCAAGAACTTTAAGCAGACAGGTCCTTCTCAAAACCTAAGGCTCTCCTCTGTTTTGCCTTGCGTTATCTGACCTTTTTGGTTTAGGTGGACATCAGAAATTAGTAGGGGAGAGAGATCTAAAGAAAGTTGTAGATGTGAAGATGTATTGATGGTAAGAAAAGTTATGAAGGAAAGAAATGTTGTATGAGAGAGGATCTTATATGGCAAATTGTTGTCCTAAAGTAGAATGACTAATTACGAAAGAGGAAAATACAGGACAGGTCAGAAAGTTTAATCATGTCATAGATGCTCTGTGGAAGTTGTGTTATGGTTCATGAAATGGGAAAGAAAATCTTAACAGCTGCTAGATCTTTTTCTGTCTAGAAGTGTTGTGTATGTGATGTATATATAAAGGAGCTCTAGTGGCTCGGCTTAAAAGAAAATGAAAGCTCTTAAATATTTTGTCAGAAAAACAGAAGCTCTAATGCCTTTTATTTCATGTGAGTTCAGTAATCTTGGGGAAGTAAAGACAGTGTTAAAATCATTGGTAAAATAAAAATATCTTCAAAATTTATCCATTTGGTGTAATTTAAGTCAAAGTTCAGAAGTGCTTTAATGTCATGAATTGATTGACTTTGGAAAATAGTTCTGTTTATCTGGTTTGGAGCCGTTAGATTTCTAGGTAAGGCCTCCAGACAGGTGGAGTTAGCCATGTCTCCTAGCTATGCTGGAAAGAGTCAGACTTTATCTACGGTTCCGTCTTGAATCCTAAACTCTGCACCTGGTATGTAATTAAAACTTCCTGCTGCTGCTAATCTCTGGGTTCCATTTAAAATCCTTCCGTCACATGAATACTATCCCCTGTACTAAATTTTTCCACAATTAAGTACTTAGAATAGTTTTTGCTGACTTGACCCAACCATTAGTGATATATTTTAAAACTACTTCTAATGTGTCACAATTTATTCAGCAAATGCAGGGAATGACATTTTTCCTTTTGTCAGCATTTACATAGCATTTATGTAGCAATGCTATTTCAAGTATTTTTAGTCATTTAAATATTGAATAATAGATAATGCTTTTGATTCTTTCATTTCTATGTAAATAAATGTAATTGAGATATTTAGTAAATAGTATCAATTACATGTCTCACTTATAGAATATACTTATCAAATTGGGATTATTCTTTTTATACACTACATCATATTTCCTTGTTGGTTTTATAATAACTTAGAAATAATATTCTGGATTAACTGTGTGACTCATGAGAGAGGGAGTTTGTGCAATTATAGTCTTTACAAATTTTTATTAGATTTTCAAGACTTACACTGGAACTGTGAGAACAAGGTAATAAATAAGCATATCTATTAATATCATCTTTGGTCAACTCTTGGCTGGACCCAATGATAGTGTAGGAATTAACATAATTTTTCCTACTAAAGGTATTGGATTTGTTTTGAGAGACCACAGTTTAATATCATTGACATAGAAAGTTTAAAAATTGTTAGACTAAAATTTTTTAGTGCTGTTGAAGTTGTTTTACAGAAAAATATCTATCCTGGTTTACATTGATAGTTTTTTTTATAAGAACTAGATCAAGAGAAAGGGAGAGTAGTGATAAATGTCCAGGTTTTCGAGTTGAAAAGTAACAATCAGTGTATTACAACAGATAGATTTGATGTCAAATTGCAAATGCTGAAAACGTTATATGTAATTGACTAGCCAGAGTAATTATACAAGGCAAAGAAAGGAAAAGCATCTAAATAGGAAAGGAAGGGGTGAGATTGTCTCTGTTTTCTGAAAATGTAATCTTTTAACATAGGGAAAATCTTAGACTCCACCAAAAAAACCCATTAAAGCTGATAAACACTATATTCAACAAAGTTGAGAGTTACAAAATTAACATACAAATAGTATTCTTGTTTTTATACACCGATGATAAACTATTATCTGAAAAATAAATTAATAAAGTAATTCCGTTTATAATAGCATCAAAACAAATATATAAATAAATAAAAGACCAAGGAGTAATTTTAATGAAGGATGTGAATGATGTGTATACTGAAAATTATAGCACATTGATGAAAGAAATTGAAAGTGACATAAACATCCTATATTTATAAATTGAAAAAATTAATATTGTCAAAATTGCAATGCTACCGAAAGCAGTCTACAGATTAAATGCAACCACTATCAAACTCCAATGTCATTTTTCACAGAAATAGAAAAATTAGTCCTAAAATCTGAATGGAACCACAAAAGACCCTGAAAAACCAAAGCAATCTTGAGCAAAAAGAACAAACCTGGAGGCATCAGACTATACCTAATCTTTGACAAAGCAAACAAAACATAAAGTGGGAAAAGATGCCCTATTTGGTGCTGGCATAATTGGCAAGCCACGTGCAGAAAAATGAAACTGTTCTTCAAAAGGTTAAGTATAGAATTATCACGACTCAGTAAATTAACTCCTATGTATACAGCAAAAAGGAATTAAAACAAATGCCTTACACAAAAAGTAGCATACAACTGTTTATGGCAACAAAAAGTAGGAAACAACAGAAATGTCCATCAGTTGAGGAGTGGATTAATAAAATGTGATCTGTCCATAAAATAAAATATTATTTGGCAATGAAAAAGAAAACGGTATTAATAGATGCTCCAAAAAGGATGAACATTGAAAAAATGATAAGTGAAAGTAGTGAGTCACACATAACTATATATTATTATGATTCCACTTACATGAAATGTCCAGAATAGGCAAATCCTTCCAGAATTGGCAAATCCTTAGGAAGTAGATGGATGATTGCCTAGGGCTGGGAGGGTTTTAAAGGAAGAGTGGGGAAAATGGGAAAAGATTGCTAATGGGTGCAAGGTTTCTTATAAGGAGCATAAAAGTGTTCTAAAATTATATTGTGATTGTTTATGCACCCAGTTAATACACTAAAAAAACCTGAATTTTATACTTTAATTGAGTGAATTAAATAATACATAAATTATATCTCAATGAACCTGTGAAAAATGTTTAAAAATATGTGGTATGCATAAACAAAAAGTTCTTGTATTTCCATAGGGTTTTGGGGAACAGGTGGTGTTTGATTATGTGAGTAAGTTCTTTAGAGGTGATTCATGAGATTTTGGTGGACCCAACACCTGTGCAGTATACACTGTATACAATTTGTAGTCTTTAATTCCTCACCCCCTCCCACCTTTTCTCCCAAGTCCCAAAGTCCGTTGTATTCTAATGCCTTTGCATCCTCACAGCTTAGCTACCTCTTATTAGCGAGAGCATCCGATGTGTGCTTTTCCATTCTTAATGTTACTTCACTTAGAATGATAGTCTCTGATCGGCTGGGCGCGGTGGCTCACGCGTGTAATCACAGCACTTTGGGAGGCTGAGGCAGGTGGATCACGAGGTCAGGAGATCGAGACCATCCTGGCTAACATGGTGAAACCCCGTCTCTACTAAAAATACAAAAAATTAGCTGGGCGTGGTGGCGGGCATCTGTAGTCCCACCTACTTGGGAGGCTAAGGCAGGAGAATGGCATGAACCCGAGAGGCAGAGGTTGCAGTGAGCTGAGATCGTGCCACTGCACTCCAGCGTGGGTGACAGAGAGACTCTGTCTAAAAAAAAAAAAAAAAAAGAAAAACGAAAAGAAAGTCTCTGATCCCATCCAGGTTGCTGTGAATGCCATTATATTTTTTCCTTTTTATGGCTGAATAGTATTCCATGATGTATATCACAATTTCTTAATCTACTCATTGATGGGCATTTGGGCTGGTTACATATTTCTGCTATTGTGAATTGTGCTGTTATAAACTTGTGTGTGCAAGCATCTTTTTTATATAGTGACTTCTTTTCCCCTCTGGGTAGATACCCAGTAATGGAATTGCTGGATTAAATGGTAGTTCTACTTTTAGTTCTTTAAGAAATCTCCACACTGTTTACTATAGTGGTTGTACTAGTTTACATTACCACTAGCAGTATAAAAGTGTTCCCTTTTCACCAAATGCCCCCCAATATTTTTTATTTTTTGCTGTTTTGATTATGGTCATTCTTGCCAGAGTAAGCTGGCATAGCATTGTGAGTTTTTGGTTTTTTTTTTTTGAGATGGAGTCCGCTCTGTCACCAGGCTGGAGTGCAGTGGTGTAACCTTGGCTCACTGCAACTTCCACCTTCTGGGTTCAAGGGATTCTCCTGCCTCAGCCTCCCGAGTAGCTGGGACTACAGGTGCCCACCACCACTCCCGGCTAATTTTTGTATTTTTAGGACAGATGGAGTTTCACCATGTTGGCCAGGGTGGTCTTGATCTCTTGACCTAGTGATCTACCCGCCTCAGCCTCCCAAAGTGCTGGGATTTCAGGTGTGAGCCACCGCTCCCAGCCTGACATTGTGGTTTTGATTTGCATTTCCCTGATCTTTAGTGATGATGAGCATTTTTTCATGTTTGTTGGCCATTTTTTATATCTCCTTTTGAGAATTGTCTATTCAAGTCCTTAGCCCATTATTTGAAGGGATTGGTTTTTTTCCTGTTAATTTGAGTACCTTGTAGATTCTGGTTATTAGTCCTTTCTCAGACGTATAGATTGTGAAGATTTTCTCCCATTCCATGGGTTGTCTGTTTACTCTGCTTATTGTTTCTTTTGCTGTGCCAAAACGTTTTGGCTTGATTAAGTCTCACCTTTTAATCTTCATTTTGTTGTTGTTGCACTTGCTTTTGGGTTCTTGGTCATGAAGTCTCTGCCTAAGCCAATGTGTAGAAGGGGTTTTCCAATGTTACCTTCTAGAATTTTTATGGTTGCAGGTCTCAGATTTAAGTTGACTTTTGTATAAGGTAAGAGATGGGAATTCAGTTTCATTTCTTGGGATATAGCTTGCCAATTATCCAAGCACCATATGTTGAGTAGGGTGTTCTTTCCCCACTTTATATTGTTTGCTTTGTCAAAGACCAGTTGGCTGTAAGTATTTGAGTTTACTTCTGGGTTCTCTATTATGTTTCATTGGTCTATGTGCTTATTTTTATACCAGTATTATGCTGTTTTGCTGACTATGGGTTTGTAGTATAGATTGAAGTCAGGTAATGTAATGCCTCCAGATTTGTTCTTTCTGCTTAGTCTTGCTTTGGCTATGTGGGCTCGTTTTTTTTTTCCCATATGAATTTTAGAATTATCAGGAGCCACCAGGTGCTGCAGCAGCTTTGGGATAACTTGAGGGCGCATCCTGGGGAAGAAACACCTCCTGTCCATGGTGCTAACTGCTGAGGACAGTGCTTCGGCGTGGCTTCTCCGTGGCCCAGCTTCTTTGGGGCGTTTTTCTTTCATGGTGAGTACAGAAGCTTTCGTTTTGTGGAATGTTCTGTGTATTTCTGCTAGATTCTCACTCCTTTTTTCTCTCTTGATATCTTGCCATTAATTTTACAGTAGTACTCATTCCCTGAGGGCTTTTGAGTTTGGAATGTGTGGGAGGCTTTAGGGCTGTTTCTGAGGGAGACTCCCCATGTAGGTGGAGAGGAAAGCTCTGGCTGTGGGAGGAAGGGGAAGCCTGGCCCAGGTGGGGTTTTGGGGCCAGGCCCCAGTTTGGCTGCCTTGCTTTCAAGCCTCAGATGGAAGGAAAGGATCCAACTTAACCTCCAGGGTTTGCTGATTTTTTAATTGTTTTTATTTTTATTTTTTTTTTGGAGATACAGTCTTGCTCTGTTGCCCGGGCTGGAGTGCAGTGGTGGATCTCAGCTCACTGCAACCTCCATTTTCTGGGCCCAAGGGATTCTCCAGCCTCAGCCTCAACAGTATTTTGGCCTATGCCACCATGCCCAGCTATTTTTTTTTTTTGTATTTTTGGTAGCAACAGGGTTTCGCCATGTTGCTTGGGCTTGTCTCAAACTTCTGAGCTCAAAGCAGTCCTCGCGCCTCAACTTCCCAAAGTGCTGGGATTACAGGCATTAACTACTGCACCCGGTCTGGTGAATTTTTAAATCTGTATCCCTGCTATCAGGACGTAGGTGTCACATTTCTCCACTCCCTGCAGTGCCTGCCTAACTCTGTCCCTCTAGTCATGGCCACCTGACTGGGGGAAGGGACCTTGAGTGTGGTTTACTGTCCTCTTTGCAGAAATGTCTATTCAGGGTCCCTGCTCATTTTTGGATGGATCATTGGTTTTTTTGTTGCTACTTAGTACTGTTAATGTGTTGTATATTTTCCATAACAACCCCTTAGCTGATTCGTGATTCCTCAAAACATTCTCCCAGCCTTTCTTTTTGGGTTCATTGTTTCCTTTTCCTTGCAAAAACTTTTCACTTTGATGTAGCCATGCATGTTTTCTTATGGCCAGGCATAATGGCTGGTGCCTGTAATCCAAGCACTTTGCAAGGCCAAGGTGGGCAGATCACTTGAGCCAAAGAATTTGAGACCAGCCTAGGCAACATGGCAAAAGTTCATCTCTACAAAAAATACAAAGAAATTAGCCAGGCGTGGTGGTGTGTGCCTGTAGTTCCAGCTATTCAGGAGGCAGAAGTGGGAGGATCAGTTGTGCCAGAGAGGTCAAGGCTGCAGTGAGCCATGATCATGCCACTGCATTCCAGCCTGAGTGACAGAGTCCTTGTAGTTATCACTTCTATGTTTCCTTCAAATTTTCTAACAATTTTTTTGAGACAGAGTTTCATTCTCTCACCCAGGCTGGAGCACAGCGGCATATCAGGGATTGTGAGTCCTCCAACTTAGTTTCTATTTCTCAGGATTCCTTAGACATTCAGGGCCATTTGTGGTTCCATGTGATCATCAGCATTGTGTGTTCACGTTTCTTAAATTTCTGTGCATAGTAAAGTATATAATTAGAGAGTCTGCTGGGACTGTTTTTCCTCTGGCACATTTTGATTCATGTATATTTTTAGTAATGATCAAATCAGGGTACTTGGCATATCTGTTCTCTCATACAGGTATTATTCTTTTGTGAAAACATTGGAATTGCTCCCTGTGGCTTTTTTGAAAAATATAGTATTAACCAGAATCACGGAGCTGTGGTATAGAGCACAAGAATGTATCTGTCCCAACTAACTGCAACTTTGTTTCCACAACCAATCCTCCCATTCCCTCCTTCCCCTCTCCTCAGAAAACCACTACTTATCCAAGGCAAAGTTTTCTGGATTCCATATAAGTGAGATGAATCTGTGGTTATTTTTCTATGCTTGGCTTATTTTATTTAACATATTTTCCAGGTTCATCCATATGGCTCCAAATGAAAATTACATTAATTATGGATGAAGAGTATTGTGTTGTGCAGATATACTGCAGTTTCTTCATCCCTTCATCTATGGATGGACAGGTAGGTTGATTCCATATCTTCTATATTGCGAATACTGTCATGAAACATGGGAAGGCAGGTAACTCCTTAAGGTACCGGTTTCCTTTGCTTTAAATGCATACGCAGTGTGAGGAACATCCCAACTTTTTCACAGTGTATTCACTAATTCACATTGGCATCAATAGCGTATAAGAGTTTCCCTTTCTGTAAGTCTACACTGGCTGCTACCTTCCAAAAATGTTATTCCTGTTTTTGGTAATATTCTCAGTGGAGTTTGATGGTATCTGATATTGGAGTGTGATTCTGACTTACATGTTTGGAGTGATTAGTGATGTGGAGCATCTTTTTTTTTCACCTGTGAATCAGTTTCATGTCCTTTGCAGAAGTGATTGTGCAGGTCCTTTGCATATTTTTAGCTTGTGTATTTTTTTAATCTTTTCCCCACTTAGTAGCTTTAGTGCTTGCATATGTTAGATAACAACCCCTTCCAAAATCACGATTCTCCACAATTTTAACCCAATCATCCTTTCCGCCAAGGTAAGATGCTTTCTCTTTGGGTTCATTGTTTTCTCCCCCATGCAGAAGCTCTAAAGTGTTGGTCTCACAGTTTTTTATTTGCTTTTGTCAGCAGGGATTTCTGTGTCCAATCAGAGAGAGAAAAAAGAGATCACAAAGTCATTGTATTGTCTACAGGTATTTTCCCTGTAAGTGAGAGCATGTGGTATTTTGTTTTCTGTTAGATTGTGTTAGTTTGCTTAGCATAGTGACCTGCAGGTCCATCCTTGTTGCTGTCAAGAGCATGAATTTTTTTTAAGCTGTGTAGGATGTTGTGGTATCTATGTATAGCACTTTTAAAGCATGTAATCAACTGTTAAGGGGGGACATAGGTCGATGTTATTTTATATTTCCATGTGAATAGCACTTCCAAGAACATACCCATGCCTGTGTCATTTTGAAAGGAAGATTTATGATTTATTTTCCTTTGTGTAGATACCCAGTTATGTGATTGCTCATTTGGATGGTAGTTGTTAAGTTCTTTGAGGAACCTCCAAACCACTTCTCATAGTGTGAGAGCTAGTTTTTATTCCCACCAAGAGTGTAGCAGTGTTTGCTTTCCTCCATTGCCTTGCCACCATGTTAATGCTTGGACTTAGGACAAATGGCCATTCTGACCGATGTGAGATGGTATCTCAGTGTTCATGAGAGTTGCATTTCTCTGATGATGAGGGATGTTGAGGTGTTTGTTCATGTTCTCTACCCATTGTTTGAATGGTTTGTTTTTCTGCCTCTTGATTTTTTTAAGGTCATATTAGAGTCTGGCTATCAGACCTTGGTGAGAAGCATAGTTTGGGAACATTTTCTCCCATCCTGTAGCCTGTGTGTTTACTGTGCCAGTGATTTATTTTGCTATCTGGCAGTGTTATAGTTTCTTAGGCCCAGCTTGTCCTTTTGGTTTTTCTTACTGTTGCTTTTTGTTTAAATGCTTTTCCAAAGCCCGTACTGAGAAAGATATGTCCTAGGTTTCCTTGTAGGACTTTTATAGTTTGAGGTATTCTGCTGAAATCTTTCATTCACCTTGGGTTAGTTTTTGTATCTGACGAGAGTTAAGGCTCCAGTGTTGTCCATCTGCATGTGTCTAGCCACCTAGCCCAGTGCCCTTCACTGCATAGTGAGCCTTTTGTCCATCTGACGTTTGGTGTTTCAGCATGGCTTTGGAGTTTCAGGGCATTTTGTGGTCCCATGGGAATTTTAGCATTGTTTGTTTATGTTGTTTTTAGGAAACAAAATTGGCCCTGTCCTAAATATGTACAACTAGAGGGTCGAGTGGGACATTTGGGTCCATGCATGCATCGTATAGGGGTGAAATCAGGGTATTTAGCATCCTTTTATGCCTGGTAGAGTTTTCATGTCTTTGAGTGAGGAGAGCGAGAACCCTCCTTTCTGGCTGTCTTGAAGACCACCCTTTGGTAAAATTTTCCCTAGTCATCCTGCTGAGGAATAGAACAGCAGGTTTCATTCCTCTCATGCAACGTGTCACTTTGTACCTGTTTCCTATGCCCACCCTTGCCCAGCCTTCTTTTCCAACCCTGGCAAGCACGATGGTGCTTTGTAGGTCTGTGTGAGATAAAGTTTCCTAGATTCCTCATGAGTGAAGTGATGCGAGGTTTGTCTTTCTCTGCCTAGTGTGTTTTGTTTACCATAATGTTCTCCAGGTTCCACAGTGTTGCCACGGATGACCTGATTTCAGTACCCATGTCTGGCTGAAGAGTATCTGGTTGTGACTGGATACTGCAGTTTCTGGATCTCATCCTCTGTGGGTGGACAGGTAGGTTGATTGCTTATCTTGGCTATTGCGACTGTTTCCACAGTCAGCGTGGGAAGGCAGATACGTCTTCTGTGTACTGATTTCATATGATTCCAGTAGCAGCACAGCTCAGTGGTTGTAAGTTTAGTTTTCTGAGGAACCTCCAGGTGGCTTCTGTAGTGTGCATACTAATTACCTGTTAACAGTTGTGGATAAGAAAGCTAACCTCTCTGGAAATTCACAGCAGCTTCTTTTAAGATACACAAAGGTCTTTGTAATAATCGTTCCACCAAGAGAGGCACAGTATCTGAGTCTTGTTCTGATTTTCATTTTTGCCATGATTAGTGGTGTTAACCGGGTGTTAACAAGCATACTTATTTTCAGTTTTATGTGTCTTTTGCAGAAAAGCCTCTTTGGTTTTTTTATCCAGTTTTGGTTTGGTAATTAATTTCTGTTTTCTGGTGTTGTTTGCTAGTTAGTAATGTTAGTTACTTACACCTTTTCCAAAAAAATGCCTCATCAGCTGTGTTTTTCTCCAAATGCTTCTTATCATCCTTTGTATGTTTCTTTCTTTTCATTCATGTTTTTCATTCTTTCTTGCCCACAAGCCATGTAGTCTGATGCAGTTTCAGGTGTGTGCAGTGTTCTGGTTTTCCCTTACTTTGGTGACTGATGAAGTTAAAGAAATTCACCAGCTTATCAATCTGTTGCCAGTGAGTTTTGGTTGTTGCTTGTTTGTATTCTTTTTTGTCTTCTTTATTTTTTCTGTTTTCCTTTTTGCAAACCATGAGCATAGATCCAAGTTGACCCTGGTATCTGCACACTATATGCTTTCTTCTTAGAGAGTGACTTTATCAGTTTTGGATAGGTCTTTCTTTCAGTTGAATGAATTGTGAATTTCGCACAATAAGGACCCTATGTTATTTTGCTTAGGGATATCCAGTTCCCTGAACACTGTATTGGACAGACTCTCCCTTCCCAGGGTGACTTTTGTGGTTGTTTTCAAACATGTGCTTACTCGTATGTTGTTAAAGGAAAGTATCTTGGTCCCCCAAAATCACTAAGGAAAACTCAGGCTGGAAACTGCTTAGGGCCAACCTGTCTCCCATTCTGTTAAAAGCCACCCCTCTGCTCACTGAGATAGATGCATATCTGATTGCCTCCTTTGGAGAAGCTAACCAAAACCTCTAAATAATGTAATTATTTGTGTATCTCTTATCCATGACCTTGAAGCTCCCTCCCTGCTTCCAGTCTTCCTGCCTTTGCTTAAAGTTGTTCCACCTTTCCAGAGCAAACCTATGTACTTCTTAACATACATTGATTGTTGTCTCATGTCTCGCTAAAATGTATAAAACCAAGCTGTGCCCTGACCACCTTGGGCACATGTTTTCATGACTTTCTGAGGCTTTGTCAGGAGTGTGTCCTCAACCTTGGCAAAATAAACTTTCTAAATTAACTGAGACCTGTTTCAGATTTTCAGAGTTCCCCTTTGGTAACCACGAGGGATTCTGAGTGGAGATGCCCCTGACCTTTGGCAAATCTCCTGTCAGTGCTTGGGACCAGTGTGAGCTCACTTTATGACCCAAACCAATAGGACAATTTGCTGAGATCTGAGAGCACTCCCTCCAAAGAATCCTTCATCTCCAAAACTTTGGTCAAGATCTAAAGTTTATTTTGCTGTACAACTCCTCTTTTTTTTTTTTTTTTGGAGTTTTACTTGCGTCCAACAAGACAAGTTTTCACACCTCCATGATGTTGGAAGGCAGGTAACTACTTTATAGAGTTTGAGCTCACTTCTTCTATTAGGCAAATTTGTTTTGTGTGTTTGTTTGTTTGTGTGTTTTTCCTGCTTCTAGGATAGTAGAGAGTAGTTTGCAGCCTGAGATCCATCACTAGGTAAGAAACTAGTTTTGGATTCTGTCTTGCAAATTCCTTTTAAAGAATAAAGTTAACATTTAACAACCAGCCGGTGTTAATTTCTGCTTACACGTCAGAGTGCTCAGAAATCATATAATTTGTGTGACCATTGTTAGTTTAGCAGCATTTTGTCCTCGCTGAAATATGGTAATAAGATTAAAAGAGTTTTGTTTAAAGGAGCACAATTGTGTAAAAGTCAGCTTAATTAAAAGGGTAACATCCAGATGTGTGTGCATGTGTGCGCATGTTTGTATTTGAAAGGCCTTCATGTTTTTTGTTTTTTTGTTTGTTTTACTCTCCTAAGACCTTGTCTTTTTGTTGTTGTTGAGCAAATGTGTTTATGTTTTTTTTGTCTTTTTTTTCTCAGTTGACTGAATTCTGTTTTCACTTGATTTTTCTTGACTAAAGTAGTTATTGCAACAGAGGCTACTCTTGGGTTTTTAAGGAAGACTGTAGTTTAATTTAATGTTTAATTTGGCTCGAAGAAAATATTAGTGTCTCCCTCTAGCACCACCAGACTCTTTCCTTGTGTGCTTTATGTAGTAAATTTTGCTATTTGATTTTCACCTGAATTGTTTCCCTTAACGTTCAAATTTAAGGCTGTTTAGTTGACAGCTGCCTAGGGTTGTGAAACAAGTTACCAAGAATCTGAAAGTCTGAGAGAGAAAAAAAGGGGGAGATCTTCAATCTATAAAATGTACCGTGACAGCCCAATGCGTTCACCTTGCCCGCTGCCTAGACAGAACCGATTTATCAAGGTAGAGGAAGTGCAGTGGAGAAGGAGTAATTCACGCAGAGCCGGCTGCATGGCAGACCAAAGTTTTTACTCAAATCGGTCTCCCCGAGCATTCGGGGATCAGAGTTTTTAAAGATATTTGGTGGGTAGGGGCTTGGGAAGTGGGGAGTGCTGATTAGTCAGGTTGGAGATAGAATCATAGGGGGTTGAAGTTAGGTTATCTTTCTGTCTTCTATTCATGGGTATGACGGCACAACCGGTTGGGCCAGATTACTG
This sequence comes from Homo sapiens, assembly GCF_000001405.40. NCBI lineage: Eukaryota > Metazoa > Chordata > Mammalia > Primates > Hominidae > Homo > Homo sapiens. The sequence goes on from NC_000014.9 coordinate 18,937,062, forward strand.
GCCTGGGCAGGGTCTGCAACACGTATCAAGCCCTGATCTTAGGTTTTACAGTAGTGATGTGATGTTACCTGCAGGAGCAGTTTGGGGAGGTTCAGACTTTCGAAGCCAGAGACTGCATGACCCCTAAACTGTACATTCTAATCTCGTAGCTAATATGTTAGTCCTGCAAAGGCAGACTGCTCCCCAGGCAAGAAGGGGTTCTTTTCAGGAAAGGGTTGTTATCAATTTGCTTTCAGAGTCAAACCGTGAACTAAATTCCTTCCCAAAGTTAGTTGAGCTTACACCAAGGAATGAACAAGGACAGCTTAAGGGTTAGAAGCAAGATAGAGTCGGTTAGGTCTGATTTCTTTCACTGTCATAATTTCCTTAGTTGCAGTTTTGCAAAAGTGGTTTCAGTACTTCCATAGATATGCCTGATAGATTTTTAGATGTATTTATGTATTGTGTACAGAATGTTGGACTACTAAAAATATATAAAAGCTCTAATCGGCTTAAAGAAAAATAAAACCACTTAAGTTAAATACTAAGAAAGACTTGTGAAATGCTTTTTCAACTTTATGTAACTTAAGCAAAATCTTTAATAAATAAGCTATCTTTAAAATTATTGGTAAAAAAATATTAGAAATGTCTTAAAAATTGGCAGCATACATTTTTGTTTACATTTAGTATCAACCAATTTCATACATATTCCTGCCAAATACTATAAGGTGTCAAAATTTGGCATTGGGGTTTCAAAAGTATAAACCCAGCCCAAAACGGAATGATCTTTACTTGTGTAATTTTTAATAAGTAAGACATTGATATGGGGTTTAATAAAAACAGCTGCATGTTGAATTTAGTAAGATTACTAGCACTTCTAATCCTGCGGCATTTGGCAGTCTAGTCCACAGACAATAAGGTAAGGACTGTTACTGCCTTTGTTTCAAATCTAAACTATAAACCAGGTTCCTCTCAGTGTTAGTTCAGCCTATGCCCAGGAATGAACAAGGACAGCTTGGAGGTTATGAGCAAGATGGAGCCAGTTAGGTCAAATCTTTTTTTCACTGTCTCAGTTATAATTTTGCAATGGCGGCTTCATAACTTTAAATCATGACTATCACAGATTTCATAAATAATCTAGATAAACAATTAAAATAATTAGGTAATTGTAATGGGATAAATACTTGTAGACAAACTGGTCATAATTTAGAATATAAAGTTAAGTTAAATAATAGATATTTCATTATTTGGGTATTTTCCAATACACATATATTGTAGGAAAACATTCTTGCCAAAAAAGTGTCTTTTTTTCTAAAAAAAAAAAAAAAAGAACATGTTTTGTCTAATTCAAAGCTTATTTAAAGTTATATATAAAACAAAGTAAAAGGAACCAGGAAATAAAAAAATGTAAAGAAAGTTGTAAAGAGGTAGTTTTTGAGGTAAAAAAGAGTTTAAAGAGAAATACTATTATATAAGAAAGAATCCTGTGTAGTAAGTTTAGTCCTAAAATAAAATAACTGGTTGTTTAAAAAGAAAGGATGTTCAGAACAAATCAGAAAGTCTGACCATGTCATGAACAATGTAAGTTACAATAAGGATTTATATATTTAAAAAATCCAAAAACTTTTATATAATAAAGTTGTCACATTAAGTTTTGGTTTACTTAGGAAAAAAACTGAGATTTTTTAAAATTGAAGTTATTACATCCATGTATCTTCCTGTATATGCTTTCAAAATCCTTGCAACATTGAGTTACAGGGCTTTTTAACTCCTATGTCTAAAAACGAAAACCAATTCCTGCTAAATCTTAAATACCCACAGCAATTAAAGCCTCATCTTCAGGACCAGTAGAAGATGCCAATTTAAATAAACTGCTGCATTCCTGAGACACAGGGCAGGAAATGAAAGCTATTGAACTCCTCAAGACCAAGAGACTATTGTGAAAGAGGTGGGAGCATAAGATTGTAAGGGCCGATTTTGAAAGATAAAGTTGGTTCAGTTTCTCTATACATTAATTATTAATGTCAAAATCACAATGATGCAAAACCAGTATATGGACCCCTGTGTCAGATTAACAAGGTTTTCTTGAAGCATTTACCAACTCCTTAGTACAGGTTATAAAAGGCTTATGGAAGTTATATTTTATAATCAAGATTACATTTTATAGATTTAGAAAATTTTAAAAAACAAATGTAATTGGCTTCATGCTGTTTTTATTAGGGCTTCTTGTTTAAAAAATTAAGTCTCCTGTCTCAAAGGATGAAGGTTTTCACTTTTAAAAAATCCTTGAATTATCACTTTGGTTAAATAAATGACTTTACAATGACCTGTAATCCTATTTTTTAATATCAAGTGTTTTAAACATTTTATATTTGACAAACTTTCCAAAATCAAATTATATATTATGTCTTTTTCCATCCTAAATAGAACATTAGTTTCTCTAAAGTCTAAAAATGACATAATTTGGCTTATCTGGTATAAAATTTATACAGGAAAGTACTGTCAGATAAGAAATGGTGTTTGGCTTTCTTTCATATCCATTTGTATAAATATGTTATTGGTATGTGTTCCAAAATGATGGGAAACTCCTGTAATTCTGATATAACTTAGTGTACATTATTCGTAATAATCATAATTGCTATGTTAAAATTATCGTGTGCCACGGAGGTAACACATTCACTTGTCAATTGTATCTTTTAACTATGGCTGCCTTTACTTTTTTTTCATCCACAGACGGTTATCTTGTTTTGTCTTGTTTTGTCTTGTTTTAAACCCTCTTTATAAGGTGGGTTTATAATCAGCTGTAGGACTCTTAACAGGTGCACTTAAATTCAGGTTTTCTGATAATTTTGGAAATTGTTACATTGGAATAAAGCAAAAAATTTCGGAACTCTCTCATGGAGAGCTGAAATGTTCCTGACTATGAAACGGAACAGGAGTTAATTGAAATAACTGAACCAACAGAAAATTGAAGTAATCTTTTTGACTTCTTGCTTAAAACATTGCTGATACTTTGTTTAGTTTTTCAGAGTTAAGAAAACTTTGTTAGTTGCAGCTTTTAACAATAAAGTATATTCCTGTGAACAAAATTTGGAGCATATTTGTTTTTCTCTACCTAATTTCTCCAGAATTTGGAAACTGGGGGTATTCTTAATTTATGGCAATATAGTTATTTGCATAAGTGCAATAAGAATCTGTTTTATTTTGCAATAGGACACAGTTGGAGAAGTTGGTTATTTTATCAAGGGTTTGACTGAAATGGTGTGCTTTCCTTTAAGGAATCAAACTTGACTTATAGAAGCCAATAAAGCCCGTGGAAAAACTGGCCTCATATTTTGTGTACACAGTCCCTGTACAGGGTTTTGACCTGTGGTAAATAAAGAATGTCACTTTCTGACAGGTGCAGAAGCCCCAGGTTTATCTTGGAACCTCAAGAGGAGAGGAAATTCACTGAAATCATAGGTATTTGATGGCACAAATCCATGGCTGGGCCTGGCTTAAGAAAGTCTTATCTAAGATTCCTCCTATGGAACAAAGTTCCATCAAAGCCAATTTAAAAGCCTGTGTAAAAAATAATTATTGTTGTTGCACTGTATGCAAATAATTAGACCAAGAATACTAAAGCAAATCAGTTCTAACATGATTTATCTTTAGTAAAAATGGAAAACTGGAGAGAGAAAAAATTATGTTTCAAAACCACAGTAGACCTGTTTTTAGATTCTAGTCTTGCCTAATATTTTTTTCAATTTTTATTATTTTCTACAGTTGGGACCAAATTCTAATTTTTCTTGGCTACAAGTCTTTAATGTTTTCAATTTTTTTTTCAATTATTCCTAACTTGGAGTCACTGAAAACTAAGCTGTGCTTTCTTAAAACCCTGTGAACTGAAGCCAGACAAATTAAACTTCAGAAGAAAATAACAGCAACCTGTTGACATACCTAAGCCACTTTCATACCTGCCTACTGAGGCATGGACTGCAGAGTAATGTGGCTTACATTGATTTTTCCAGGATTGTTCTTTTGTTTGTTGTTGTTTTTTCTCACTTCCTCCCCCCTATTTTAACTTCAAAGGATGTGAGACATCACAACCTGCTAAAAATGAGCTTTTGGGACCTACCTCTCTAGGAATAAACCCTCCTAGCCATGAGAGATCAGATGAAACCCGAGACCAGAGACTCATTTTCTTGTAAAATGCTTTTTCCAAAAGATTTTTTAAAAAGAAAAGGGGGGAAATGTGAAAGGAAAATATCTTGGGCCCCTAAAATCACTAAGGAAAACTCAGGCTGGAATCTGCTTAGGGCCAACCTGCCTCCCATTCTATTCAAAGTCACCCCTCTGCTCCCTGAGATAGATGCATACCTGATTGCCTCCTTTGGAGACTAATCAGAAACTCAAAAGAATGTAACCATTTGTGTATCAGTGATCTGTGACCTGGAAGCTCCCTCCCTCCTTCCAGTCTTCTGAGTTAGCTTCAACTTGTCACACCTTTCTAGACCAAAGCAATATACTTCTTAGATATATTGATTGATGTCTCATGTTTCTCTGAAATGTATAAAACCAAGCTGTGCCCTGACCACCTTGGGCACATGTCATCATGACCCTGAGGCTGTGTCACGAGTGTGTTCTCAACCTTGGCAAAATAAACTTTCTAAATTAACTGAGACCTTCATTTGAGTGTGCTGCTGGACACCCTCATTGTGTTCGTTGGCCTGTGTTTCTCTGTTAATGCCTATCACGAATCGCTTGGGTAACTAAAGCTTTGGGAAGTAGTTGAAAGTGGAAGAGTGTGATGGCACTCCACTGACTTTGTATGTGCAGAAACTGCTTTGGGAATGCAGGGCATTTCATTGTCCCACGGGATTTTTAGTAGTGTGTTGTGATCCTATTTGGAAAACAAAAATAGGACATGGTCTATGTTTTTATTTAAAGGGTGCAATGGACCTTTTTACATGAATCAATGAAACTACAGGACCTAGCATCTGTTTCATGCTACAGTGAGGATTTCTTGATGGAGAGAGCATTCCAAATCCTTTCCAGCAATATTGAATATTATGCTAGGATATTGTTAAGCCTAGTCACCCTGCTGTGCTGTAGAACACCAGAGTACCTGTGCCTCATCTGAGCATCCCTTTGTAGCCATTTCCAATCCTCCTCCGAGCCTCTGGTACCCACTGTTGACATTGCTACTGTATGAGATTCACTTTGTTAGATTCCACGTGCATGAGATTGCACAGTATTTGTGTTTGTCTTCCTCTGCCTGGCTCATGTTTTTTAACTTAATGCCCTCCAGGTTTCTCCATCTTGCTGGTAGTGAACTGATGTCCGGAAGTTTGATGGCCGAAGAGTATACCGTTGTGCATATATCCTTCAATTCCTGATTTTATCATCTGTAGAAAGACAAGTAGGTTGATTCCCCACCTTGGTTATTGTCCAGAGTACTTCATGAAACATGGGAAGGGAGATACCTCCTTAAGGTAGGTTTCCTTGGCTTTGCAGGTATACCCAGTGTTGGGATGGCTAGAGGAACTGGTGGTTGTGTTGTTAATTGTTTCAGAAACCTCCAGCTGTTTCCCAGTGGGTATACAAATTTGCATTCAAACCAGTAGTATGTAATAGTTCCTCTGTCTGCAAATCTACACTGCCCTTATCTTCCAAAGTTTTATTGCTGTTTCTGGTCATACTCGTTCTCTGGGGAGAAACTCTTCTGATGTGGAGAAACTTCTGTTACCTGAGAGGCTGTTTCAGGTTTTTTCAGAAATGCCTATGCCAGTCTTTTGGGCATTTTTAGTATTGGTTTTTGTCCACTTAGGTGTGACAAGCATTGTATATTGGTTTTTGTCCACTTAGGACCATTAGTTTCTTGAATATGTTAGATAAGAAGCCCTTCCAGATCCACAGTTTTCCATAATTTTCTCCCAGTCTGTAGGATGTTTTCTGTTGGGTTCACTGTTTTCTCTCCAGTGTTGAAGCTGTGTGAAGCTCTGAAGTTGTCCTTAGTTTCACATGGTCACATTAGCTTTTCTTAGTGGTGATTTCTGTGTCCCTTTGAGGAGAAAAGCAAGATGGTGAAGCCATTATGTATGGTCTATGGGTATTTGGTTCCTATGTCTTCGTTTTCTGCTTGTAGCTTAGGTTCACAGGTTCAAGTTTCCCCACAGTAGACATACACTCTATGCGTTTCCCTTGGAGATTTTGGTTTCAGGATTGAATTTAGGTGTTCAGTAGATTTTGTGTCACTTTTTGTGTCTTGGGTAAAGGAAGGGTTCGGTCCTTTACACGTGACCCCCACCCCCCCCCAACAGTTTCCTCAACCATTGTTGTGCTTTTGGGGTAAAAGCAAGAATCCCATGGGTTCAGTGTTTATAACTGTGGGTTGATTATTTGGCTCCTTCGTTGTGTCCATTCTGTTATCTTTCTGTGTTCATGCCACTAAGAGGATGGATTGGGTCACTGTAGGCTTTTTGTTTTGTTTTGTGTGTTTTCTTCCTTTTTTCTATTTTTATTTCCAAAGCTGGGTTTTCTAAAATGATAGCTACTTTTATTGTGATCAAGGGGTACGCCTGCAGGTTCACTTCACTACATGGCTATACAGTAGAATTTTGATGCTTGAGGTCCTAACGTACCTGTCGTCCAGGCAGTGAACACAGCACCAGTTGGGTCTTTCTTCCTCCAAGGCTCCCTGTCTCCCTTCTTTTTCTGTCTGGTAGTACCCAACGTCTGTTGATTTCATATTGATGTTGATGTGCATTGGGTGTTGAGCTTCCACTTATAAATGAGAACCTGCAGTGTTTGGTCTTCTGTTCTTGCCTCAGTTGCTTAGCAGAGTGGCCTCCAGTTCCACCCATGTTCCTACTGAGGGCATGATTTTGTTTCTGTGTTTGATTTTCCTTAGTGGTTTTTTCAGCATTCTGTGATGTATAGGTACCACATTTTAAAAAATCCAATTTTCTGTTGGTGGGCATCTAGGTCAGTTCCACATCTTTATTCCTGTCAGTAACACTCCCGTGGACATGTGAGTGTCTGTGTCCTTTTGATAGATGCATGTGTTTTTCCTTGGGGTAGACGCACCGGGTGGGATTGCTGCGTCAAAGCGTAGCTCTGCTTTCTGTCCTTTTTTTTTTCCAGAAATCTTCAGACTGATTTCCACAGTTTGAGATCTAGTTTGCATTACCTCCAAGAGAATAGCCATGTTTGCTTTTCTCTGCTGCCACACCAGCATGTTATGTTTTGACTTAGGACAAATGGCCACTCTGACCAGCGTGTGATGGCACCGGTACCTCATCTCTGATGATTGGTGATGTTGAGCATTCCCCACGCCTGTTGGAATGGCAATCCCTTGGAAATGTCTTCTCAATAGTTACTACCCATAGGTATGTTGCTCAGGCCACTGTGTGGCCCCAGCACTTGGTTTGCATAGGGACTTGGGGATTGTTTGTCATCATTAGCCGGGACAAATGTTACACTGCTGTTCCTACAGTGAGTAGTGGGAGTGGCGTATGGGGGCATATGCTTATGTCCACAGTTCCATCAGAAATCCCACTGCCTTAAGACAGTCTTACGGAAACCGAGTCCCAGCCTTGCAGCACCGGGTAGCCCTGTGGCATTTTGACATTGAGTGTGTCTGCATTGTTGAAGTCACTCAGCATGTTGCCATGCGTTTATCCACTTAGGTCAACGTTAAGGGAAGTTCATCGCCTCTGCTTCTTCAGTAACTGATGTCTGGTGCATCAACTGAATGCATTTCAGGCTTTTCAGCAGTTCCCCCAGATCTATGGGTAAAAAAAGGTTTTCACCATGCCCACCTCCCCAGTGAGTGACCAATGTCTCATTGTTAATGCATCTGATGCACAGAGTTTAGTGGTCTGAGGGAGGTCAGTCGCCAAGCGGAGATTGAAATCACATTTGTATTTACATTATTACTTTTCTACAGTTTGGTTTGTTGCAGGCTTTCACACTACTAATCTGGGCTGAATCCTTGAATTACTTTGTCTACCAAGGGTTTCAAAGAACTTGATAAACTTGTTCTAATTAGCCAACATATTCATCCATGTTGTCCGTATACCAGGTGTAAAAATAAAACGTTTCTTAATGCACACAGGACATGGAAGGCAATCTACACATTTTCAGGTGTAGACTTTGCTTGTGACTCTTTTGTGAGGAATAGTCATTGTTACTTTAGGAAAACCCTGAGTTTATCCAACTCTTGTTAGAATTGGATAAGTGTAAAAACCTACAATAGAATGCAAGTGTGAGAGCCAATTCCTCTGGTAAAATAAACTCATATTATTATTTATATATGTCTGGTCATTGTATTAATAAAATCAGTTTGTTTTGGCTGAAACACATGGTTGGCCTTTACAATAGATGTGAAAATGGGCTTATAGATCATTGCTCTTTATTGTGAATATTAGGTTGTATTTATTGCCAAACTCTTTCAACAGCTTCTAAGCAGTGAATTTTCAGTGCATTGTTGTTGTTCTCCAAGTACAAGCAGCCACTTCAGTTTTACCACATTCATCTTCCACACACTGATGAACCATATGGAGGCAGCAGGAATTGAAGTAGAACCAGAGGGAGTAGTTAGGACAGACATTCTGATTCATTCATTCTGATTCTCACTATTGTCAGTCAGTAAAGGTTCATTGAATTTTTCTTCTGATGAATAAAATGGTCAGTTTTCTCAGTGCAATGGCTTACTTTTGGAAGAGCAGCTCTAAAGACTTTACTACTGATTAGTAAAGTCTAAACTGCTTTCTGTATTTTTTTTTAAATTCAACTTTTATTTTAGACTGAATAAAAATGTGCAGGTTTATTGTGTGATACTGAGTTTTGGGGTACGATTGAAGCCATCACTAAGGTAATGAGCATCTCACCTTCTCCTTCTGTTCACTCTGTTACAGAGAACAGACCCTCCCAGTCTTCAGTGCACTCTAAATACTGGCTAATTCTGGCCAATGGAAGGCATCTGTGGAAGAAAAAAGCCTCAGATCATGTGCTGTCTGTCTTTATTCAGTGTGACATATTAGGTAATGGTCACAGACACTCACCATGGCCCCAGTTTTTAATAACATGACCCTGCTTTTGTGTTCCAGTAACTTCTGTTGTTTTCCCAATCCTAAGTATGATAGAAACTTCCTGCTGCTGCTAATCTCTGGGTTCCATTTAAAATCCTTCCATCACATGAATACTATGCTGTGTTCTAAATTTTTCCATAATTAAATACTTACAATTATTTTTGCCTACTTCTTTTGCCCCTTAGTGATATGTTTTAAAAACACTTATAATGTGTCACAATATATTTAGCAAATGTAGGGAATGACATTTTTACTTTCGTCAGCATTTACACTAGCATTTATGGAGCGATGCTATATAAAGTATTTTTAGTAATTTAAACGTTATATAACAGATATCCGTTGATTCCTTTGTTTCTACGTAAATAAGTATACTTGAGATATTCAGTAAACAGTATTGAATACATGTTTCATTTGTATAATATAAAATTATGATTATTCTTTTTAAACAGTACATCATATTTGCTTGTTGGCTTTATGATAACTTAGAAATAATATTCTGGATTAACTGTGTGACTCATGAGAAGATTTGTGCAACTATGTTTCCAAATTTACTTGATTTTCAAGACTTACACTAGAACTGTGAGAACAGGGTAATAAATAAGCATATGTATTAATATCACCTTTGGTCAACTCTTGGGTAGCCCCAACGGTAGTGTAGGAATTAACGTAATTTTTCCTACTAAAAGTATTGGATTTGTTTTGAGAGACCACAGTTGAAAATCATTGACATACAAAGTTTAAAAATTGTTAGGTTAAAAAATTTTAAATGCATTTGAAGTGGTTTTATAGAAAAATAATTATCTAACTTGGTTTATATTGACAGGTTGTTTTCTTGGATAAGAACTAGACGAAGAGAAAGGGAGATTAGTGATAAATGTCCAGGTTTTCAAGTTGAAAAGTAACAATCAGTGTATTACAACAGATGGATGTGATGTCAAATTACAAATGCTGAAAACGTTATATGTAATCATGTAGCCAGAGTAATCATACAAGGCAAAGAACGGAAAGGCATCCAAATAGGAAAGAGGCTGGAATGCAGTGGCACCATCTCAGCTCACTGCAACCTCCGCCTCTGGGTTCAAGTGCTGCTCCTGCCTCAGTCTCCCAAGTAGCTGGGACTACAGGTGCGTGCCACCACGCCCGACTAATTTTTGTATTTTTTTAGTAGAGACAGGGTTTCACCATATTGGCCAGGCTAGTCTCGAACTCCTGATCTCGTGATCCACACACTTCGGCCTCCCAAAGTGCCGGGATTACAGGCATGAGCCACCGTGCCCAGCCAATATAGAGATAATCTTAAAGACTCCATAAAAAAGAAAAAAAGTGTTAAAGCTGATAAACGCATTGAAAGTTGAGAGTTACAAAATTAACATACAAATAGTATTCTTGTTTCTATACACCAATGACAAACTGTTAACTGAAAAACAAATGAATAAAGTAATTCATTGGATAATAGCATCATAACATATATAAGTAAATAAAAGACTAAGGAGTAATTTTAATGAAGGATGTGAAATATTTGTATACTGAAAATTTATAGCATTGTTGAAAGAAATTGAAAGTGACATAAGTAGAAAAACATCCCATATTTATGGATTTGAAAAACTAATATCGTCAAAATTTCAATGCTACGGAAAGCAATCTACAGATTAATGCAATCACTGTCAAAATCCCATGCCATTCTTCACAGAAATAGAAAAATTAGTCCTAAAATCTGAGTGGAACCACAAAAGACTCTGAAAAACCAAAGCAATCTTGAGCAAAAAGAACAAAGCCAGAGGCATCAGGCTACTTGATTTTAAACAATATTAAAAAGTTATAGTACTTAAAACAGCATAGCACTAGCATAAAAACAGACACCTAGACCAGTGTGAAGGAATGTAGAACCTGTAAATGAATCCATGTGTCTGTGGTCCGTTGATTTTTGATAAAAGGACAAAGAATACACAATGTGGAAAGAAAATTCTCTTCAATAAATAATGTAGAGAAAAACTGACTATTCACATACAGAAGAATAAAATTGGATTGTTATTTCACTCTTTATACCAACATCAAGTAGCAATGCATGAAAGACTTAAATATAAACCTGAAACCATAAAACCGCTACAAGCAAAGACAGGAGAAAACCATATGACAGTGGCCTCAGCTATGATTTTCTACAGATGACCCCAAAAAGTACAGGCAACAAAAGCAAAAATACACGAACGAGATGCCGTAAAACTAAGAAGCTTCTCTGCACAGCAAAAGAAACAGTAATAGATTGAAGAGACAACCCACAAATGGGAAGAGAATGTTTTTAAACCATATCTCAGGTAAGGGGTTCATACCAATAATATGTAAGGAACTCAACCCAGAAATGAGAAAACAAGCTTACTAAAAAATAAGTAAAGGAGTTGAATAGACATTTTCTAAAAACAGACATACAAAAGGCCAGATTTTTATCAAAAATGTTGATAAAAAACATCAACATTCCTAATTATCAGAGAAATAGATGTCAAAACCATGAAGATATTATCTCACAGATGTTACTGAGGTTATTATAAAAAAGATGTGGCCGGGCACGGTGGCTCACACCTAAAATCTCAGCACTTTGGGAGTCCAAGGCAGGTGGATTGCCTGAGGTCAGGAGTTTTAGACCAGCCTGGCCAACATGGTGAATCCCCGTCTCTACTAAAAATACAAAAAATTAGTTGGGCGTGGTGGCATGCACCTGTAATTCCAGCTACTTGGGAGGGTGAGGCAGAAGAATTGCTTGAACCTGGGAGGTAGAGGTTGCAGTGAGCCAAGATTGCGCCACTGCACTCCAGCCTGGGTGACAGAGCAAGACTTCATCTCAGTAAATAAATAAATAAATAATTAAAAAATGATGGAAGATAACTATTGATTAGAATGTGGAGAAAACGGTTGTACACTGTTGGTCGGAATTGAAATTATTACCACCATCTTGGAAAATAGTATGAAGCTTTCTCAAGAAATTATAAATATATTTACATTATGATTCATCAATGCCTCTTCTGGATATACGTCTAAAGAACTTAAAATCAGTATGTCAAAGAGACATCTGCAATTTCATGTTCATTGCAGAGTTATTCATAATAGCTGTGATTTAGAAACAACCTAAGTGTTTATCAACTGAAGAATGGATTAAAAATATGTGAAAATTTGAAACCCTTATACACTGCTGATGAGAGTTTAAAACAGTCTGGCAGTTCTTCAAAAGGATAAGTATAGAATTACCATATGACTCAGTAAATTAACTCCTATGTATACACCAAAAAGAAATGAAAACAAATGTCTACTCAAAAGGTAGCATACAAGTACTTACAGCAACAAAAAGTGGGAAGCAACAGAAATGTCCATGAATTGCAGAGTGGATTAATAAAATGTGGTCTGTCCATGAAATACAATAGTATTTGGCAATAAAAAAGAAAAAGGTATTAATATACATGCTTCAAAAAGGATGAATGTTAAAAACATAAGTGAAAGCAGTGGGTCACACATAACTATGTATTATTATGATTCCGTTTACATGAAATGTCCAGAACAGGCAAATCCTTCCAGAGTAGGCAAATCCTTAGTTAGGAAGTGGGTGGATGGTTGCCTAGGGCTGGGAGGGGTTTCAAGGAAGTGGAGAAAATGGGAAAAGATTGCTAATGAGTGCAAGGTTTCTTTTAAGGAGCATAAAAATGTTCTAAAATTATATTGTGATTGTTTATCCACCCAGTTAATACACTAACAAATTGAAATGTACACTTTAAATGAGTGAATTAAATAACGTATAAATTACATCTCAATGAACTTGTGAAGAAAGTTAAAAAATATGTGATGCATACACAGATACACAAAAACTTATTGTATTTTTTTATTTCCATAGGTTTTTGGGGAACAGGTGGTGTTTGATTATATGAGTAACTCCTTTAGAGGTGATTAGTGAGATTGTGGTGCACCCAACACCTGAGCGGAATACGCTGTATCCAATTTGTAGTCTTTTATTCCTCACCCGCCTCCCACCGTTTCCCCCAAGTCCCCAAAGTCCACTGTAGTATTCTAATGCCTTTGCATCCTCATAGCTTCGCTCCCACTTGCGAGTGAGAGCAAACTGTGTTTGGTTTTCCATTCTTAAGTTACTTGACTTAGAATAGTAATCTCTGATCTCATCCAGGTTGCTGTGAATGCCATTATTTTTTTCCTTTTTATGGCTGTGTGTGTGTGTGTATATATTATATCGATAATATATATATATAATAATTTCTTAATCTACTCATTGATTGATGGGCATCTGGGCTGGTTACATATTTCTGCAGTTGTGAATTGTGCTGCTATAAACATGCGTGTACAAGTATCTTTTTCACATAATGACTTCTTTTCCTCTGGTAGATAACCCAGTAATGGAATTGCTGGATTAAACGGTAGTTCTACTTTTAGTTCTTTAAGAAATTTCCACGCAGTTTACTGTAGTGGTTGTACTAGTTTACATTCCCACCAGCGGTGTAAAAGTGTTCTTTTTTCACCATATCCCCACCCACATTTATTATTTTTTGATGTTTTCATTATGGCCATTCTTGCCAGGAGTAAGGTGGCATGGCATTGTGGTTTTGATTTGCATTTCCCTGATCATTAGTGATGATGAGCATTTTTTCATGTTTGTTGCCCATTTTTATATTTTCTTTTGAGAATGGTATATTCAAGTCCTTAGCCCATTATTCAAAGGGATTGTTTTTTTTCCTGCTGAGTTCTTTGTGGATTCTGGATATTAGTCCTTTCTTAGATGTATAGATTGTGAAGATTTTCTCCCATTCTGTGGGTTGTCTGTTTACTCTGCCAATTGTTTCTTTTGCTGTGCAGAAACTTTGTGGATTAATTAAGTCTCACCTGTTTATCTTCATTTTGTTGTCGTGCTTGCTTTTGGGTTCTTGGTCATGAAGTCTTTGCCCAAGCCAATGTGTAGAAGGGTTTTTCCAATGTTATCTTATAGAATTTTTATGGTTTCAGGTCTCAGATTTAAGTTGACTTTTGTATAAGGTAAGAGATGGGGATCCAGTTTCATTTTTTGGCATGTGGTTTGCCAGTTTTCCAAGCACCATATGTTGAATAGGGTGTCCTTTCCCCACTTTGTTTTTGTTTGCTTTGTCAAAGACCAGTTGGCTGTAAGTATTTGGGTTTATTTCTGGGTTCTCTATTCTGTTTCATTGGTCTATGTCCTTATTTTTATACCAGTATTATACTGTTTTGCTAACTATGGCCTTGTAGTATAGATTGAAGCCAGGTAATGTAATGCCTCCAGATCTGTTCTTTCTGCTTAGGCTTGCTTTGGCTATGCAGGCTCTTTTTTGGTTCCATATGAATTTTCGAATTATCTTTTCTAGTTCTGTGAAGAATGATGGTGATATTTTGATGGAAATTGCTTTCAAATTGTAAACTGCTTTTGGCGTTATGGTCATTTTTACAATATTGATTTTACCCATCTATGAGCATGAGAGGTGTTTCCATTTGTTTGTGTCATCTGTGATTTCTTTCAGCAGTGTTTTGTAGTTTTCTTTGTAGAGGTCTTTTATACTTCCTTGTTAGGTATATTCCTAAGTGTTTTATTTTATTTTTTTGCAGGTATTGTAAAAGGGATTGAATTCTTGATCTGATTCTCAGCTTGCACATCGTTGGTGTATAGCAGATCTATTGATTTGGGTACATTAATTTTGTATCCTGAATTTTTGCTGAAATTATTTATCAGTTTAGGAGCTTTTTGGAGGAGTCTCTAGGTATACAATCATGTCATCAGCAAACAGTGACAATTTGACTTCCTATTTACCGATCTGGATGCCCTTTATTTCTTTCTCTCATTTGATTGCTCTGGCTGGGCCTGTCAGTGCTATGTTGAATAGAAGTGGTGAGAGTGGGCATCCTTGTATTTATTGTTCCAGTTCTCAGAGGAAATGCTTCTAACCTTTCCCCATTTAGTATTATGTTGGCTGTGGGTTTGTCACAGATGGTTTTTATTACCTGAAGCTATGTCCCTTCTGTGCATTTTTTGCTGAGGGTTTTAATTATAAATGGATGCTGGATTTTGTCAAATGCCTTTTCTGTGTTTATTGAGATGATTATGTGACTTTGCTTTTAATTCTGTTTATGTGATTATCACACTTATTGACTTGCCTGTGTTAAACCGGAAGAGCCAAGGTGTTCTCAGGAGCCACCGTGTGCCACGGCAGCTTCGGGATAACTTGAGGCTGCATCCTGGGGAAGAAACACCTCCTGTCCGTGGCGCTGACGGCTGAGGACAGAGCTTTGGTGTGGCTTCTCTGCGGCTGGCTTCTTCGGGGAGTTCTTCCATCATGGTGAGTACAGAAGCTTTCGTTTTCTGGAATGTTCTATGTATTCCTGATGGGTCTTCCTTTTTTCTTTCTTTCCATCTTAGTATGAATTTTATAGTAGTACTCAGTCCCTGAGGGCTTTTGAGGTTGGAAAGAGTAGGAGGCTTTAGGGCTGTTTCTGAGGGAGACTCCCCATGTAGATGGAGAGAGAGGAAAGCTCTGGCTGTGGGAGGAAGAGGAAGCGCGGCCTAGGTGGGGTTTTGGGACCAGGCCCCAGTTTGGCTGCCTTGCATCCAAGCCTCAGGTGGAAGGAAAGGATCCCAGCCACCTCCAGGGTTTGCTGATTTTTTAATTGGTTTTATTTTTTTGGAGATAGGGTCTGGCCCTGTTGTGCATCCTGGAGTGCAGTGGCAGATCTCCGCTCACTGCAGCCTCCACTTTCTGGGCTCAAGGGATTCTCCAGCCTCAGTCTCCCCATTAGCTGGGCTTGTGCCACCATGCCCAGCTATTTTTTTTTTTTTTTCATATTTTTGCTGGCCACGGGGTTTCGCCATGTTACCCAGGCTTATCTTGAACTTCTGAACTCAAAGCAATCCTTCCACTTCGGCTTCCCTAAGTGCTGGGATTACAGGTGTGAACTACTGTGCCTGGTCTGCTGAATTTTGTTTTTCTTGTATTTTTGGTAGAGGCAAGGTTTCGCCATGTTGCCCAGGCTGGTCTCAAACTTCTGAGCTCAAAGCAATCCTCTCGCCTCAGCTTCCCAAAGTGCCGGGATTACAGGCATGAACTACTGCAGGTGGTCTACTGAATTTTTACATTTGTTTCCCAGCCGTCGGGACATAGGGGTCACTTTTCTCAACACCCCCCGCCCCCCACAGCGTCTGCCTAACTCTGTCCATCTAGTCACGGCCACCTGACTGTGGAGGAAGCGCCCTTCCATGTGGTTTAATGTCTTCTTTGCAGAAATGTCTATTCAGGTTCCCTGCTCAGTTTTGGATGGATCATTTGTTTGTTGTTGCTACTTAGTACTATTAATGTGTTGCATATTTTCCATAACAACCCCCATTAGCCGATATGTGATTTGTTCTCCCAGCCTTCCTCTTTGGGCTCATTGTTTCCTTTTCCTTGCAAAAAGTTTTCACTTTGATGTAGCCATGCATGTTTTTTTTATGGCCAGGCGTGATGGTTCATGCCTGTAATCCAAGCACTTTGGGAGGCCAAGGTGGGCAGATCACTTGAGCCAAACAATTTGAGACCAGCCTAGGCAACGTGGCAAAACTTCATTTCTACAAAAAAATACAAAAAAATTAGCCAGGCGTGGTGGTGTGTGCCTGTAGTTCCAGCTATTCAGGAGGCAGAGGTGGGAGGATCACTTGTGCCGGAGAGGTCAAGGCTGCAATGAGCCATGATCATGCCACTGCACTCCAGCCTGAGTGACAGAGTCCCTGTCTCAAAAAAATTTTTTTGATCTTTTTAGTAACATTCATTTCAATAAGAGTGAAATGACATCTGAGTGTGGTTTTGAAGTACTTTTTTTTGATGAACAGTGATGTTGAGGACCTTTTCTCTTACCTGTTAGTTTTATGTCATCTTTGCAGATAACTCTATTCAAGTTTTTTGCTCAATATGAGTTCAGATATGTATTTTTATGCTACTTAGTATTGCTTTTTTCTGTGTACATGTTTGGTAACAACAATTTATCACTTCTATGATTCCCTCAAATTTTCTAACAATTTTTTTTTTGAGACTGTCTCATTCTCTTACCCAGGCTGGAGCACTGCGGCATATCAGGGATTGTGAGTCCTCCAACTTAGTTTCTATTTCTCAGGATTCCTTAGACATTCAGGGCCATTTCCATGTGATCATTAGCATTGCGTATTCACATTTCTTAAATTTCTGTGCGTAATAAAGTATATAATTAGAGAGTATGCTGGGACTGTTTTTCCTCTGGGACATTTTGGTACATGTATATTTTTAGTAATGATCAAATCAGGGTACTTGCTGTATCTGTTCTCATACAGGTATTATTTCTCTGTTGTGATAACACTCAAATTGCTCCCTTCTGGCTTTATTGAAAAATGTACTATTTTGTTAACCAGAGTCACCCAGCTGTGGTATAGAATGCAAGAATGTGTTTGTCCCAACTAACTGCAACTTTGTTTCCATAACCAATCCTTCCATCTCCTCCTTCCCCTGTCTTCGGAAAACCACTACTGTACCTTGTACTTATTGAAGGCAAAGTTTTTTGGATTCCATATAAGTGAGATGAATTTGCTTGTTTTTCTATGCCAGGCTTATTTTATTTAACAATATATTTTCCAGGTTCATCCATATGGCTCCAAATGAAAATTACATTATTTTGTTAAGGATGAAGAGTATTATTGCATTGTGCAGATACACTGCAGTGTCTTCATCTCTTGATGTGTGGTTGGATAGGTAGGTTCATTCCATATCTTCTATATTGTGAATAGCGCTTCATAAAACATGGGAAGGCAGATAATTTTTTATGGTACCAGTTGCCTTTGCTTTAAATGCATACCCAGTATGAGAAGCTCCCAAGTTTTTTTCACAGTATGTTCACCAATTTACATCGACATCAATAGCATATATGAGTTTCCCTTTCTGTAAGTCTACACTGGTTGCTGCCGTCCAAAATTTTTATTGCTGTTTGGGTAATATTCATTCTCAGTGGAGTTTGATGGTATCTGATATCGGAGTGTGATTCTGACTTACATGTTTGGAGTGATTAGTGATGTGGAGAAACTTCTGTTTCACCTGTGAATCAGTTTCATGTCCTTTGCAGAGGTGGTTGTGTATATCCTTTGCATATTTTTAGCTCGTGTATTTTTTTTTAATCTTTTCCCCACTTAGTAGCTTTAGTGCTTGAATATGTTAGATAACAACCCCTTCCAAAATTATGATTTTCCACAGTTTTCCCCCAATCATCCTTTCCGCCAAGGTAGGATGCTTTCTCTTTGGGGTCATTGTTTTCTCCCACATGCGGAAGCTCTAAAGTGTTGGTCTCACAGGTTTATATTTGCTTTTGTCAGCATGGATTTCTGTGTCTCATGAGAGAGAGAGAGAGAGAGAGAGAAAGTGAGAGAGAAAGAGATGGCAAAGTCATTGTATTTTCTATGGGTATTTTCCCCCTAAGTGAGAACATGTGGTATTTGGTTTTCTGTTCTTTCCTTAGTTTGCTTAGCATAGTGGCCTGCAGGTTCATCCTTCTTGCTGCCGAGAGCATGAATTTGTTTAAGCTGTGTAGGATTTTGCAGTATCTATATACAACACTTTAAAACATCGAATCAACTGTTAAAGGGAACATAGGTCAATTTTATTTTATTTTTTCTTGTGAATAGCACTACCAAGAACATACCCATGTCTGTGTCATTTTGAAAGAAGGGTTTATGATTTAGTTTCCTCTGTCTAGATACCCAGTTATGCGATTGCCCATTTGGATGGTAGTTGTTAAGTTTTTTGAGGAACCTCCAAACCGCTTCTCATAGTGTGAGCACTAGTTTTTATTCCCTCCAAGAGTGTAGCAGTGTTTGCTTTCCTCCGCTGCCTTGTCAGCATGTAAATGTTGGACTTTGGACAAATGGCCATTCTGACCGACGGGAGATGGTATCTCAGTGTGTGTGTGAGTTGCATTTCTCTGATGATGAGTGATGTTGAGGGTTTTTTTTGTCTATTGGTCACTTGTACATCTTATTTTTACAAGAACGTCTTCATGTCTTTTACCCATTGTTTGATTGGGTTATTTGTCTTTCTGCCTCTTGATTTTTTTAAGGTCACGTTAGAGTCTGGCTATTAGGTCTTGGTCAGAAGCATAGTTTGGGAACATTTTCTCCCATCCTGTAGGCTATGTTTTTACTGTGCTGGTGATTTATTTTGCTGTCTGGCAGTGTTTTAGTTTCTTAGGCCCAACTTGTCCATTTTGGTTTTTCTTGCCGTTGCTCTTAGGGACTAAGTTATTTAAATTCTTTACCAAAGCCCGTGTTGAGAAAGGTATTTCCTAGTTTTTCTTGTAGGACTTGTATAGTTTGTAGTCTTCTGCTGAAATCTTTCATTCACCTTGAGTTAGTTTTTGCATCTTGTGAGAGGTAAGGCTGTAGTGCTGTTCATCTGCAAGTGGCTAGACACTATCCCAGTGCCATTCATTGCACAGTGAGCCCTTTCCACATCTGAATTTTGGTGTTTCAAAGGTCAGATGGTTGTGGGTATGTGGGGTTGCTTCTGGGTTTCCTATTCTGTCTAGGTGGAGGTGGGTCTGTAGCTTTTCTGTGAAATTTGAAATTGGAGAGTGTGGTCCATCTGACATCGTCTGAATCTCCCAGCCTGGCTTTGGAGTTTCAGAGCATTTTGTGGTCCCATGGGAATTTTAGCATTCATTGTTTCTTCACATTGCTTTCAAAAAACAAAATCGACCCCATCCTAAAGGTGTACAGGTAGGGGGTAGAGTGGAATATTTGGATCCATGCATGCATCACATAGTGATGAAATCAGGGTATATAGTGTCGTTTTTGGCCTTGTAGAGTGTTCCTGTCTTTGAGTTGAGGAGAGCCAGAACCCTTCTTTCTGGCTGTCTTGAAAACTATCCTCTGGTAAAGTTTTCTCTAGTCACCCTGCTGAGGAATAGAACAGCAGGTTTCCATTTCTCTTATGCAATGTGTCACTTTGTACCTGTTTCCTGTCCCCACCCATGCCCAGCCTTCTGTTCCAACCCTGGCAAGCACTATGGTGCTTTGTAGGTCTATGTGAGATTAAAGGGTCTTAGATTCCCCATGACTGAGGTAATGTGAGGTTTGTCTTTCTCTGCCTAGTGACAGACATTTAACATAATGTCCTCCAGGTTCCACAGTGTTGCCACAGATGACGTGATTTCAGTACCTGTGTATGGCTAAAAAGTGTTTGTTTGTGAATGGATATTGCGGTTTCTGGATCTCATCCTCTGCAGGTGGACAGGTAGGTTGATTCCTTATCTTGGCTATTGCGACTGGTTCCAGAGTCAGCATGGGAAGGCAGATGTGTCTTCTGTGTACTGGTGACATATGATTCCAGTGCACACCCTGCGGTAGCGTGGCTCGGTGAAATGGTCGTTGTATTTTTAGTTTTCAGAGGAGCCTCCAGGTGGCCTCTGTAGTGTGCGTACTAATTTACCTTGCCAACAGTTGTGGATAAGAGAGCTCCCCTCTCTGGAAATTCACAGCAGCATTTGTGGTTTCCCTTCTTTTAATATATATGAAGTTCTTTGTAATACTCTTTCCTTTGAGAGGGACACGATATCTGAGTCTTGTTCTGATTTTCATTTTTCTTATGATTAGTGATACTAACTAGGTGTTAACAAGTACATTTGTTTTCAGTGTTGTGTGTTCTTTGCAGAAAAGACTCTTTGGTTTCTTTGCCCAATTTTGGTTTGCTAATTACCTTCTCTTTTCTGCTGTTTTCTGCTAGTTAGTAGTGTTAGTTACTTACACCTTTTCCAAAAGTCTCCTTAGCTGTGTTTTCCCTGATATCTTTCTTATCATCCTTTGGATGTTTGTTTCTTTTCATTCATTGTTTTCGTTCTTTCTTGCCCCCAAGCCATATAGTCTGATGAGTCTGATGCGTATTCAGGGGTGTGCAGTGTTGTGGTTTTCCACCACGTTGGTTACTGATGAAATAAAGGAAATTCACTAGCATACGAATCTGTTGTGAGTTTTGCTTGTTTGTTGTTTGTATTCTTTTCTTTCCCCCATATTTTTTCGTTTTCGTTTTTGCAAACTGTAAGCATAGATCCAGGTTGACCCAGGTATCTGCACACCATATACTTTCTTCTCAGAGAGTGATAGTTTCAAGTTTTGGGTATAGGTCTTTCATTCATGTTGAATAGATGGTTGTGAATTTCACACAATAAGGACCCTATGTTGTTATTTTGCCTAGGGATATCCAGTTCTCAGAACGCTGTATTGGACAGACTGTCCATTCCTGTGGTGACTTTTGCGGTTCTTTCTAAACATGTGCTTACGCTATATCAATTTGAATTTACTCCTGGGCATCCTCATTGTGTCCGTTGGCCTGTGTTTCTCTGCTAATGCCTATCACAAATCATCTGGGTAACTAAAGTTTTGGGAAGTAGTTTAAAGTGGAAGAGTGTGATGGCTCCACCGACTTTGTGTGTGTAGGAATCTGGGTAACTAAAGCTTTGGGAAGTAGTTTAAAGTGGAAGAGTGTGATGGTCCACTGACTTTGTGTGTGTAGGAATCTGGGTAACTAAAGCTTTGGGAAGTAGTTTAAAGTGGAAGAGTGTAATGGCGCTCCACCGACTTTATGTGTGTAGGAGCTGCTTTGGGAGTGCGGGGCACTTCATTGTCCCACAGGACTTTCAGAAATGTGATGTGATCCTATTTGAAAACAAAAATTTCACATGGTCTATGCTTTTACTTTAAGGGTGCAAGGGACCGTTTGACATATGGATCAGTGCTGTTGTGATCAGATTACAGGAACTCGCGTCTCTGTTTCAGGCTACAGTGAGGATTTCTTGGTGGAGAGCGTACCCCGATCACCCCTTCACGCTATATCGAATATCATGCTAGGGTATTGTTAAGCCTAGTCACCCTGCTAAGCCGTAGAACACCAGAATTCTTGCCATTCATCTGAGTGTCACTTTGTAGCTGTTTCCAAGCCTCCCCTCAGCCTCTGGTACGCACTGCTGACGTTGCTCCTCTATGAGATTCACTTCGTTAGATTCCACGTGCGTGAGATTGTGCTGTGTTTGTGTTTGTCCTCCTGTGCCTGGCTCATTTCCTTTAACTTAATGTCCTTCAGGTTTCTCCACCTTGCTGGAAGTGACCTGATATCCAGAAGTTTGATGGCTGAGGAGTATACCATTGTGCTTGCGTCCTTCATTTCCTGCATTTCTTCCTCCATGGATGGACAGGTAGATTACCTCTATACCCTGGTTATTGTCCAGAGTACTTCATCAAACATGGGAAGGCAAATATCTCCTTAAGTTTCAAGTTTCCTTGGCTTTGCCGGTATACCCAATGTTGGGATGGCTAGAGGAACTGGTAGTTGTATTGTCATTTCAGAAACCTCCTGCTGTCTCTCCCAGTGGATATACAAATTTGCATTCCTACCAATAGTGTGTGAGAGTTTCTCTGTCTGCAAATCTACACTGCCCTTATCTTCAAAAAGTTTTATTGCTGTTCCTGGTCATACTCGTTCTCTGGGGAGTTTGGCAGTATCTGAGTGTGGTTGGGATTTACATTTAGGGGATGATTACTGATGTGGAGAAACTTCTGTTACCTGCAAGTCTGTTTCAGGTCTTTTCAGAAATGCCTATGCCAGTCCTTTGGGCATTTTTAGTGTATGTATTGTTTTTTATGATTTTTTCCACTTAGGACCATTAGTTTCTTGAATATGTTAGATAAGAAGCCCTTCCAGATCCACAGTTTTCCATAATTTTCTCCCAGTCTGTGGGATGTCTTCTGTTGGGTTCACTGTTTTCTCTCCAGTGTTGAAGCTGTGTGAAGCTCTGAAGTTGTCCTTAGTCTCACGTGGTCACATGAGCTTTTGTTAGCGGTGATTTCTGTGTCCCTTTGAGAAGTAAAGCGAGATGGCAAAGCCATTGTATGGTCTACGGGTAGTTGATTCCTATGTGTTTTCTGTTTGTAGCTTAGGTTCACAGGTTCAAGTTTCCCCACAGTAGACACACACCCTATGCGTTTTCCTTGGAGGTTTTGGTTTCACAATTGCTCTTTGGTGTTCAGTGGATTTTGTGTCATTTTTTGTGTCTTGTGTAAGAGAAGGGTTTATTTCAGTCCTTTGCACATGAACCCCCCAGTTTGTTCAACCATTGTGCCTTTGGTGTGCTTTTGGGGGAAAAGCAAGAATCCCATGGGTTCAGTGTTTATAATTGTGGGTTGATTATTTGGCTCCTTTGTTGTGTCCATTCGGTTATCTTTCTGTGTTCATGCCACTAATGGATGGATTGGGCCACTGTAGGCTTTTTCTTTTGTTTTGTGTGTTTTCTTGTATTTTTTTCCTTTTTTTCCATTTCCATTTCCAAAGCTGGGTTTTCTAAAATGATAGCTACTTTTATTGTGATGGAGGGGTGTATGCCTGCAGGTTCATTTCACTACATGGCTATACAGCAGACTTTTGATGCTTGAGGTCCCAACTTACCCGTCACCCAGGCAGTGAACACAGCGCCAGTTGGATCATTCTTCCTCCAAGGCTTCCTGTCTCCCTCCTTTTTCTGTCTGGTAGTACCCAACGTCTGTTGATTTCATCTTTATGTTCGTGTGTGTTCAGTGTTGAGTTTCTGCCTGTAAGTGAAAATCTGTGGTGTTTGGTCTTTTGTTCTTGCCTGAGTTCGCTTAGCAGAGTGGCCTGCAGTTCTATCTATGTTGCTGCTGAGGGCATGATTTTGTTTCTGTGTTTGATTTTCCTTGGTGGCTTGTTAGTATTCTGTGGTGTATAGGTATCACATTTAAAAACACCTGATTTTCTGTTGGTGGGCATCTAGGTCAGGTCCACGTCTTTATTCCTGTGAGTAGCACTCCCATGAACATGCAAATGTGTGTGTCTTTTTGATAGACACATGTATTTTTCCCTGGGGTAGATACACAGGGTTGGATTGCTGGGTAGAAGGGTAGCTCTGCTTCCTTTCCCTCTTTGTTGTTGTTGTTGAGGAATCTTGAAACTGCTCTCCGCAGTGTGAGACCTAGTTTGCATTACCCCAAGAGTGTAGCTGTTTTCGCTTTTATGTACTGCTACACAAATATGTTTTGTGTTTGGACAAATGGCCATTCTGACTGGTGTGTGATGGCACTGGTACCTCATCTCTGATGATTAGTGATGTTGAGCATTTTCTCGTGTCTGTTGGTCTTTTTTAGGTCTTGTTTTGACTAGTGTGTTTGTATCATTTGCCCATTTTTTACTTGTGTTATTTTTCTGCTTCTTGATTTAGGTAAGGTCCTCTAGATTCTGGCTGTTAGAACTTGGTCAGATGCTTGGTTTGGGAACATTTTCTCCCATCATGTAGGCTATGTGTTTACTGTGTTGGCAATTGCTTTGCTGTGCAGCAGGTCCGTAGTTTCTTAGGCCAGACTTGTACTTTTTGTTTTTTCTTGCATTTCTTTTGGGTACTAAATTGTCTTAAGTGGTTTGCAAAAGCCTGTGTTGAGAAAGGTGTTTAATAGGTTGTCTGTTAGGACTTTTATATTTGAAGTCTTCTATTTCAGTCTTTGGTTCATCTTGAGTTAATTTTCCATATGATGACAAGCAGGGCTGCAGTGTTAATTGTCCTGCACATGGCTAGTCATGTATCCCAGTGCCATTCATCGCATAGTGAGCCTTTTCTTTCTTATTTCTGTGGTTTTGTCAAAGGTCAGATGGTTGTACTTCTGCCAGGCTACTTCTGCATTTTCTAACTTGTCTAGGTGAAAGCTAGGTCATTTTTTTTCTGTTACGATCTATTCTGATTTCTTGGGTTCAAGAACAGATAAATAAATTTTAGAAACTGAAGAACCCACTTAGACATTCTCAAGGTTAGAAACCATCACCATCATCCTATTCTGTGATGCTATGGACTTTATTGAGTTACATCTTTGCCCTTTTCCCTCAAGTCTCTCCTCTGGATTTATTTTGTGAAATTAGATTCTGAATCACATTTTGTTGCATAAACTGTGCTTGAGCAAAAAAAAAATTTTTTTTTCTAAAAACATCCTTAGTATACATGGGGTGAAGAACAACAAACGTGTCTCCTCTTTCCACTAGTCACACCATTACACTCCTTTCCAGCCTCTTTGCTGCTGCATATGGCCATTCAAATGAGCCCTGGCTAAGTACATGTCGATAGAAGTTAATGTTTGCTTCTTGCAAGCCTGGCCCGTGATTCTATGTTCTGATTTAGAACATTCTGATTTAGAACATAAAAAGGAAGTGAGACTTGCTGAATGAGACAGAGAAAGCACTCTTGAACGCTTCCTCTGACAAGCTCCGAGGCACACTAGTTGTCTTGCAGTGCTTTGGACAGCTACTCATTTGTTGGACAATAATTTCCCAACATGGGGACAACCCAGAACATTTTCCACGTTCATATTCTGCTTCAGTTGCTCATGGTTTTGGTCAAAGCTAGACAGTGACTAATGCAGGAGACTCAGACCCCAGGCCAGCGTGGAGTCCTGTGGTTGAAGACAGGCTGGACCGTCAGAGGAAGAAAACAGCCATTTTTTCTGGATTTTCACTTTCTCTGTTTTCAGGAAACCTGAAGCCGGTTATGTTATTCAGGCATGACTGAAAAGATTATTTTGAGTTGTTTTGGTGGCACCAAGAAATGTGCCAATGTGACGGCCAAAAAAGCAGAAAGACCAAGGCATTGAGTGTGGGAGAGCCACTGATGATGCTGGGTTTGGTAGGCTTTTCGAGATCTCCCAGCCCCAAAACAGCCAAGCAACTTTGTCCTGGGTTGTGAGTGGGCTCAGCCCCTGTGTACACCCATGCTTGGATTCTGGCACACATGGCACCCACAGGAGGCAACGCCCCCTCCAGGAGACCGGTTGGCAGGACCCTGTCTCCACACGTGAAGACAGCAGGCAGAACCCACACGTCCTCTACTTCTCCCAGTGCCAGTCACCCGTGGGGGTTCACGATGAGACCCACAGGTCCAACCTGCAGGCAGAGTTACCACCCCAGCCTGAGTCAAAGTGGACCTTTTTCTGCCAGAGGGGTCTGCTTTCCCATTGGCCAAAATGGCCTCAAATGACAGGGACAGAACAAGGCACAAGTGCCCATTAGAGTGTCTGAGCCCACCTGCTGTCTGCTCCCACACATCTCCTGGGAGGTCCCAGCAGGCACCCAGGCCTGGGCCACAGCTTACCCCACATTCAGAAGTGGATAGCACAGCTGCCCTGTGCAGGCCTCAGGGAGGAAAGGGAGAAAGAGACATGACAAAAGCAAGACAGAAGAAATGCAGCAAAAGCACACACACACACACACACACACACACACACACTGACACTCATCTGGGGCAGGCCATCCTGTCACCATGACGAGCAGTGCAGGCAGCCGAGAGCCGGGCAGGAGGCGGTGCCGCTGTCCCCTGAGTTAGGGTCTGGATCCAGGGAAGAACATAGAGTCCATAGAGTCAAGGGCCACTGACCTCAGGACCTGCAGTTTGCAGGGAGGGGATGCTGTGAGAAGAACTGTTCCACGTCACAGCTAAATATGTCTGACTTCAAGAAAATATTTCAAACCAAAGTACATTTATGGAAGATTCTCGATGATATAAAAAAAGCACAGTTTAGAAAATGGGAAAGCAATCACTGGACAGATTCATATATTTTCATCTAAATTTAGTTACAGAGTTTTTCTAAAACTGGGATCAGGCCAGGTATGGTGGCTCAGGCCTGTAATCCTAGCACTTTGGGAGCCTGAGGCAGGAGGATCACTTGAGACTGGGAGTGGGAGACCAGCCTGGGCAACATGGTGAGACCCCTTATCTCTACCAAAAATACAGAACTTGGCCAGTCATGGTAGCACGCCCCTGTAGTCCCAGCCACTCAGAAGGCTGAGGTGGGAGGATTGCTTGAACCTGGGAGGTTGAGGCTGCAGTTAGACAAGATTGCACCACTGCATTCCAGCCTGGGTGACAGCCCGTCTCAAAAAATAATAACAATAATTCCTGATTTTAATAACGATTCTGGAGTTGTGTAGGTTCTCACTCACGTGGGAGCTAAAGAAACTTGATCCCATGGACAAAGAGAATACAATGGCAGTACCAGAGGCTGGGAAGACTGGGTATGTGGAAGGGAGAATGAAGAGAAGTTGGCTATTGGGTACAAACCTACATTTAGAAGAAATAGGCTGTAATGTTTGACAGCAGGCTGTGGTGGCTAAGTAATATTATTATGTGTAAATATTCAAAGTAACCAGAATACACATTTTATGCATGTAACAAGTATTTGTATGTACCCTACAAAGAGGTAAAATATTATGTGTCAGTAAGATGGAGAGGTTATGCCCAAGCCTCCAGAGAGGGGCTCCTTGGATCCACACATCACATCTTGCCCACCTGCATCCATTGCTGCACTATGCTCGTCATATCTGGGCCTTCATGTTCTGGTCCCCAAGGCAGGTGATGCTGAGTCAGGTGGCCACACTGTGGACCTGGGTGTTGGTGGCCCAGAGGGTGGGTGCTAGAGGCTTCCTGCCCTTCTTGTTCCACTGGGACCAGATGGAGCCAGGCAGTGACAGGCTACCACCTTCTTGACCAGATCCTGGAACACAGGAGTGTCTCACCTGGCCCCTCATCATCCCAACTTAGCACCCAAGGTACCTTCGGGCCTGGACCATGGCTGGGCCGGAACTCAGGATGGTTAGGATGCAGCTCAAGCCTTGTGGCATCTCTGGGTTCTCTGTCCACTGAGGGTGCCCTGGGACACAAAGCTGGTGGGAAGAGGTTGGCATTTCCCCAGCCTATCCTTACTCATGCCAAGCACCCCAGACTGTCCTTCCTGGTGCATTGCCCTGGTCACATTCCCCAGGGCAGCTCAGGGCTTTGTTTAGGGATTTCCCATAGTCAGGTGCCTGATAAGTGTTGAGATGTGCAAGGCCACGTGGGCAGATGGGTAGGTACTCTTTGGTGAGCACCCCCAGCAGGGCAGTCCCCCACCCAGGTGTCTACCTGCTCCTGCTTGTGTTTGACTGTTACAGCACCTCATGCCAGGGCCACCAGCTCCCATCCCTCCTGTCAGGAAGGACACAGACAGCAAGCGTCTGGGGGTAAGGCATTTGCCAGGTGACACAGGTGGCGAGTGCCGGAGCTGGGATTTGAACCCGGATCATGGTACTCTGTATGGGGCAATGGAAGGTTTGAGGATGCCCATGTAGGAAGGAAGGGCAACGTGGCCCCACTGAGCCCAGCTGCTCCCTGTGAGCCTGGAGGAAATTGCTCAGCCCCCCAGCTGGGGAGAGAGTCCAGGAGGCCAGGCTTTCTCTTGCTTCCTGGCTCAGGGGGTCACAGAGGAACAAGGAAATTTAGTGTGTGTGTCTTCTTTTTGTTTCATTCAAAATTTAATTTAGTATCAAGCAAGAGGAGCTTTAGCTTAACCCTGCATATCAGGCAAGATTTCAGTTACAAAATAGTACCTTTTTTTTTTTTTTGCACTTGTGATTGGCTTTTCCTCTACTTCTTTTGGTAAGAGCAGGTTGGTGTCCAGGCTCAGAATCCATTTTTCCTCCCACACCAAAGCACCTGTGGTGTGGGTGAAGCAGACTGGAGCCTGGCTGCATAAAGCTTTGCAGCAGGAGAGTCCTGGCAGGAGCATTGAGGTGCCACTGCCCTGGTCCAGCTCAGAGGCCAGCACCAGGGAGGCTCAGTGTCTTGTTCTCAGGATCTGCACGTGGGGTTGCCTTTCTGCATCTCCCCATCAGTGGTAGGTGCTCCTCCAAGCCCCCTCTTGCTGGCCTGGACACAGCGGCCTGCACCTTGACCCTATTGCATGCCAGTGGAGCAGAGCCCCCCAGGCCAGAAGCCCCACAGATGTTGGCCCTGGCTTGGACAGGCAGGGGGCACCGGGGCAGGAGCTGGCTGCGATCCTGTGGCCCCAAATGCCCCCTCGCTGATGGCCTCGTGTTCTGGGTGTGGAGCAAAGAGGAGCAGGTATCGAAGGCACCTCAGGCAGGTGCTGGGCTCAGTGGGCGTCTTGTGCTCCATGATTTTTTTTCAAATTTTATTATTATTATACTTTAAGTTTTAGGGTACATGTGCATAACGTGCAGGTTTGTTACATATGTATACATGTGCCATGTTGGTGTGCTGCACCCATTAACTCGTCATTTAGCATTAGGTATATCTCCTAATGCTATCCCTCCCCCCTCCCCCCACACAACAGTCCCCGGTGTGTGATGTTCCCCTTCCTGTGTCCGTGTGTTCTCGTTCCATTCCCACCTGTGAGTGAGAACATGCTCCGTGATTTTGAGGCCATTTGCAGCCAGCTCCGCCAGCCGGTGCTCTGAGCTGCAGCAGCGGCCATGCACAACAGCACCACCAGGAGTGTCCTGGGGGCTTTCTTCAGAGGAGGCTGTCAGCATCCTCAAGTTCCAGCCACTTAGCCCCAGTCCTGCTTCAAGAAGCTTTTTCTTTCACCAGAGGCTTCTCAATGGCCTGAAAGCTAGGCTGACTCCCAGGAAGTTTGCCGGGAAACACCAGGCTGTCAGTGACATTCGTGGTTCCAAGGCTTATGCAGGTTGCACGCATCGGCCACTGTCTGTGCCACGTGTACTGACACCACCAGAGATGCGCACGCCGCACGCCGCACGCGCACGCCGCACGCCGCACGCCGCACGCGCACGCCGCACGCGCACGCCGCACGCGCACGCCGCACGCGCACGCCGCACGCGCACGCCGCACGCGCACGCCGCACGCGCGGCAGTGGCTTGGCTGGCTTGTAACGGCTTGCACGTGCATGCCGCGCGCGCACGCCGCACGCGTATAACGGTTTGGCTGGCCTGTAACTGCTTGCACGCGCATGCCGCACGTGCGTAATGGCTTGGCTGGCCTGTAATGGCTTGCACGCGCATGCTGCACGCGCGTTAACGGCTTGGCTGGCCTGTAACACTCGGCATGCGCACACTGCACGTGCGTAACGGCTTGGCTGGCCTGTAGCAGCTAGACTTGGCTCTGCGACCTTTGCTTGGCTTGGCAGCGTGACTGCTGGGATAGACATTCCTTCCTTGGACTGACGTTTTTTCTGTCACGTTACTCCGCTGGACTTGACCTTTTCTCTTCTGGGTTTGGCATTCCCTTGGGTGGGCCGGGTGTTTTCTTGGGGGGTGGGGTTGGCCCTTCCTGGGGTGGGCGTGGGGTCGCCCAGCGTGGGTGTGGGCTTTCCCCAGGTGGGTGTGGGTTTTCCCTGGGTGGGGTGGGCTGGGCTCCCCTGCTGGGGTTGGCAGGTTTTGGTCGGGACTTTTCTCTTCAAACAGATTAGAAACCCGGAGTTATCTGCTAGTTGGTGAAACTGGTTGGTAGACGCGATCTGCTGGCTACTACCGGCCTCCCCTGGCTGTTAAAAGCAGATGGTGGCTGAGGCTGGTTCAATGCCGGCTGCCTCCTCTGTGAAGAAGCCATTTGGTCTCAGAAGCAAGATGGGCAAGTGGTGCCGCCACTGCTTCCCCTGGTGCAGGGGGAGCGGCAAGAGCAACGTGGGCACTTCTGGAGACCACGATGATTCTGCTATGAAGACACTCAGGAGCAAGATGGGCAAGTGGTGCCGCCACTGCTTCCCCTGGTGCAGGGGGAGCGGCAAGAGCAACGTGGGCACTTCTGGAGACCACGACGACTCTGCTATGAAGACACTCAGGAGCAAGATGGGCAAGTGGTGCTGCCACTGCTTCCCCTGCTGCAGGGGGAGCGGCAAGAGCAAAGTGGGCCCCTGGGGAGACTACGACGACAGCGCTTTCATGGAGCCGAGGTACCACGTCCGTCGAGAAGATCTGGACAAGCTCCACAGAGCTGCCTGGTGGGGTAAAGTCCCCAGAAAGGATCTCATCGTCATGCTCAAGGACACTGACATGAACAAGAAGGACAAGCAAAAGAGGTAACCAGGCCTGGGCTGGGAGGAGGTGGGATGTGGGAGGATGATGGGGACATACCCTCCTGGCGGGGGAGGAGGGGAGCCTGGTTTTCTCGCCTCCGCAGGCCTCACACCACCCTGGATGTGGAAACCTCAGAGAGTTCAGGGCACAGGCCCCTTTATGAGCAGCAACACAAAAACAAAACTTTAGCTGATTTCCAATCAAATTATAATTTCCCTCCTAGAACACTAATAGACTGTTTTGAAGTGATTTAACTCGCAACATTGTCGATGCAGCAGATTATTTTTAATGTACAGATTTTAAAACAATGTTCTATACGTTAAAAAAGTGTATATTGAGAACTAAGAATGAAGCCCCATAACACATCAACTTCAGGGCTAAATATTCTTCAAATAAAATCCAGTATGGATTTTATATCAATGTACACTATGTAAATATGTTCTTTACTGAGTAATCTTAGAAGGAAACTGAAATGGGAAGATGGTTCTTGTGCTTGAATAGGAAGATTGAATTTTCTGAAGATGTGAGCTTTTTGGCTGGGCGTGGTGGCTCACACCTGTAATCCCAGCACTTTGGGAGGCTGAGGAGGGCAGATCATGGGATCAGGAGATCGAGACCATCCTGGCTAACACGGTGAAACCCCGTCTCTACTAAAAAATATAAAAAAAATTAGCTGGACGCGGTGGCAGGCACCTGTAGTCCCAGCTACTCAGGAGGCTGAGGCAGGAGAATGGCGTGAACCCGGGAGGCGGAGCTTGCAGTGAGCCGAGATCACGCCACTGTACTCCAGCCTGGGAGACAGAGCAAGACTCCGTCTCAAAAAAAAAAAAAAAAGTGAGCTTTTTCTATTTATCACTTTTACTTAAGCCAAATAAAAATAGCAGTTTTAGAGTTTTTAAATTACACATGCTGTCTTTTATTATTGTGCTAAGTTAATTTTTTTGTAGCAGAATGGACAAAGGCTTGCTTTTCCAGATGTCAAAATGTGCATGTTATTTATTTCCACAAATTGTTTACTAACAGCTGAAAAGACATCAATGAATAAAACAGAACAGGAAATTTAGAAATACCGAAATATATGTAGGAATTTAGCGCTTGATAATGGTGACGTTTTGTATTATTTAAAAAAGATGGATTGTTCATAATTCATTTTTGGAGAAAACTAGCTAGATGTTTATATCACAAAAATCAGAGTATAGATTAAAAATTTTAAATATACAAAAAGAGAAACATACCAGAAGAAAACACAAGTGCCTATTTACATATGCAGATATATATACACATGTATATATATGTATATACGTATATATATGTATATATATATATATACGTATATACATATATATACATGTGTATATATATATATATATATATACACAAAATTTCTTTTTTTTTTTTGATGGAGTCTCACTCTGTTGCCCAGGCTGGAGTGCAGTGGTGCGATCTCGGCTCACTGCAACCTCTGCCTCATAGGTTCAAGCAATTCTCTGCTTCAGCCTACTGAGTAGCTGGGATTACAGGCGCCTGCCACCACGCCTGGCTAATTGTTTTGTATTTTTAGTAGAGATGGGGTTTCACCATCTTGGCCAGGCTGGTCTTGAACTCCTGTCCTCGTGATCCACCCACCTTGGCCTCCCAAAGTGCTGTGGTTACAGGCGTGAGCCACCATGCCTGGCCTATATATGCAATAAAATAAGCACATTTTAAAATTGGGCAAAGTACTTTTTTGCATATCTACCAGTGACCTATGTGCATAGGAAAAGATAGCATTCCTGGTAGAAGAAGGAATTTAAATTAGAAGAGGAATGAAATACTGTTTTCTATTTAAGTTAGAGGAGGAATGAAAGGCCAGGTGCAGTGGCTTACGCCTGTTACCCCAGCACTTTAGGAGGCTGAGGCAGGTGGATCATGAAGTCAGGAGTTTGAGACCAGCCTGGCCAGTGTGGTGAAATCCTATCTCTACTGAAAATACAAAGAATTAGCTGGGCATGGTAGCATGCACCTGTAATCCCAGCTACTCAGGAGGCTGAAGCAAGAGAATTGCTTGAACCAGGGAGGTGGAGGTTGCAGTGAGCCGAGATCGTGCCACTACATTCCGGCATGGGTGACAGAGTGAGACCCCATCTAAAAAACAAACAAACAAAAGGAATGAAATACTGTTTTCTATCCACAAAGTTTGTGAGGATGAATAACAGTGGTACTTATATAGTTGTTTAAAGTTTAAGTTGCTGCAGCTTTTCAAACAGGCACTTTAGTGGTAAGAACCACATTTTAAAAATGTTATGCTTTTTCCTCATCAGTTCCATTATACTGAAATATCTTCACCAAATAGATGTCTGTTTTTCTTAGTATTGCTTAAAATAGCAGTGTATTTAGAAAAGCCCATATAAAGATTTCATGAACAAATTTCAGTGCATCCATAGGACGGAATAATATGTAACTATTGAGGGTGTCAGTACATAGAGATATGTCGACATGCAAAGATGTACTTTGCTATAGCAAGTGAGAAGAAAAATCAGTTTGTTACACATATACACGAACAGAATCTGCTCTTGTGTTAGCTGAAAATATGTAGAAAATATAATCAAACTTGTTTCTGGGGATTTGTAAATGAAGTTTTTCCTTTTATCTGTGATTTCTGCAATGAACATCTGAACTTTTAGTTTAGGTTCATTAGTAATGACATAATCCTTGGGAAGAGAAGGAATATGCTTCTTGCATAGATGCAAATAATTTCTCACATTCTATTATTTATTTTTATTTCTGTGGTTGGCTATCTACTGTGAACTTTTACCCTCTTCAGAAGTAGAGGGATTGTGTTTACCTGTTCTTGTAGATTTTATTGTATATAGATTTTATTACATAATTACCTTTTCATTATATATAGATTAACATGTAAAAAGTATGAATTAATCATTTTAGTTGAGTTATATATTTATGAAAATTAAAATAGCAAATATAAATGATATTACTATTGCAAATGTATTGCCCTACTCTACAGGAGTTTTCTTTAAAAATATTGAACTCCCAAGCTGTGTTCATCCATTGTTTTCAATCCGTTTAGTCATCAGACATAAGCCAGACACCTATTATGGGGCAGGCATATTCTACTATCTCTCAGGATCCTTCCATCTTTGAAAACATTTATGTTTGCCTGCTGGGCTTGAGCAAGCTGAGAGATTTAAAATTGGGGCATTAGGACTTAATCTCAATTGAAGCTTCTCCTCCCTCCTTTCAAACAGAAGCATTTCTGAAGGTAGAAAATAGTAAAAGACAACCCTTAACTGCCCTTTTGAAAATGTATAAGTCTTGGATAAAGACTGTTTTAGTTGTTTTAAGAACTAAAATGTGGTACATAAACAGCATGGAATACTATGCAGCCATAAAAGAAGGAACGAGAGCCTGTCCTTTGCAGGAACATGGATGGTGTTGAAAGCCATTATCCTTAGCAAACTAACATAGGAAGAGAAAACCAAATACTGTATGTTCTCACTTATAGGTGGGAGCTAAATGATGTCAACACACAGATACCTAGAGGGAAGCAACACACACTGGGGCCTATCAGAGGGTGGAGGGTGGGAGGAGGGAAAGAAGCAGGAAATAGAATGAACGGGTACTGGGCTTAACACCTGGGTAATGAAATAATCTGTACAACCAACCCCGTTGGTGCACGTTTACCTATGTAACAAACCTGCACATCCCGCACATGTACCCCTGAATGTAAAAGTTGAAAAAAGCTCCACAAATAGTTTCATAAATCCATTTTAAAAAGAGAAAATTTATAACAGTCTTAAATCCTAATATGAATGATTGGAAATATCTGATGTACATACATTGTATAAATCTAAGTATTGAAAAAAATGAGCCCATGCTATTCATTTCAATTCCAAGTTTTGTTTGGCTTAAAGTTTATTGAAAACCAAAGTAAGAATTGGTTTATTTTAGAAATTTGTTTTTGTTTTCACTTCAGCTCTCTTATTCCATAGTACTTTTAAGAACTAAAATTTAAATGCTGGTCATCTGACTGGAACCGCCCCAGACCTGTTACATTATAACATATTCTACTTAATGTAAGGCACCAGAGATTGTACGATGCCCCATTATTTTATGTCTCAATAAGAGAATTATTTAAATGCCGCCAATTATAGTAAATCATGAATTGTAAGTGGTATTTCAGTGGAGACAACATGGAGACAATGATCATCTCAGAATCACTAAAATACAATGTTAGCTGTAATATTTAAAACACACCTGAAAGTGTAGGTATAATTGTATCATCTCACTTAATTCAAATGTTGTCTTTAGTGGTATTAGTAAAAATCATAATATCTAACAATTATTGAGCTGTTATTTGTGTTAGGAACTATTCTGTATCTTTTGTGCCGAGTCTCATTTAAGCATTACAGTGGTTTCCTGTGAGAAAGCTACTATTTTCATTCCTATTTTATTGATGAGGAAACTGAGACCCCAAAAGGCTAAGCAACAGCCAGAAAGTGACAGAGCTTCAAGTAGGATTCCAGCCCAAGTTGAATGTCATCCAAGGGCTATGCTCTTTGTATTCATATAGGCTGCTCTTTCATTAATACAGCGAGTAATGAGAGATAATAAATCGTGTGCTTTTTTCATGGGAAAGTTAAATGTTTGTTTTGAAGGCACAGTAATAGCAGGCTATTCAGTGTTTGCGATTATGTGTATCATTGATATGGCTGTAGCTAGTGCACTACAATTTCCTAAAAAGTCTTCTCACCCTCATAGGACTGCTCTACATCTGGCCTCTGCCAATGGAAATTCAGAAGTAGTAAAACTCCTGCTGGACAGACGATGTCAACTTAATATCCTTGACAACAAAAAGAGGACAGCTCTGACAAAGGTATGCAGTAGCCAACTATGTCAGCGTGAAGTGGGTTTGATTTCAATACATAGCATAAAAATGAGTTTTCTCCTTTAAATATAACTAGTTGGTGAAAGCTGTGGAATGTTATTTTGAAATCCTAGGATTTGTAATTTGTTTATGGTGTAATACTGACAGGCCGTACAATGCCAGGAAGATGAATGTGCGTTAATGTTGCTGGAACATGGCACTGATCCGAATATTCCAGATGAGTATGGAAATACCGCTCTACACTATGCTATCTACAATGAAGATAAATTAATGGCCAAAGCACTGCTCTTATACGGTGCTGATATCGAATCAAAAAACAAGGTATAGATCTACCAATTTTATCTTCAAAATACTGAAATGCATTCGTGTTAACATTGACCTGTGTAAGGGCCAGTTTTCCATATTTGGAAGCTCAAGCATAACCTGAATGAAAATATTTTGAAATGACCTAATTATCTAAGATTTTATTTTAAATATTGTTACTTTCAAAGAAGCATTAGAGGGTACAGTTTTTTTTTTTAATGCACTTGCGGTAAATACTTTTTTTTGAAAACACTGAATTTGTAAAAGGTAATACTTACTATTTTTCAGTTTTTCCCTCCTAGGATTCTTTTCCCCTAATGAATGTAAAATGGCAAAATTTGCCCTGAAATAGGTTTTACATGAAAACTCCAAGAAAACTTAAACATGTCTCAGTGAATAGAGATCCTGCTTCTTTGGCAAGTTCCTAAAAAACAGTAATAGATACGAGGTGATGCACCTCTCAGTGGCAAGGCTTAAGATATTTCTGATTGCTCATGAGGCAGAAGTGGAAAGGGAAAAAGAGAGCAGTCAGAAATATCAGGGCCAATTTGGAAATTAGGCAATAGAGGGAAAAGACCATGAAGAGGTTGTGTGTGTGTGGTGTTGTTGTTGTTGTTCATTTATTTATTTCCTTTGTATGGTGAGACAAAGTTCTCTTTGATTTTAGAGAATGACAGTTTTCAGTTTGGGAGAGGGAGTTAGTGGGTTGTAAACTGCCTAGAGATGAATTTTAGGAGGCCTCTGAGGAACCAGATTGGCAGTGAATAGGTGGGTAATGTAAGGGGAAACCCTTGAGCAGGGGGAATATCAAGTAATTAACTGACTTAGTATCCTCTTCTGGTAGAAGTGGCCAATTAGAGCCTCAGCTCTGCTTTCAAATCTAGAGTGTCTGGATGGGAAGGTGGAAGATAAATGAGTAACAAGATCAAGCTGGATTTTGAGTTGACTAGATCCTGTTGTGTTACCGGGAAAAATTATGTGGTGTTTTCAGCAAATGGGTCTCTCTCCTACTCTTTACTCTTTTTGGCCAAATCTTCAAATAAGAAAGGGAATTGGTTATGTGGGTGGTGAGAAATGAGACTGAAGTAATTGTCTATTGTACTAGCTTTCAGCTAGAATTGTGCATCCCAGTAACCTGAGGAAAATTTTTAAATAATCAACAAGTCTAGGCTTATTCCTGAAGATTTTGATACAGTAAGTCTAATAAAGCTTGGATATGTATATTTAAAAATGTTTCCTTGAAGCCAGGCATGTTGGTGCATGGCTGTAGTCCCAACTGTTAGGGAGGCTGAGGTGGGAGGATTGCTTGAGCTCAGGTGTTCGAGTCTAGCCTTGTCAACATAATGAGCCCCTGTCTCTAACAACGACAGCAACAATAACAACAGCAACAATTTTCTCAAAATCTGGATACACTCCTGCTTAAGAACCACTGAATACATAAATGTAATATATAAATTCTTATATCTCAGAAACTTAAGGTATCTCTAGAAGAGTTGGAGTTGGATATGTGCTGATTTCTTTAAATCTTTCCTTTCCAATAACATTAATCTGACTTTTTTTTTTTTTTTTAGATTGAGTCTCACTCTGTTTCCCAGGCTGGAGTGCAGTGGTGTGATCACAGCTCACTGCAACCTCGACCTCCCGAAGCTCAGATGGTCCTCCAACCTCAACCTCAGTTTTTTTTTTCTTTCTTTCTTTTTATTTTTATTTTTATTTTTATTTTTTTTTAGTAGAGATGAGGTTTTTGCCATGTTTCTCAGGCTGGTCTTGAACTCCTGGGCTCAAGCAATTCATCCCCCTCAGCCTCCCAAAGTGCTAGGATTACAGGTGTGAGCCACCATTCCTGGCCTAGTCTGACTTTTATCTCTGTGGTTGAGACATTAAAATGAATATTATTGGTAGTATCTATCAGGTTACATATCAGGTTACAGAATAATATATTTTCCTTTCTACCATCAGTTATTCACTGCCATTCAGAAGGTCTTTAGTAGTTTGCTGTGAGCAGTCTTTCAATAAGTAGAGGATGGCCCTCTCAGGATTTTTTGTCTCTTTGTTCAGTCATTCAAGTGCTTAGGTCAGTAAGTCATTAAGAGCAGAGTTTTATCAATTGGAATTAAGCAAATTCTAAACTGTTTTTTATCAATTGAAGCTGTATTGTGGACTGTCCAGTGTGTCTCTTTAAGTATGTAGAGCTTTGGCATAATCAGCATGGCAGTTTTACACACTTAAAACCATGGAGTTATTAAGAATGCAGATAGGAATTCTGTTAATTTAGTTTCAGTAGTCCTATGAACTGATTATTTAGTAACAATCTGGGAAAATTAAATATAAATAGATTTTAAATAAATAAATGTTGGAAAATTTTTTCAGATGGGCAGTGTGAGTTTTAATAGCAATTTTTGTTGCATGTTGGAGGTTGAACTTTCAGTAAAACATGAAACTAAAGAAATATTTTACATGCAAATTCTTGCTTTATACGCAATTTATCTTAGGGTTGAGGATATAGAAACAAAAGATACAACCCCTGCCCTCAAGGAGCTCTTTGTTTAGATGGGAAAAATATTACCATCCAATAATACCATATCAAATGCTGGGTTAGAAGCAAAGAGCCTTGGAAGCAGTAAATGTTTAAAGTGAGTTTTTGAGATGAGTAGAGTTACTGTGGTGAGGCAGAGAAGGGGTGTTTCCAAGGGAAGGAGCAGCGTGTGGGAAAGCACAGAAGAGTGAGAAGGAAGCGACTACATTTTATTTACTTTCTATGCATGTAAGTCCATAAGATCTTATATAAAGTTTCCACTTCGGTTGAGGAATATGTACTTTTTTGAATTACATACGTTTTTGCTTTATATTGTTTTACAGCATGGCCTCACACCACTGTTACTTGGTGTACATGAGCAAAAACAGCAAGTGGTGAAATTCTTAATCAAGAAAAAAGCAAATTTAAATGCACTGGATAGATATGGAAGGTATAGTTCTTTCTTTTAATCTGTGTGTTCTAGATGGATAGCAGTCACTCAAGTCATAAATATTAAATTAATAAGATTAATGTATACTTATTGGGATATAGTGATCAGTATGAACACAAATCAGTTCGGTAGAAAAACAATTATTTGGACTGGGCAACATAAAAGTTTTAGTAGGATTCATCTTTTATTATATTGACTGATGTTATTTGCTATGTAATGTTTTTGGTTATATGATCTTATGTTAGCTAAAGGGATTTCATATTTTATGAAGTTTGAACTTTAATTTTAGTTTACTTTATGACTCAGTATTGAACTTCTTAACCCTTTCTAATAGTTTTTAACCTGTGTCTTACATGCTTTTCCACTAAATACGCTGTATTAACCATAAATAGGGGTTGAAAATCCTTTTGTCTTTTCAATGATTCTGCCTTAAGTTGCTTTCTTTGAAGAATATTAATGTTAGCTTATCCCTGCATGACAATTAATTGCTGTTCCCACGTACTGTGGGTTCAACAGCTTTTTTCCTTTTTTATTTCCAGTGTATTTTGATGTTTTTATTTTTAATTGGTATGGAGAGAGGGAGTGAAGATAGTTTTAAGTGGATACACTTTTCCTTTAATGAAGACAAGCCGTAGTGGTGTGATAAAGAGAAAAAAGTTAGGCTTTAGATTCACACAATACTGGTTTTAATTCCTAACTTTCTTACTTGCTAGGTGTGTGACCTTGGGAACGTTATTTACCACCAAATATGTTGTCATATATGAAAAGTAGGAGAATATATCCTTCAAAGTTTGCTGTGCATAAGAAAGATATATGTGGCATTTAATTCAGTGCCTAGCACATGCTTATTGGCATCATTAACTGAAACTCCTGTGACTACTATTCTTACCATTATTATTAATCTTACTTGCTTTCAGCATGCAGAGAGCTCTTATTTATTTTACCCCCTAGCTGATTTTCTATTACAGCATATCAGTCTAGGGAAGCTGTGATGAAATCTTCACTTAAATCTTTGTTCATTTCAGATAAGTGGCCCTAATATTGTTTCTTGTCCATCAAAGGACTTTAAATTAGTAGCTTCTGCTATGCAATACCCCACTGAGATAAGAGGGTTTTTTTTTTTTTTGTCCCTTCCTTTCAACCTTGGTGGTATTTTACAAAGATGAACACTTGAGCACTGAAGATGCTTATGTCTTTTAGTGCATGTAAATGTTTGATTCTGCACGGACAGGCAAGATGTTAAATTGGTAAAGTATATCAAATTAGCTTTTAAAATAACTTTATTACTGTTCCTATCTCTGTCATTTTAGAACTGTTCTCATACTTGCTGTATGTTGTGGATCGGCAAGTATAGTCAGCCTTCTACTTGAGCAAAACATTGATGTATCTTCTCAAGATCTATCTGGACAGACGGCCAGAGAGTATGCTGTTTCTAGTCGTCATAATGTGTAAGTGTTTACATTAAAAGGCTAGTTAATGCTAAATTGAGGTTTAAAATAATTATAACAGTTACATCTTACATATCAGGTGAGATGTCATAGTTCAGTTCAGGTAGTTTTCGCGTGGCAGTGAGTTAGTCCCCTGCATCAGCCAGAAATCAGACAAAAAACAAGACAAGTTAGAAGTACCAGTGGGTGCAGGATTCTTTATCTCAGGACTTTTAAGACCTTTATCCATAGAGATCCCAACATTGTTCATTTGATCCAAGTGTAGCACCTATGCATGGGATAAAAAATAGTATCACATCTTTGATTTTTCTGATTAGTTATTTGGGTCTTGAAATGTCCAGTTTATCAGAAAGTCTTGTACTGTCTTCTGGGGACTATGTCCTAGATACTCCTTGAATTTTTCAGGAACCAAAGGGGTTCACTAAATCCAAGGAAGACGGTCCCTTTTATCAAGTCAGAAGGAGGAGAAAAAAAAGGACATTGCAATCATTCTGTTGTTTCCATTGATTCTGCTGCTGCATTGTTGCCACTCAAACTGGTCCTGCTGCCTTAAGATGAATCGGTAGATTCAGGTCCCTCGAGTCTTCATGGCAATTGATACAGTGACTTTGATGTTTTTTGTTCCCATACCTATGGTTATATGCTCAGCCATTGTTCCCAAAGCAGCAGCCCCCTGCTCTGGCCCCTGGGCATCCTGACTTTATCCACACACAAAATGAGCAAATTGACCCTTCCCCCCATATTCAGAACCTAATGTGGAACCCACATCTTAGCCAAGAATTAGCTGAGACCTTCATGGTAAGAGATCCTTTGAGGCCGTTGTTGGTCTTTTCTCTAGCAGATATTAGGTAGGCTTGTTCTAAAGGGTCAGAGGAGTTCCAAAGGGTCAGAGGGGTGGCAGAAAGAGATCAGTGTTTGTTTCTTCTTCTTTGCTACCAGATCTATACTGTGAGGCACCTTTATATCCTGTATAGAACCTTGGGCAGTAGAAAGTCCCATATGAACCTTCCCCTGAGCAGTGGCTCCCAGCTGTGGTTGGCCCCTTGAGTGACCCGATTTACATGATAATGAAAATCGTCCAAGCTACTTCCATCTCTAGCTCAAGATTTTAAGATATTTTCAAACTCTAGCTCACAGGAAGCCATTGAAGAGAAATCTCAGAATCTCAGGTAGGTTAGTTGGACTCAACAGAGCCAAGCCTTGTCCATGAAGCATCACTAGGCATGTGTAAAAGTAGGGCTTTGTGCTTGCTTCGGCGGCACATATCCTAAAATTAGAACAATACGGAGAAAGTTAGCGTGGCTTCTGCATAAGGAGGCAGCACAGATCTTTGAAGCATTCCATATTTTGTGCAGTCACTGGAAGGTCATTTGACTATTTGCTGACTAGCTCTAAGGAAACAGTGTGAATCAAAGCGAAATGGGTGCCACCCAAATATTGAAATTGTGATTTGCGCTGCAAAAATAGTCATGTAAGATGGTCTATGAGATGACTTAGAGCTGAATAACATGTTTGGTGCAAAATATATTGTTAGTATGTATGTCGAAAATGACAGAATGTCAGCTTGCTACTTCTTCATGGAAACTAAAAAAAATAAAAGTAGACTTTTGGTCTCCCATGTCAGCCGGAATTGAACATCAATATAAAGCATCATTGTAACCAACATCTGCGGGCTCAGAGTTTGAGTCTGTAGAGAAGGCTCATTGGTCCAAACCAGGTCTTAACATCCATTGGTTTTTCTGCCCTTGGTGTGATTGATCAACTCCGTAATAGTGGACAATCACATTATCTACTTTAATGAGATATTTAGGAATACATTTAGTTACAAACTATGACATAGTTGAGATGCCCTGAAATATAAGCCATAAAGAGTAGGACAACTAAGAGGCAAAATTAGGACTTAATAACATTTTCTGAAAACTACAACATTTGCATATTAGAACCTATGAACAAAATACGCATTGGGTTTTATTTGTGATTCCAAGATAATTTTAGTCATAAAGTTTAGGAAGAGATTATTCCATTGCTTTACTATTTCTCTCAGCATTTAAAAAATGTGATCTCATTAAATTTTTATCGGAACCTAGGGAAATAAGGCAGCAAAGTCCTCACTTTGTTGAAGAAGACATTGAGCCTAAGAGAAGCAAGTTGTCCAAGAACAAATAGCTGTTCATTATGGAGCTAGGACTTATGCAGAGTTGGGACACTTTCTATTATGTCAGGTTAATGCAACCTAATTTACTGGGTCACATGCCCTCGATTTATGAGTATTTCACCCTACATTTTTTTCTTCTTTAATTAGAAGCTTAAAGAGAAGTTTGCAGAATGTACTCATAAGTGGATGGGATAATACTGTTAAGTTCTGATATTCTGATATTGTTTGAAATACTGTTAAGAATTTCACATTTGGTAAGTATTTTTTATATCAGTATTAAAATAGTAATTTGGTTTATTACAATTTTATACATAGAATTTGCCAGTTACTTTCTGACTACAAAGAAAAACAGATACTAAAAGTCTCTTCTGAAAACAGCAATCCAGGTAAGACTTATAACAGTGAATTACTTTAGGTTAGTTTTCCCCAACCTTTTTGGCACCAGGGACCGGTTTTGTGGAAGACAATCTTTCCATGGGCTGGGGAAAGGTGGGGATGGTTTCAGAATTATTCAATCATGTTACATTTATTGTGCTATTTTATATTATTATTACATTGTAATATATAATGAAATAATTATACAACTTACCATAATGTAGAATCAGTGGAAGCTCTGAGCTTATTTTTCTGCAACTAGATGGTCTTATCTGGGGGCAAAGTGAGACAATGATAGATCATCTGGCATTAGATTCTCATACGAAGCACACAACCTAGATCCTTCGGATAGGCAGTTCACAACAGGGTTCGTGCTCCAATGAGTTTCTAATGTTATCACTGATCTGAGTGGAGGCAGAGTTCAGGCTGTAATATGAGCCATGGCGTGTGGCTGTAAGTACAGGTGAAGCTTC
Organism: Homo sapiens; assembly: GCF_000001405.40. Lineage (NCBI taxonomy): Eukaryota > Metazoa > Chordata > Mammalia > Primates > Hominidae > Homo > Homo sapiens. The sequence continues at coordinate 18,980,607 of NC_000014.9, forward strand.
CTTGGCTTGCCTAGTGCTCACCTCCTCCTGTGTGGTGTGGTTCATAATAGTCCGTGGACTGGTATGAGTCTGTGGCCTGGGAGTTGAGGACCCCTGCTCTGGGTGGTTCTACCATAGATAAAAAACTAAAAGTAAGGAATTTTTGATCACAAAAGAACACTGAAGCACAGGTCATGTTACACATGCTTGTCCCAATAAGGTCTCACTATTACTGACTTCATTCCTCCTCATTTGAAGTTGGAAAGAGATATATTGACTTTTTTGGAACAAGATGTGTTCTTCTACCTGCTGGTTAATTGTCATGATAACAGTAATTTTGTTAGAACAAGATGCTCTGCTACCATTTGCCAAAAGAGTGTCATAATAAATATGCAAATTGCCCAACTCTAGGCTCAGCAGATTATCATAAAAGTAGAAAAATGTTTCACACTAACAAAAATGCTAGTATGCTACCTGATTGTAGACACCTAATACATTGTATAGTCCAAACTGTATGAGGACACCTTTAATTTAGCCATCTATTTATCAAAGAGCTTCTGTAAGTTAGGTTTTATAAGTTGCAGGAGACAAAAATGGAATAGATGTAGTTTTCATCTTTAAGGTGCTCATAATAGAGCTGTCTCCATTTCATTTCTGTGCTTTTTCAACAGAATTTACAAAGAAAACATTTCTATTTTCACTTGTCCACTTAACAGATAACTATCAAATGTCTTTTAGATACTAGCCATTTTTTCTAATGCTACAGAGCACAAACAATTAAAAGTAGAGACAGGAGCTTGTTATTATCATTGTCATTTTCATTATTTTACTACTTTATTCAGTGCTTACTGTGTGCTAGATGCCCACTGGAAGCTTATAATTATGATTTATTATATATTGATTATGTGCCAGACATATGTGATGAGGAATGAAAATTTTGGAAAAAAGTAGGTATGATTTAAGGTAAGCATGCAGAGAGAGAAGAATTTTTCTAGGTAAAGAAGCAGAAGAATAATGTTTGGCAGAAGGAACATGCAACGAGGTTGTGTGTTTGCCAGAAGGAACATCTAATGAGATTGCCTGTTTGGCAGAAAGAGCAGCAAGTGCAAAAGACAAGATGCTTGAGTGAACTTTGCAGGGATTCTGAGCAATTCACTTTTGCTAATACCAAAAGTGTGAGATACGAGAGGTTGGGAATGAGGTGAATACTTAGCTAAGGCAAGTTCATGATAGACTTTTTAATACTACAGAAATGAGTAGGTTTTACCCCATGGGCCATGGGAAGTTTACCAGGTAGAATGCTTTGGACTGCAAATACTAGATGAGCGGTGGCTAAAACAGTAGGAACCAGAGTTGTTTTGTTTGTTCATTGATATCCTAGGATCCCACTTGTCCCTCTTTCAGCTGTGCTGTTGGCAGTGTTTTATTCACGTAACTGGGAGAAAACTTAGAAGCATGCAAGGGCTTCCTGTAATATTTCATTGGCTAGGTCAGAGTACCTGCTCATTCCCAAACCAGGCACTGGGAAGGAAAATACATGATTAGCTTAGAATAAACATTTCTCTTTCTGAGGCTGAGGAGGGGGATTGGGATAATAAATATCCCAATAGACTTGTGTTTCTTCTGCAAGAAAGAATAAGGAATGGCTATTGATAGGGAGCCAACAATGTGTGCTGCAGGGGCTCATTGGAGAAATTTGAGCAGGGGAGTCACAAGATTAAATTTGAGTATTAAGGCTTCTGGTTATGGTGTAAAACGGGTTAGAAAGCTTTTTCTGTAAAGGACTAGGTGGGAAATATTTTAGACTATGTGGTCTCTGTCATGTCTTCTTAACCCTGCTGTTGTCTGCTGTTGTAGTGTGAAAGCCACCAGAATTATATGTAAGCAAACAGGCATGACTGAGCTCCTATAAAACTTTACTCACAATGCCATAATGCAGATTGGATTTAGTCTGTAGCCTATAGTTTGCTGGGATTGATGGAAGGTTCTTTACTATGTAAAGAAACCAGGAGACAAAGGAAGCTTTTGCAGTAGTCAGCTATGGTTTCCTTGTCATACATCCTTGGAGTAGCATCAATGTATTACAAGGTTTTCACCTGTCCATAGTGAAATAAATAAAGTTAGGAATCTCAATTACTCGTTTTAATATGTTGGCCTTTGTTTTTGTTTTTTTTTTTTTTTGGTGTTATGCTTTTTTCATTTGTTTAGCTTAATTTTTTTCCCGTAAGAAATAACATTAATTGTTGGCAGTTTTTTTTTTAATAAAAGCCATTTTGTAAATGTTCATGTTCCCAGTGGCAGTGGGAATACAAAATGGAGGCAGAAGAGAGGTATCGTCAATATGATTTAGTGATAATTGAATGAGAAAGGCTTGGGGGACAGAGAGAAATCTCAGATGATGTACAGGTTTCCAGGTTGTACACTAGTATTTAACCTAGACGTGAGGAAGGAGTAGGAAATTTTCTGGTGAATACAGAAGAGCAAAGAACAGCAGGTCAGCAGGAATGACTAATGTTTTTCTATGCATGTTTAATGGAATATTCGTGTAGGATATTTTGAGTAGGTAATTGGATAATCAGCATTTGTAACTTGCATCCTAGTAGTCTGACTCTCACTAATAAGACTTGTCAAAGATCCAAGAATCTGAAAGTGGATGATAAATGTCCATGTGTATCACCATCCATGACCGAAAGTCAGCATCCACAGAACACAGAATTGGGACAGATGAACTTAATAGATAAAGATGAATATCGGAGTTGTTCCTCTTAGGGAATGATACTCTCCATGAGCTGTGTGAGTCACGGCTGCCAGAAAAGAAAGAGCAAGGAGCGTATGAAGGCAGCACAGCAAATTCAGTCCTAGAGTGCCCTGCTTGGCTTCGTGTCATAGTTCTGACTTCTAATAAATCATTTTCTGCAAAATATGCTCTGTGTTTTTCCCTCTTGCTGCCTGCAGCCAAACAGAATCCCTTTAGCAGGGCATTTTTGTGTTCTTCCTTTAAACAAGGCAACATATAAATAATGAAAACAAGAGAAAGAGTGGTTTTTGTATGGGATAGTATTTAACGTAAACTTGAGAGTGAGTACCAGGATTATACTTAGAATTTATGGACTGGATGGGAAGACTGGATAGAAATCTAAAGATTGCTGACTCAAACACAATGTAATTTCTTTGCTTTATTGTCACAGCTCTGAATTCACGACTCTTAGTTGTATTCATATGCACTATAACTTTACAAAGCATCTTCCCAAACCAAATCTTTACTGATTTATTATAATTTGTATGACTTTATTATAGAATTGACTTTCCAAGTGTTCATGAGAATTATTGAGAATTCGCTACATAGTATCATTTCAGTTGTGTCCACATGAATTATCAGTCACCTTGTCTTAATGAATAATGGTTCACTACAAATATTGGTTTTGGCATTTAAAGTGATCTATATCTAAATGCAGATAGGACCAGGGACCACTCTTGAACATTAATGTCCAAGCATCTTAAAATTACACATGAGGCTTTCATAATCTGACTTCTGCCCCACTCTCCATCTTTAGCCCTTTTCCCTGTGTGCCCTTTCTCTGGCATTACTGAGCTGCTGGTAGTGCCCTACTCACTCATCCTTCTGTTGTAGGCAAATACTTTCATTCTTTCAGGCCTCGCTCCCGCTCTTGCTGCTGCCGGCCATGCTGTCACCCTTTCCTGCCCTCTACCCCTTTTAATCTGGCCAGCCTCAATATTTAAGTCTCTGCTTGGGCATGTGTTCTAGAAAAGCCATCCCTGAGATGCTTTATTTTCATTCTTTTTAGACCCTAATGCCTAGCATGTATGTAGCAGGACTCAATACAAATTTTCTGAGTAAAACAAAGACTGTTTTTACAAAGATGATGTGCAAGACTCTCCCCTGCAGTTTTGGAGCAGAGGGGACAGACATATGGAGAAATAATGTACAGCTTAGCGGGTAAAGATGCCGTAGAAAAATCAGTAAAATACTAAGGCAGCCTCAAGGAAGGAGATACCTGTTTATTTGGGGAAAGACATGCAGAATCAAGGAAGACTTCACATAGAATTGTTTCAAAAGATGAAAATAAGGCTGGGTGTGGTGGCTCATGCCTGTAATCCCAGCACTTTGGAGGCTGAGGTGGGCGGATAATGAGGTCAGGAGATTGAGACCATCCTGTCCAATGGTGAAACCCCATCTCTACTAAAAATACAAAAATTAGCTGGGTGTGGTGGTGCTTGCCTGTAATCACAGCTACTCAGGAGACTGAGGCAGGAGAATCGCTTGAACCAGGGAGTCAGAGGTTGCAGTGAGCTGATCGCACCACTTCATTCCAGCCTGGTGACAGAGCAAGACCCTGGCTCATTAAAAAAAAAAAAAAAAATTAAAATAAATTTGTCAGAATTATGGAGGGAAACATTTTAGATATTAGGAAAATGTTGTACAGTAATAAAGGTGTCAGCAGTGATTTTGGAAATCATTTATAAGGTACTATTAGGAAGTGGAGAACAATATACTGTGTCACTTTATTGTTTCTACTGTATTTTAAAGCTGTGTTTATGGTGGTTTTGTTCATTTATGTTGGGTGGATGAATTTATGAGGGAATTTTTAACATGTGTGTATGTCTTCAATCTGGTGACATCTGATGTCTCCCCAAGTGGTTTTTTGAAGTTTTTGAGAATTATTTCGTAAATGACAATTTCATGAAAGATTAAACACTCAATTTATGAAATAAAATGAAATGTCTTAAATCTGTTTTTAAAAGGCAATAGTTTTTAACTGTTGTAAGTGGTTGATTTTAACTGAATATATGGATTTTTCAACAGAACAAGACTTAAAGCTGACATCAGAGGAAGAGTCACAAAGGCTTAAAGGAAGTGAAAATAGCCAGCCAGAGGCATGGAAACTCTTAAATTTAAACTTTTGGTTTAACGTTTTTTTTTTTTTTTTTTTTGCTTTAATAATATTAGATAGTCCAAATGAAATTACCTTTGAGACTAGGCTTTGAGAATCAATAGATTCTTTTTTTAAGAATCTTTTGGCTGGGGGGGTGGCTCATGCCTGTAATCTCAGCACTTTGAGAGGCTGAGGTGGGCGGATCATGAGGTCAGGAGATCGAGACCATCCTGGCTAAGATGATGAAACCCCGTCTCTACTAAAAATACAAAAACTTAGCCGGGTGTGGTGGTGGGCACCTGTAGTCTCAGCTACTCAGGAGGCTGAGGCAGGAGAATGCCATGAACCTGGGGGGTGGAGCTTGCAGTGAGCCGAGATCTGCCACTACGCTCCAGCCTGGGTGACAGAGCAAGACTCTGTGTCAAAAAAAAAAAAAAAAAAAAAAAAAATATTTTAATAGATTCTTAAAATTTATTGTAATAAATTCAGCAACCTTATTAAAAGAATCAATAGGTTCTAATTTAATATTTGATATTTAACTTCAACATAACCCACTATGAAATTTAAAATACTCTTATTTTAAAATATTCTTATCTGCCTTCTTGATTAGCTTATAGCTAATCTTTCCTTTTGGAATAGAGGCAAAAACAAATTTCAGAACTTTGTTCTTTTATTTTTACAACACCCTAACATGATGAAGAATGTAACATCAATTATTGGATTATATTATTAAGCAATAGAATTATGAACAATGTAACACTGATGGTCCCTGAGCTGGATTCATGGTTAAAGAGTAATCATGGCCAGTGATTGAAAATCTGCAGTTTTATATTGTCAGTCACTGATACTAAGGTTAAAGATATATTCTGCCTTGTGGTCTCTCATTGACCTCAGTGTTTCTGTTCAGGGAGGGAACCAGGTCAAAAAAGCAACCCAACTGCCTATTAAAGGAATCATATCTTGCAGAATGGGACCTTTGGTGTTAGTGCACAAACACAATAACATTCTAATTTATTTCAGTTGCAGAAAATCAGGACAGATTAAAATTTTTATCTACTGTCATTAGTACATATTAGAATATATTAGAACTGGACTTAAGCAGATAATCTAGATACATAACACTATCATATTACAGTATATAATTTCAATTAAAATGTAAGAATTTGCATCTCTTTCTGTTTGGTGTTGATTTCGGCTCCTAATAATTTAAAGTGTGCCTACAATCCAGTTAGGAATCTTTTGAAAAAGCACTTCAGTGCACTGTAGGGGCTCACTAGTTAGGGTTTCATGAGGTAAACTCTTTTCAAGTGAGGAAGGTTTTGCAACACTACAAATGATCTGCTGATTCATTTTTGGTAGATTTAACACATAACAAATTAAGTTTAGTCCGAACAAATAGTGACCAAGTTAAGTTTGCTGGTTCATGTTTTTCTTCTCCCTTTGGCTAAGGTGAATTATTTTTCACATGTTAGAAGCCAGTGATGTGGCGGTAGCTAAACATAGATTAAAAAGTTAATCTTAATTTTAATTATTATTTATTTTTTAAGTTTAATTTTAATTATTTTCTAATTTTTATTGTCCATACTTGATTACTTAAGAATAAAATTATTTTAAAAACATGTGCTCCAAAAGAGGAGACATCACAGAAATACAACAAGCAAATTAACCTTCTGTTTTTGCATCTGCAGGAAATGTCTCAAGAACCAGAAATAAATAAGGGTGGTGATAGAAAGGTATACTTTTATATTCAAATGTTTGCGTTGAATTAGATTTTTACATTATGTTGTTTAACAAAGTGTAGTAAGTGTAGGCATACGTGATCCTATCATGTAAGTAGCATAAATCATCAGTGAAAAATTTAATACTTAACTCAGAATTCTATACATTGAATTTTAAAGAGATGCAAACCCTAGAGATATTCTTTCATTATTATGGAATAGTCCCAAATGGTGCCGTAAAATGCTAAGTAATGCCACTTTAGGAGCTTTGGATCAATAATTTTATCTTTCTTGGTTTTAGTCTGATTATCAATAGAAAATGTGGCTAAAGTAGATAATTTTTTATTCTGTGTATTTTCCAGCTAGAAAATTTTATGGCTATCGAATGTGAAATTTGGGGAGCAACTCATTTTCTGGAATTCCATGATTGTACCTCTGCAGTTTCACTCTGCTCCTTATGTTGTGGGAAACTTTGGTTCCCATGTTTCAGTGAGCACCTTCGTGTTTTTGATATCCTAGGAACCTAATGAAAAAAGAATGCTCAAAGGCAGTGGGGGAGAAGAATATCTTAGTGCAGAAAAGGGCCATCTTCCGTTCTATTCCTGAAGCCCCACGGTGTCTCATCCTCTAAAATGACTGTTTAATGTAAAATCTAGGTGGTAAAGAGGGATGAAGACACATTTTTCATCTTTGTCTTTTTATTTATGTGTTCCCACCAGTCAAATGGGGGTAAATACATATATAAGATTCTGAAGAGTGATTGAGAATAAAAGCACAAAATAAAGGAGGGCCCTTTTTGAATTTTGGAAAATTCTGTTTTACTCATTGAAACAGAAATGAAGCAAACTTTACAAAAATTTCTGTGATATATTAGTGATATGATAAGTACATCTTAAAATTATATGGTAATAGTTCTGTGTATATGATCCAATTTAAGAGTGAAATGTTTTTAATGACTAAAATAATGATAAACTGGTCAAGTGATAAAATCAATTAAAAATATTCTTTCTATTCAGTAAAGGGATAACTATCCTTAATATCAAACTTTCATTCAAGGTTGAAGAAGAAATGAAGAAGCACGGAAGTACTCATATGGGATTCCCAGAAAACCTGCCTAACGGTGCCACTGCTGACAATGGTGATGATGGATTAATTCCACCAAGGAAAAGCAGAACACCTGAAAGCCAGCAATTTCCTGACACTGAGAATGAACAGTATCACAGGTAAGTCTGTGGCAACATTGAACAGGAGATAACTCTATGCTGTGAATCTAATTCATGATGAACAAATTTTATACTTTTACTAGGATATTCAGCCTTGCCTGTTAATCAGAAAAATGAAAATCAGTAAACAATGAGTTACCATTTTTTCCAGTCATTAATTTATTTGAAAAATAGCCAGTATTGGCAAATGTGAGGGAAAAGGCATTTTCTTTTCTTTTCAGTGACCTTTTATTTTAGCTTCAGGGTACATGTGCAGGTTTATTATATAGGTAAACTGTATCATGGAGGTTTGGGGTACAGATTATTTCATCAGCCACATAATAAGCAAAATACTCGAATGGTAGTTTTTTGGTCGTCTCCCTCCTGCCACTCTCCACCCTCAAGTAGGCCCCAGTGTCTGTTATTCTCCTCTTTGTGTCCATGAGTTCTCATGTTTAGTTCCCACTAATGAGTAAGAATATGTGGCATTTGATTTTCTGTTCCTGCATTAGTTTGCTTAGGATAATGGCCTCCAGCTCCATCTGTGTTGCTGCAAGGGAAATGGTTTCACTGAAAAAGACATTTCATACACTGTTGGTAAATACATTTTGAACATTAATTTAGTAGCATATTCACACACACACAGATATATAACAGAGTAAGGATGTATAATACATGTAAAGGATATTTGTGTAGATATGTTACATACATACTTACATATAAGGACATTTATTATAGCATTATTATACTAAAAATTTGGAGCTAGTCTACTCCCTTATCAATAGGAAATAGCTCAATGTCCATACCCCCAAAATAATGTATTATGCAACCGTTTTTGAAAAATGAGGTTAGATCTAGGGTATACTGATTATTTCACAATTAAAATGTATTTAAAGCATTTAGTTTAATGACACATCTTAGGAGTTCTTGTTAAAATTCTTGTAATATCTGCTGTGTTGGAAATGGAAGCTACATGCTACATTGACACTGTACCTTGTTAGCAACAAGATTGCTAATTATTAAATTTTTGTTGTCAGTGCCTGAGTGCTGAAATATTGGACCCTCAGTCTGAATATTGCCAAGGGATTGTACATGGGGATCTATATTTAATATAAACATTTCAGTGTATTGGGTAAAACTTTTATTAAAATACATCAAAGATCTTTGATCTACTAAACCAAGAGTTGGCCAGCTTTTTCTGCAAAGAACCAATTAGTAAATATTTTAGGCTTTGTGGACTACATATATTTATTTTCTTGAGACAGGGTCTGGCTCTGTTTCCCAGGCTGGAGTGCAGTTGTGTGATCATGGTTGTGTGATCACTGCAGCCTCGACTTTCTGGGCTCTAGTGATCCTCCCACCTCAGCCTCTCTACTAGCTGGGACCACAGGTGTGCAACATCACACCCAGCTAATTGTCACTATGGACTGTAAAGTGAATAAGCATGGCTGTGTTCCAGGATACTTGACTTACAAAAACAGTCAGTGGGCTGGATTTGGCCCACAGGTGCTTATTTGCTGACCTTTGTGCTAAAAGGAAGGTGCTGCTAATGCATTGACTCTTATATGTAAAAGTGTCCTGCATGGGTGACATTATCTTTCCTTTGAGAAAAGGATATATTTGAGTATTCACCTCACCATATTTTTCCACAGTGACTTCATATAATTTTAAAAACTTCATTTATAAAATAAGATTATTTTCTGCATTTCTCTCTCTTTATTCCTGTTAATAGAACTCAGTATTTTACTGTGATCAATTACTTTGTATATTTGATGAGTGTCAACTGTCCTAGAATTGGCTGATTTTTATCAAGCAAGAAATATTCTCGTTGAGACCTTTAGTATTTCTTGGTCTTTATGTATAAGCATGAACAAAATGATAATCAGCTTATGTAATCTAGAAATGTTCTAGGGGCCTTTAAAACCTTGGTCTGGCATTTAATGCCACATGTGTATAATTTTTATAACCTTTGAAATATATAATTGTTACATAGCATTTGAAACCTCCACCTGTTATGTAAAATTTGGAAACTATTTCTTGTCTATCACTTTTCCATGACTGTGGATGAAAATTACATCATTCTCAGTCGTGAGTGTTAAGTATGTTGTCCTTTAAGTAACTGTCTACACTCACGAACTCAAATTTTCTTTCCATTCACTCTTGATCTCAATGCCAGTAAGTCTTCAATTTCAGCACTCCTCCAGAGTTGTTTTTCTCAAGGTTATCACTACTTTTTTCTGTAAATAAATCTATGCATTTTTTTCTTACACCTCATTTTATTTAATCTGTCAGCAATATTTGAGCCAATGGAGGGCATCTTCTCCCTAACGGCGTCTTCACTTGGCTTTCAGGACCTCACTCCCTCAGGCTTTTACTCCTGCCTTTCTAGTCCATTCATCACGGTCTGTTTTGCTTGCTCCTCCTCATGTTTCTCCTTTTGGACATTGCTGTTTCTCATGGCTCAGTCCTCAATCTTCTTTCTCATGACATTTTTTTTTTTTAAGATGAAGTCTGGCTTTGTCCCCTAGGCTGGTGTTCATTGGCACGATCTTGGCTCATTGCAACCTCTGCCTCCTGGCTTCCAGCGCTTCTCCTGCCTCAGCCTCCTGAGTAGCTGGGATTACAGGTGTGTGACACCATACCTGGCTAATTTTTGTATTTTTAGTAGTGACAGGGTTTCCCCATGTTGGCCAGGCTGGTCTCAAACTCCTGATGTCAGGTGATCTGCCTGCCTTGGCCTCACGAAGTGTTGGGATTACAGGCATGAGCCACAGTGCCTGGCCCTTCCTGACTTTTTCTACTGTATATATGCTAGTGATTTCCAAATGCATGTCTCCAACTCAGATCTCACTCCTTAATTCCAGATCTCTGTATCAGCCTGGCTACTTGACAGGCCTAGCCTATCAGACGTAGCTACCTAATAAATAGTTATTTGATTAGCTGTTGAGTATCACACACTTGTCAGATCCAAAATTGGGCTACTGATGGCCTTCCTGAAATCTACACCTCATGTAGTCTTTCCTACTTTGGTTAATGGCAACTCTTCCAGTTGCTCTGCCAAAAACCTCGGTGTCATTCTAGACTCATCTTTCTCTCTCTCTTGACACTTCACATCTAATCTCTCAGTAAATCTCGTCAGGTCTACCTGAAGAATATGTCCAGAAGCCAGTCATATCTTGTACATGTGAGCCACCATCATCTGCCATCTAGATGAGTGTCATAGACTGGGAATTGATAGTCCTGGTTTTTAAAAATTTCCCCTTTCATCAATTCTTAACTCAGTGGATGTATTTAAAACATAAGTCAAATTGTGTCATTCCCCTGCCCCAGCCCTTCTGATTGCCTCCCATTTCATGCTGAGTATGTGTCAGAGTTCCTCCTAATAACTAAAAGGCAGTCAACCATCTGGCATGTTATCTCTCCTGCTTAAACTTCTGTTTCTTATCTCTTTTGCTCTGTTTCAGCCACACTGAACTTCTTGCTATTCCTTACCTATCTCTAGTGCTTAAAAACTCCAGTCACACCTCTGCACTTAGCAGTTCCCCGTGTCTGGAATGCTTTTTCCCCAGATATTCTTCTAGCTTACTGTTTCCATTACTTCAGTTTTTTACTTAAAATCCCCTTTCTAAGAAGAAGAAAAAGGGTAAAAAGAAACACATTAAGGAATAACCACTTTCGGAGGAAGAACCATGTACCAGCACAATTCCTAGTCCAGAGAAAAATGAAGAAAAAGAAAAAGAGATAACGAGGACTAACAGAAAGGAATTACGATTGTATCACCAGGACGCATCAGGCTTAAGATTCAATTGGGAGCATACCAGGGATTCTCTCTAACGTAATTGAGGGAAGGTTCAATGAAACAGTGATTTATCATCTCTAACTTCAAACCTATTTGTGTCTTGACATCAACTCTGTTAACATCATCATTTTTTAGAGTCTTTGATGTACAAATAAAAGTTTCTTTGTGTTAAAGAAAAATCCTCTTTCTCATCAGGGACTTTTCTGGCCATCCCAACTTTCCCACGACCCTTCCCATCAAACAGGTAAACATTTCATTTTCCTGCTTTAGTTTTTCTCCTCTAATGTACTGTGTATTTTGCCTTATCTGTCTGTTGTTATTGTGTGTTTATCTCACTCTCATGAATAGGGTTTTTATTGTTCATTACCATATCCTTACTTCTTAGAAAAAGGCCTAGCCTATCAGACGTAGCTACCTAATAAATAAGTATTAAATGAATGAATGGAGTTTATCCTGGCTATATTGTTTGATTGATTCTCACTTAAAAAGTGTTTGACAGAGTTCATTTTAACAATTTTGCCTGGTAATTATATGTATTTTTAAAATTCTTTTGGCTTTTTATAATCTACATTCTTTATGTTAATATTTTTTCACTTAGGGAGAAAAGTCCAATATTGTGGTTATTCACTATTCTTTTACTGGTAATCATGATAATTGCAATTATGGTAAAATGAGTCAGAGGAATTGCAAACTTTACTGGTATTTTATTTATTTAGAGATAGAGTCTTGCTCTGTCACCCAGGCTGCAGTGCAGTGGCGTGACCTCGGCTCACTGCAACCTCCGCCTCCTGGGTTCAAGTGATTCTCCTGCCTCAGCCACCTGAGGAGATGGGATTACAGGCGCGTGCCATGATGCCAGGCTAATTTTCGTATTTTTAGTAGAGACGGGGTTTCACCCTGTTGGTCAGGCTGGTCTCGAACTCCTGACCTCAGGCAATCCACCCGCCTTATCCTCACAAAGTGCTGGGTGGATTACAGGCGTAAGCCACCATGTCCGGCCACTAGCATTTTATTTAAAAAAATATTAGGGTGGTAAATGTAATGGACTCACAAATTGTTTCCAAGGGATTATAGACCTTTGGTATTTGAAATAAAAAGACAGTTGGAATCTTTTGCTTCGGATAGTAAGACTATACTGGTCAGGCACTGTCTATTCTGATGAAGCAGCTGTTGCTGCTTGGCTGTCTTTCAGAAGCAAGCTGCTCACATTGATATTGGTTGGTGAGCAAAGCCAGTGGTCATTGATCGATTGACTAGATTTTGAACTGGCTCTGGGTGGCTTCTTGTTACCATGGCTACAGGTCAATTCTTTCCTAAGTTTGAGTCAACTTTAAACAGAAATTTTCTGTTCAAAAGTTGCCTTCCATTAACTATGTTCAAAATGAAACTTTTTAATATTTCAGAATTGTGGATTTAAAGTTTTGGTTATGATGACTTGGTTAATAATAGCTCTCACGGAGATTTTTTTTTGATACATCGTCTTAACCAGAAGAGTTCTCTGTATAATTTATTTCTTAAAAATAATTGTTTTGTGTTTGTTTTGGGTATTTTTAGAAGCTTTTGCTCAAGTCCTAACATAATCTCCAGTAGGAGATTTTAGTCTGTCAGTTCATGTATGTATATGATAGTCATATTGTCATATTGTCTTTTTAAATTCCTTTTTATGTTCACTTTTTTCTCTGTACAATAATAGTGATGTTGTTATACATTTTTATCTCATTAAAAAGTAGTTACAATATTCTGCTGGCAAATCTAGCTTTTTATATATTTTGACTGAATAGGTTAAAAGTGAAAAAAATTTATCAGATCATTCTATTTTCAAACAAAATCATCACTAATAAAAATTATTATTTTGAATTATAAATAATGACATTTAGATATTTTAAAAATAAGGATACCCCCCCACAATAGTTTGGCTTTGTGTTTCTATGCAAATCTCATGTCAAATTGTAATTCCCAGGTGTTGAGGAAAGACCAGCTGGGAGGTGATTGGCTCATGGGGTCGGTTTCCTCCGTGCTGTTCTTGTGATAGTGAGTGAGTTCTCACAAGAGCTGACGGTTTCATAAGGGGCTCTTTCCCCTTCCATTCTCTCTCTCCTGCCGCCTTATGAAGAAGGTTCCTGGTTCCCCTTCACGTTCTACCATGGTTGTTAAGTTTCCTGAGGCCTCCCCAGCCATGCATAACTGTGAATCAATTAATCCTCTTTCCTTTATGAATTATCCAGTCTCAGGTATGTATGTGTATGAATTACCCAGTCTCGGGTATGTACATACGTATATGTGTGAGTGTATATACACACATACGTATATGTGATATATATATGTGATGTGAGATATATATATTTTTATATATCTCCATTTTCTTTATTCCATTCATCAGTTCATGGACACTGGCTGATTCCATATCTTTGCATATTGTGAATTGTGCTGCAGTAAACATATGTGTGCGGGTGTCTTTGTGAGAGTACGATTTCTTTTATTTTGTGTAGCTATCCAGAAATGAGAATGCTGGATAAAATGGTAGGATCTATTTTTAGTTCTTTGAGAACTCTCCATACTGTTGTCCATAGATTTGTATGAATTTGCATTCCCACCAGCAGTGTATCACTGTTCTCCTTTCACCACATCCACAACAACATCTGTTGTTTTTTGTTTTCTAATAGTGGCCATTCTGGCTGCAGCGAGGTGATATCTCACTGTCATTTTATTGTGCATTTTCCTGATGATTCGAGATATTTCGCATGTTTTTATATGCTTGTTTACCGTTTGTACATCTTCTTTTGAGAAATGGCTATTCATGTAATTTGGCCACATTCTAATGGAAATATTTGTGTTTTTCCTGTTGATTTGTTTGAGTTTCTTGTAGGTTATAGATACTAGTCCTTTGTTAGATTCATAATTTTCAAATTTTCTTCCCATTGTGTAGGTTGTTGGTTTACTCTGATGATTATTTCTTTTGCTGTGCTGAAGGTTTTTAGTTTAATTAGGTCTTATTTATTTTCATTTTTGTTGCATTGGCTTTAAGGTCTTCATCATAAATTCTTTGCCTAGGCCAATGTTTTCAGGTCTTAGGTTTGGGCCTTTCATCCATCTTGAATTAATTTTTGTATATGTTGAGAGATAGAGATCCAGTTTCATTCCTCCACATGTGGCTCTCTTTTTTTCCCAGCACTATTTACTGAATAACCTGTACTTTCTCCAGTGTATGTTTTTGTATGCTTGCTCAGAGATCACTTGGTTGTAGCGGCTTTATTTCTGAGTTGTCTGTTCTGTTCCGTTGATCTATGTATCTGTTTTTATACCAGTACCACGCTGTTTCTGTTACTGTGGCCTTAGAGTATAATTTGAAGTCAGGTAACGTGATGCCAACATATTTGTTCCTTTTGCTTGGTATGTCTGTTGCTATTCAGGCTCTTTTGTGGTCCTACATGAATGTCAGCATTTTAAAATAATTCTGTGAAGAATGACATTGGTACTTTGGTAGGAATTGTATCGACTATGTAGACTGCTTTGGGCACTGTGGTCATTTTCACTATATCAGTTCTTTCAGTCCATGAACATAGGATGTATTTTCATTTGTTTGTGTCATCTGTTATTTTCTTTGGTGGTGTTTTCCAGTTATCTTTATATAGATCACTCACCTTTTTCATTGAGCATATTCCTAGGTATTTCACACTTTTTTGCAGCCACTGTAAAAGGGATTGGATTGTTGATATGAACTCTCAGCTTGGTCGTAGTTGGTGTGTAGTGGTGCTACTGATTGGTATTCATTCATTTTGTAACCTCTGAGACTTTACTGAATTCATTTATCAAATCTAGGAGTGTTTTGTAGGAGTCTTCAGGGTTTTCTAGGTATAAGGTAATATCATTGGTGAAGAGATAGTTTGACTTCCTCTTTTCCAATTTGGATGCCCTTTATTTCTCTTGCCCAATTGCTTTGCCTAGGACTTCCCAGTTTTATTCTTAATATGCATGAAATAAAAGTAAAATGGAAAGTGCTTAACGATGAGTTTATTTCACATCTCTCTCTCATACACAGATAAAATTAATTCAAAGTCCTATGTTAAAAACATAATATTAGACCCTGTCTTGTTCTAAAAGGAATTTCTAAGTTGTTTATAAAATACATAGGAATCAAGAATATAAGTGGAAAATGTTTCCAAAAAATAAACACAAAAAGTATGAGTTATAGGCCATAGACCAGTACCAGTCCCTGGCCTGTTAGGACCTGGGCCACACAGCAGGAAGTTAGAGGCAGGTGAGCAAGCAAAGCTTCATCTGTTTGCAGCCACTCTCTGTCGCTCGCATTACCACCCGAGCTGCTCCTCCTGTCAGATCAGCGGTGGCATTAGATCGTCCTAAGAGTGTGACCTGAACCCTGTTGTAAGTTGCTCATGCAGGGGATATAGGTTGTTCACTCCTTATGTGAATCAAATGCCTTTATGATCTGTCACCATCTCCCATCACCCCCAGATGGGACCATCTAGTCGCAGGAAAGCAAGCTCAGGGCTCCCACGGATTCTACATTTTGGTGAGTTATATAATTATTTCATTATATATTAATAATAATAGAAATAAAGTGCACAATGAATGTAATGTACTTGAATCATCCTGGAACCATCCCAAACCTCAGGTTCCTGGAAAAATTATCTTCCGCAAAACCAGTCCCTGGTGCCAGCATGGTTGGGGATACTCGGTTAACAGATGTGAGACCCCTTTGCCTTGTCTTGGAATAATGTGCAGATATACATTGTGTGAATGACATCTGATGGCGCCATCTTGCCCTGTAGATCATTTTGGGGACACCTCCAGTATTTCATGAAAATTAATTTTTTTTCTAGTGATGAACAAAATGATACTCAGAAGCAACTTTCTGAAGAACAGAACACTGGAATATTACAAGATGAGATTCTGATTCATGAAGAAAAGCAGATAGAAGTGGCTGAAAATGAATTCTGAGGTATTTAGTTATTTTCAAATGTTTTTATATGTGTATATATTTTTTAAAAACTATGTATTTTGGATATACAAAGGATTTTTAAGTCATATATATGTGTGTATATATTCTATATATCCTTTGTCATGTATCTATATCTGTACATATAGGAGAAAGCCATGTTCTTAATTCAACTCCATTTGCCTGCAACAGTCGAGTAGTGACCTTCACAATGGCCTCAATCCAAAGGAGAAGCATTTGATATTTTTCATAAGAATTGATGATCTTTCCATATCAAAACTAAGTTTTGCTACTAAAAACAAATTTTCTAGTTTTTGGACATTAGTTTTGTTAAAAAATGTTAATAGAGAAGTCAATTGATGGTTTTCACTGATAGGAAAGTAGGAAATGTATAGTTGGGTCAGAGGCCACATTGTGGATGTCATCATCCTTACTTTTGTGGAGAGGAACACTTTGCTCCAAGTAATTTCTCATTTCAATGTAAAGAGGTTTGAAAACAATGACATGCCATGATATACATTTAGTGATAATTTATTGATAAGTATTTTGTTCCTAGAGAAATAGTTGAGTATATTTCCCCTATTTCACAGTTACTACTGTTTCAAACATTATAAAGAGGAAATAAAAGTTATCACAATGACAAATAATCTCATGATTTCTAAGAAAATCTCTATAAGTTGCATCTTACTTACCATTCATATTTTGAAACAAAAGGCTTCTTTTGTATTTATATATTTACACCACAGAAGTAACTGTGGTTTTGTGGAGGATCACTAGAAGTAGCATCAGCAGACCTGGGGAAAATCCTGCATCTTGTATATATTTTTTGACTTCTCCTTTTAAGAATCACGATCTTAAATGAGTTCAGTGTTGTATGTAGGAGTGCAATGCTTAGATACAGATGTGTACAGTGTAGAAGGGTACAGTGCTTAGATTTAAGTTATGAATAAATATAATTCTTATAACTGAGTATAAAAATATTAGAAATGTAGAATATCGGTAAAACGTTCTTCAGTAAAAGAAACTTAAAGAACTTTGAGAAATTGCTTCTGTCCAAATATATGCATAGCTAAGGCTCTTAGGATGGTGTGGTTGATAGGTTAGATATCAGAGTATAAACCTAATCTTAAAAATATAGTCAAATGTATTAATCTTATATTTTATGCCTCTGGGTTTTTTGTAACTCAGAGAAAGGCTTTTTTAATTCTGAGATTCTTAAAAATCCTCTAGTGATTTATTTTTCATAGTCTTTAAATAAATATTTAAACTTTTAGGAATTCAGGAGCAGATTCCTAAAAGTTTAAATCTTTATTTAAAGACTATGAAAAATAAATCACTGGAGGAATTTACACTCTGCTAGGTTTGGAGTTTTGTCCAGTTTTTTCCAGTTAAATATCCACTATGGGGATTCTTTCATTATACAAATACAGATGTTATTTTTTAATTTCAGAAGAAATCATGGTATATCAATCTATTGAGTGCTAACTAAAAGTTCCCTTTGTTTACTTAGCTTTCTCTTAGTTATAAGAAAGAAAAAGACCTCTTGCATGAAAATAGTACGTTGCAGGAAGAAATTGTCATGCTAAGACTGGAACTAGACGTAATGAAACATCAGAGCCAGCTAAGAGAAAAGAAATATTTGGAGGAAATTGAAAGTGTGGAAAAAAAGAATGATAATCTTTTAAAGGGTCTACAACTGAATGAGCTCACCATGGATGATGATACTGCCGTGCTCGTCATTGACAACGGCTCTGGCATGTGCAAGGCCGGCTTTGCAGGTGACGATGCCCCCCGGGCTGTCTTCCCTTCCATCGTGGGGTGCCCCAGGCACCAGAACATGATGGGGGGCATGCGTCAGATGGAGTCCTATGTGGGCAATGAGGCCCAGAGCAAGAGAGGCATCCTGACCCTGAAGTACCCCATGGAGCACGGCATCATCACCAACTGGGACGACATGGAGAAGATCTGGCACCACACCTTCTACAATGAGCTGCGTGTGGCTCCCGAGGAGCACCCCATCCTGCTGACCGAGGCACCCCTGAACCCCAAGGCCAACCGTGAGAAGATGACCCAGATCATGTTTGAGACCTTCAACACCCCAGCCATGTACGTGGCCATCCAAGCCGTGCTGTCCTTGTACACCTCTGGCCGTACTACTGGCATTGTGATGGACTCTGGTGACGGGGTCACCCACACTGTGCCCATCTATGAGGGGAATGCCCTCCCCCATGCCACCCTGCGCCTAGACCTGGCTGGCCGGGAACTGACTGACTACCTCATGAAGATCCTCACCGAGCGTGGCTATAGTTTCACCACCATGGCCGAGCAGGAAATCGTGCGTGACATCACAGAGAAGCTGTGCTATGTTGCCCTGGACTTCGAGCAGGAGATGGCCACAGCGGCCTCCAGCTCCTCCCTAGAGAACAGCTATGAGCTGCCCAACGGCCAGGTCATCACCATTAGCAACGAGCGGTTCCGCTGCCCCGAGGTGCTCTTCCAGCCTTGCTTCCTGGGCATGGAATCCTGTGGCATCCACGAAACTACCTTCAACTCTATCATGAAGTCTGATGTGGACATCCACAAAGACCTGTACACCAACACAGTGCTATCTGGTGGCACCACCATGTACCCTGGCATTGCCCACAGGATGCAGAAGGAGATCGCTGCCCTGGCGCCTAGCACGATGAAGATCAAGATTGTTGCTCCTCCCAAGCGCAAGTACTCCGTGTGGGTCGGTGGCTCCATCCTGGCCTCGCTGTCCACCTTCCAGCAGATGTGGATCAGCAAGCAGGAGTATGATGAGTCAGGCCCCTCCATTGTCCACCGCAAATGCTTCTAGGTGGACGCTGACTTAGTTGCATTACACCCTTTCTTGACAAAACCAAACTTCGCAGAAAGCCACATGAGATTGGTATGGCTTTAATTGTTTTCTTATTTCATTTTTTGTTTTGTTTTTTATTGGCTTGACTCAGGATTTAAAAACTGGAATGGTGAAGGCGAGAGCAGTTGGTTGGAGTGAGCTTCCCCCAAAGTTCTACAATGTGGCTGAGGACTTTGATCGTACATTGTTTTTCTTTTCAATAGTCATTCCAAATATTGTGAGATGCATTGTTTCAGGAAGCCCCTTGCCCTTCTAAAAGCCACCCCACTTCTCTCTAAGGAGAATGGCCCAGTCCTCTCCCTAATTCACACAGGGGAGGTGATGGCATTGCTTTCATGCAAATTACGTAATGCAGAATTTTTTGAATCTTTGCCTAAATACTTTTTAATTTTGTTTTATTTAGAATGATCAGCCTTCGCGGCCCCCCTTTTTTGTACCCCAACTTGGGGTGTATGAAGGCTTTTGGTCTCCCTGAGAGTGGCTGGAGGCAGCCAGGGCTTACCTGTACTCTGACTTAAGGAGAGTTGGAAAAAAGTGCACACCTTAAAAAAAATTCAATGAGGAAGCATTAACAAAAACAGTATTTCTGTACAGTGGACAGCTTAGCATGTTGACAACTGAGAATAAAATGCTCAGTTCTGAACTGGACAATGTAAGACACAACGACGAAACACTGGAAATGGAAATTCAATTACATCATTGTAGACTGGCTACTGCTCTACATGATTGTGACCAAAGTCAGAGAGCTGAAAGAGACTTCTTTCCAGAGAACAAGACATGAACAGGTTTATTTACAGAAGACAATGAATTCTCATTTGTCTAACCTAAAAGATTACAGAATCTTTCTCAACAAGTCTAATGTAGACAGTAAAATCAACAGGCTAAAAATTAAGTTCCATGAAACAAGATAAAACTCTGAGAGAAAAGATGGGGCAGGCCGCCATCTTTCCCGTTCGGGCAACTTAGTCATTCCAGCCTGAGGGCTTTGGAGAGTACAAACTGACCAGGGAAAGAAGAGATCCCAGAGCACAGCATAGCTGCTTTACCAAATCATGGCCAGACTGCTTCTGTAAGCAGGCCCCTGATCCTGTTCCACCTCACTGGACAGGACCTCCCAACTGGGGCCTCCAGCTACCCCCACCAGCATCCCTTGGCCAATGGAAATTTGAAATGTTCCTGGGACAGAGCTCCTGGAGAGAGGGGCAGGCCACCACCTTTGCTGTTTGGGTGACTAGCCGTTCTGGCCTGCAGGCTTTGGAGAGCCCAAGCTGACAAGGGGTAGAAGAGGTGCCTCAGCACAGCACAGCCACGCTACGAAAACATGGCCAGACTCTTGTTTAAGTCAGTCCCCGAACACATTTCTAGTCAGTGGGTGAAGTCTTTCAACCAGGGTCTCTGGCTACCTTGACTGCTGT
This sequence comes from Homo sapiens, assembly GCF_000001405.40. Lineage (NCBI taxonomy): Eukaryota > Metazoa > Chordata > Mammalia > Primates > Hominidae > Homo > Homo sapiens. The sequence continues at coordinate 19,001,453 of NC_000014.9, forward strand.
TCTCTGGCCGACAGAGGTCTCAGGCCTCCCTGAGTCAGAGCTCCCGGGGGGAGGACCAGATTGTCATCTTTGCTGTTTGGGTGACCCAGCCATTTCAGCCTTAGGGCTTCAGAGTGTCTGAGGTAGCCAGGGGCTGAAGTGAACCCCCAGCACAGCACAGCTGCTCTATAAAAACGTGGCCAGACTTTTTCTTTAAGCAAGTCCCTGTTCTTATTCCTCCTGACTAGGTAAGACTTCTCAACTTGCCTCCAGCCACATCTTATTGGTGTGTTCAGATTGGCAACAGGTTCGTACCTCAGTGGTACAGAGCTCCCAGAGGAAGGGGTAGGCTATCATCTTCCCTGGAAAATACGAGTCAATTAGGGACTTGAGGGGACCCCCAGCATTCCACAGCAGCCCTTCAGAAAAGTGGCCAGACTCTGTACTTGATGGGCAGATCCTCCTGGCCTGTGTCTCTAGCCAGCCCACCACTGGAGCTATCAAGCCAGTAGCAACTCAGCAGTTCCTTGGACAGAGCTTCCAGGAGCAAATGAAATCCTTTCTGCCACTGCCTTTGCAGTGAACTGCCCTTGCTATCCTCAGAAGATATATCACGGGAGCAAAGACCCTAAGTGCCATATCAACACCTCCAATAAGCTGCAGTTGACCCAAAGAACAAGCCAATCCATCTCCCATAGGTACCACACACACTCCACTACTCATCACCAGACAGGGAACCCTGGCTTGGGCCCACAGCACAGACCCTCCATCCTGGGCCGATTACACTGAGTGATTGCTAACTCACATGTCTCTGGGATGGAGCACCCAGGAGACAAGCAAAGTGGTGGAGCAGCAAGTCAGGTGATGTGGAGCCCAGAGGGCAGGGACAGCTATCTCTCTAGGCTCCACTTGCCCTTGTGAGACACTTTGTCCCAGCACTTTAGGAATGCTGAGGTCAGACCAGCCACATCTCATGTGCAAGATTGCCCAGCAGACATCAGGTCTGAGAGTTCCCCTTTTAAAAAAGGGGACTTGCTTAAAAAAGAAGTCTAGCCACGATTGTGTAGAGCAGCTGTGCTGTGCTGGAGATTCACTTTTGAGAGAGTTCTCCTCTGAGACCTGATCTTTAGAGGCTGGGCAGTCTTGCACATGAGATGGGGCTGGTCTGATCTCAGCACTCCTTAGTCTGCTTGCCTCTCCCAGGGCCCCAGCCTGGCCACACCTGCTTACAGGGCACTCTCAGATGCCCATACCATAGTTTCTGTGCTAGTGGACCGTACCATATCAGTGGAGAGCTGCAGCAAGGTGGCCCCTACGGCCACGCACCAGCCTGCACATTACCTCTCCATACTGCAGCCCTTTATATGGAAACTTCCTACATCACTTTGCTGTGTGTGTTTACACAGGTGGATTTTGCTTTACTTGCACTGACAGCACACAGGAGGGCAGCACACACCCCAACCCACATCAACTGCCATTAAAGAAAAGAAATTTCAGCCCATAATTTCATGTCCAGCAAAATTAGGCATCATAAGTGAAGGAGAAATAAGATCCTTTTCAGACAAGCAAATGCTGAGGGAATTCAATATCACCAGATCTACCTTACAAGAGCTCCTGAAGGAAGCACTAAATATGGAAAGAAAAAACCATCACCAGCCACTACAAAAATGCAGTGAAGAACGCAGTGAATTACGCAGTCCAGTGATGCTAAAAACCAACCACATACGTTAAGTCTGCAAAATAACCAGCTGACAGCATGACGACAGGATAAAATCCACACATACCATTACTAACCTTAAATGAAAATGGGCTAAATGCTCCCATTGAAAGACACGGGGCAAGCTGGATAAAGAACCAAGACCCACTGGAGTATGCTGTCTTCAAGAAACCCATCTCACATGCGGTGGCATACATAGGCTCAAAATAAAGGAATGGAGAAAAATATTTCAAGCAAATGGAAAACAGAAAAAAGCAGGTGTTGCACTCCTACTTTCTGACAAAACAGACTATGCGAATAAAGATAAAAAAGAGAAGGACATTACAAAGGTGGTCCTGACCTTTGATAAATCTCATTGCTTGATACCAACCTGGGCTGTTTTAATTGCCCAAACCAATAGGATAATTTGCTGAGGTTGTGGAGCTTCTCCCCTGCAGAGAGTCCCTGATCTCCCAAAATTTGGTTGAGATGTAAGGTTGATTTTGCTGTACAACTCCTTTTCTGAAGTTTTACTCATTTCCAAAAAGGAAGGCAAGTTTTCCTGCTTCCATGACGATGGAGAGCAGGCATCTCCTTTCCTGAGTTTCAGCTTGCTTCTGACAGGGAAGGTGAGTGTAAGTTTTTTCCAGCTTCTAAGATGGCAGAGAACGATCACCAGCCTGAGCCTTATTTCCAGGTAAGTAGCTGAATTAGAGTTTTGTCTTAAAATTTTTCCTTAATGAATAAAATGTAAGATTACCCACCAGCTGCTTTTAATTTCTCCTTAGCATTAGAACACTCAGTAATCATATGAATTGTGCATTTGTTTGTTTTGCTTAACTCTTTCTGTTTGTTTATGTTTGGGGTTTTATTGTTGTTGTTTCACTTTTCTCCCATCTCTTCCTGACTTGGTCAAATCCAAAGGAATCTTCCAAATTGTGGGGAGCAAGGCATCTGAAATGGCTAAAACTCCTGTGGCTGCAAAAAATAAAAATAAAAAAAAATATATAAAAAAATAAACACACACAAAAAATGAAAAACAAAAACAAAAAACACAAAAAAGCCAAAAGAAAAAACCCCCAAAAAAAACAAAAAAAGGCAAAACAACAACAACAACAACAACAACAAAAAAAAAAACCCAAAAAACAAACAAAAAAAAAACACAGAAAATCCAGTTGGAAATTTTTTAAAACTTTTTTTTTATATAAGTGGTCTCATCTACATAACAAGGCCATCTTTTGCTAGCAAAGGCCAAACTGAAGGAGTAATGGTGGGGACCGAATGTTAAGATTCTGCCCTGTTCACTACAGAAACCTGAGTTTGGTTCCTAAGTCTAGTTCTTTCTGTTTGATATTTGTGTTGCTTTTAAAATATCAGCAGTTTGTCCCAGCTATGATGTGGTAGTAAGAGACTCAAAACGATTTTCTTTACAAGTTCTATGATAAAAGCTTAATTAAAAGAAAATTTGTTTTTTTAAAATTATACTTTAAGTTCTGGGGTACATGTGCAGAACATACAGGTTTGTTACGTAGGTATAATATACACATGCCATGGTGGCTTGCTGCATCCATCAACCCATGATCTGCATTAGGTATTTCTCCTAATGCCATCCCTCTCCTAGCCCCCCACGCTGACAGGCCCTGGTGTGTGATATTCCCCTTCCTGTGTCCATGTGTTCTCATTTTTCAACTCCCACTTATGAGTGAGAACATGTGTTTCTGTTCTTGTGTTAGTTTGCTGAGAATGATGGTTTCCAGCTTCATCCATGTCCCTGCAAAGGACATGAACTCATCCTTTTTTATAGCTTCATAGTATTCCGTAGTGTATATATACCACATTATCCAGTCTGTCACTGATGGGCATTTGGGTTGGTTCCAAGTCTTTGCTGTTGTGAACTGTGCCGCAGTAAACATACGTGTGCATGTGTCTTTATATTAGAATGATTTATTATTTTTTCAGTATATACCCAGTAATGGGATTGCTGGGTCAAATGTATTTCTAGTTGTAGATCCTTGAGGAATCAGCACACTGTCTTCCACAATGGTTGAAATAATTTATACTCCCAGCAAGAGTGTAAAAGCATTCTTATTTCTCCACGTCCTCTCCAGCATGTGTTGTTTCCTGATCTTTTAATGATGGCCATTCTAAGTGGTGTGAGATTGTATCTCATTGTGGTTTTGATTTCCATTTCTCTAATGACCAGTGATGATGTGCTTTGCTTCACGTGTTCTTTGGCTGCATAAATGTCTTCTTTGGGAAGTGTCTGTTCATATCATTTGCCCGCTTTTTCATGGGGTTGTTTATTTTCTTGTAAATTTGTTTAAGTGCTTTGTAGATTCTGCATATTAGCCCTTTGTCAGATGGATAGATTGCAAAAATTTTCTCCCATTCTGTGTGTTGCCTGTTCACTCTGATGATAGTTTGTTTTGCTCTGCAGACACTCTTTAGCTTAATTAGATCCCATTTGTCAATTTTGGCTTTTGTTGCCATTGCTTTTGGTGTTCTAGTGATGAGGTCTCTGCCCATGCCTGTGTCCTGAATGGTATTGCCTAACACAAGGACATTTCTGTGCCTGAATGCCATACCACCCAAAGTTATTTATAGATTCAGTGCTATCCCCATCAAGATACCACTGACTTTTTTCAAAAAATTAGAAAAACTACCTTAAATTTCATATGGAATCAAAAAAGAGTCCGCATAGCCAAGACAATCCTAAGCAAAAAGAACAAAGCTGGAGGCATCACAGTACCTGACTTCAAACTACTCTACAAGGCCACAGTAACGTAAACAGCATGGTACCGGTACAAAACCAAGTATATAGACCAATGGAACAGAACAGAGGCCTCAGAAATGACACCACACTTGTAAAACCACAAGATCTTTGACAAAACTGACAAAAGTAAGCACTGGGGAAAGGATTCCCCATTTTATAAATAAATGGTGTTAGAAAAACTGGCTAGCCATATGCAGAAAACCGAAACTGGGCCACTTCCTTACACTTTATATACAAAAATTAACTTAAGAAGGATAAAAGAGTTAAATGTAAGACCTAAAAGCAAAAAACCTAGAAGAAAACATAGGCCACCAACCTCAGGGGAAATATACTTGTAGTGAAATGCATGGTACAAACGCGCATTCCCTGCTTCCTTGAGTGGGTGAGGTTGGTGGCTGGTCCATCTGCTCCAAGCGTACCCTTACAGAGGTGGCTGGTTGCTCTTTGAGGCAGCTTGGCCTTGCCTGGCATGCACAAGCTTCAGTGCAACAACTGTGCTATAAATGGAGCCACATAGGGGAAATGAGCAGCAGGCTTAGGACCAGGGTGTACACTGCCTTTGGGGCTCCAGTCCGTGCCTCAGGGATGGTATGGCACTGCGAGCTTCTTGGTTGCCAAGAGGCAGATCACAGGCCGTTTTGAGAAGGACTTCATGTTCAACTGCAGAAAGCAGCCAGGATTACCATCTAGGGTACTTGTCCTTCTGTGGCCCTGGCCAGACTTAGAATTTGGGCCAATGCAGGACAAGCTCACTCGGAGCTGTGTGGCAGTCGCTCGGGCGTGTGCATGCCAGGCAAGGGCAAGCTGGCTCAAAAAGCAACAAGCCACCTATTCGAGGGTGGACCTGCAGCAGGTAGACCAACCACAAACCTCACTTAACCAAGGAAATACATGGCCTGGTTCCCACAGCCCGAGTGGCTGCCACGTGATGGCTGATAGAGCAGAGGATTTCAGAAAAGCAGATGGCCCTTTGGTCCTACCTTTAGGGTAGAAGAACTGATGTGCCATTTGCGGGAGCGAGTGAGGTTGGTGGCTGGAGAACCGGTTCCTGGCACACCGTGGCAGAGTTGACTGGTTGCTCTTTGAGCCAGCTTGGCCTTGCTCGGCCTGCACAAGCCTCAGTGCAACAACTGTGCTATGAATGGAGCCACAGAGAGGAAACAAGCAGCAAGATCAGGAGCAGGGTGTACGCTGCCTTTCAGGCTCCAGTCCATGACTCAGGGGTCATATGGCACTGCAGGCTTCTTGGTTGCCAAGAGGCAGACCACAGGCCGTCTTGAGGAGGACTTTACATTCAAGTGCAGAAAGCAGCCAAGATTACCGTCCGGGGGACTCGGCCTTCTGTGGCCCTGGCCAGACTGAGAATTTGTGCCAAGGCAGGACAAGCTCACTCGGAGCAGCGTGCCAGTCGCTGGGGCCTATGCATGCTAGGCAAGGCCAAGCTGGCTCAAAGAGCAACCAGCCACCTGTTCAAGGGTGCGCCTAGAGCAGGCAGAGCATCCACCACCTCACCCACTGAAGGAAGTGGGGATGGCCAGCTTCCCACAGCTTGATTGGCTGCCACCTAATTGCTGATGGAGCAGAGGCCTTAGGAAAAGCAGATGGCACTGTGGCCCTACCTTTAGGGTAGAAGAAGTGAAGCACATGTCTGGCTGCTAGTTGGTGACTGGTGCACCTGCTCAAGGCACACCCTTGCAGAGGCGGCTGGTTGCTCTTTGAGGCAGCTTGGCCTTGGCCGGCATGCCCAAGCTTCAGTGCAACAACTGTGCTACAAATGGCGCCATATAAAAACGAGCAGCAGGCTCAGGAGCAGGGTGTGCACTGCCTTTGGGGCTCCAGTCCATGCCTCAGGCGTCATATGGCACTGTGGGCTTCTTGGTTGCCAAGAGGCAGACCACAGGCTGTCTAGAGGAGGACTTTATGTTCAAGTGTAGAAAGCAGCCAGGATTGCCACCCAGGGCACTCGGCCTTCTGTGGCCCTGTCCAGACTTAGAATTTGTTCCAAGGCAGGACAAACTCACTTGGACCAGCGTGTTAGTACCTGGGGCCTGTGCATGGCAGGCAAGGCCAAGCTGGCTCAAAGAGCCACCAGCCACCTGTGCAAGGGTGTGCCTGGACCAGTTGGACCAGCCACCAAGCTCACCCACTCAAGGAAGCAGGGATGGCGAGATTACAACAGCCTGAGTGGCTGCCACCTGATGGCTGATGGAGCAGAGGCCTGAGGTAAATCAGATGGCACGTTTAACTCTTTAATGGATCTTAAGTTAATATTTCTATAAAGCACATGGCACCAGTCCATGCCTCAGAGTTCGTACGGCACTGCGGACCACAGCAGGCCGAGTCCCCTGGGTGGCAATCCTGCCTGCTTTCTGCACTTGAACATAAAGTCCTCCTCAAGACGGCCTGTGGTCTGCCTCTTGGCCCTACATTTAGGGTAGAGGAAAGGATGTACCATGTCTGGCAGGGAGTGAGGTTGGTGGCTGGTCCGCCTTCTCCTGGCCCAGCCTTGCAGAGGTGGCTGGTTGCTCTTTGAGCCAGCCTGGCTTTGCCTGGCGTGCACACAGCTCAGTGCAACTACTCTGCTACAAATGTAGCCACAGAGAGGAAACGAGCAGCAGGCTCAGGAGCAGGTTGTGCATTGCCTTTGGGGCTCTAGTCCATGCCTCAGGGGTCGTGTAGCACTGCGGGCTTCTTGGTTGCCTAGAGGCAGACCACAGGCCGTCTTGAGGAGGACTTTATGTTCAGGTGCAGAACGCAGCCAGGATTACCATCCAGGGGGGCCTTCTGTAGCCCTGGCCAGACCTTGCAGAGGTGGCTGGTTGCTCTTTGAGCGAGCTCGGCCTCCCTGGCATGCACAGGCCCCAGGTACTAACACGCTGCTCTGAGTGAGCTTGTCCTGCCTTGGCTGCCACCTAACTGCTGATGGAGCAGTGGCCTTAGGAAAAGCAGATGGTGCTGTAGCCCACCTTTAGGGTAGAAGAAGTGATGTACCATGTCCGGCCGCTAGATGGTGACTGGTGCACCTGCTCCAGGCATACCCTTGCAGAGGTGGGTGGTTGCTCTTTGAGCCAGCTTGGCCTTGCCCGGCATGCACAAGCTTCAGTGCAACAACTGTCCTACAAATGGAGCCACAGAGAGGAAACAAGCAGCAAGCTCAGGAGCAGGGTGTGCACTGCCTTTGGGGCTCCAGTCCATGCCTCGGGTCGTATGGTACTGCAGGCTTCTTGGTTGCCAAGAGGCGGACCACAGGCCTTCTTGAGGAGGACTTTACGTTCAAGTGCAGAAAGCAGCCAAAATTACCATCCATGGGACTGAGCCTTCTGTGGCCCTGGCGAGACTTAAAATTTGTGCCAAGGCAGGACAAGCTCACTCGGAGCAGCGTGTCAGTAGCTGGGGCCTATGCATGCCAGGCAAGGCCAAGCTGGCTCAAAGAGCAACCAGCCACCTCTGCAAGGGTGCGCCTAGTGCAGGCAGAGCATCCACCACCTCACCCGCTCGAGGAAGTGGGGATGGCCAGGTTCCCACAGCCTGAGTGTCTGCCACCTTATTGCTGATGGAGCAGAGGCCTTAAGAAAAGCAGATGGCACTGTGGCCCTACCTTTAGGGTGGAAGAAGTGATGTACATGTCCGGACGCTAATTGGTGACTGGTACACCGGCTCCTGCTACACCTTTGCAGAGGTGGCTGGTTGCTCTTTGAGCCAGCTTGTCCTTGCCCAGCATGCACAAGTTTCAGTGCAACAACTTTGCCACAAATGGAGCCATATAGAGGAAAGAAAAAGCAGGTTCAGGAGAAGGGTGTACCCTGCCTTTGGGGCTCCAGTCCATGCCTCAGGTGTCACATGGCACTGCAGGCTTCTTGGTTGCCAAGAGGCAGACCACAGGCCATCTTGGGGAGGACTTTATATACAAGTGCAGAAAGCAGCCAGGATTACCATCCAGGGGGACCTTCTATAGCCCTGGCCAGACCTTGCAGAGGTGTCTGGTTGCTCTTTGAGCCAGCTTGGCCTCCCTGGCATGCACAGGCCCCAGGTACTAACACACTGCTCCGAGTGTGCTTGTCCTGCCTTGGCTGCCACCTAATTCCTGATGGAGCAGTGGCCTTAGGAAAAGCAGATGGCACTGTGGCCCACCTTTAGGGTAGAAGTGATGTACCATGTCTGGCCGTTAGTTGGTGACTGGTACACCTGCTCCTGGCACACCCTTGCAGAGGTGGCTGGTTGCTCTTTGAGCCAGCTTGGCCTTGCCCAGCATGCACAAGCTTCAGTGCAACAACTGTGCTACAAATGGAGCCACAGAGAGGAAACAAGCAGCAGGCTCAGAAACCAGGTGTGCGCTGCCTTTGGGGCTCCAGTCCATGCCTCAGGGGTCGTATGGCACTGCAGGCTTCTTGGTTGCCAAGAGGAAGACCACAGGCCGTCTTGATGAGGACTTTACGTTCAAGTACAGAAAGCAGCCAGGATTACCATCCAGGGGACTCGGCCTTCTGTGGCCCTGGCCAGACATAGAATTTGTGCCAAGGCAGGACAAGCTCACTCGGAGCAGCGTGTCAGTCGCTGGGGCCTATGCATGCCAGGCAAGGCCGAGCTGGCTCAAAGAGCAACCAGCCACCTCTGCAAGGGTGCGCCTAGAGCAGGCAGAGCATCCAGCACCTCAGCCACACAAGGAAGTGGGGATGGCCAGCTTCCCACAGCTTGATTGGCTGCCACCTAATTGCTGATGGAACAGAGGCTTTAGGAAAAGCAGATGGCACTGTGGCCCTACCTTTAGGGTAGAAGAAGTGATGTACATGTCCGGCTGCTAGTTGGTAGCTCGTGCCCTTGCTCCTGGCACACCCTTGCAGAGGTGACTGGTTGCTTTTTGAGCCAGCTTGGCCTTGGCCAGCATGCCCAAGCTTCAGTGCAACAACTGTGCTACAAATGGAGCCATATAGAAACGAGCAGCAGGCTCAGGAGCAGGGTGTGCACTGCCTTTGGGGCTCCAGTCCATGCCTCGGGTCGTACGGTACTGCAGGCTTCTTGGTTGCCAAGAGGCGGACCACAGGCCTTCTTGAGGAGGACTTTACGTTCAAGTGCAGAAAGCAGCCAAAATTACCATCCATGGGACTAAGCCTTCTGTGGCCCTGGCGAGACTTAAAATTTGTGCCAAGGCAGGACAAGCTCACTCGGAGCAGCGTGTCAGTAGCTGGGGCCTGTGCATGCCAGGCAAGGCCAAGCTGGCTCAAAGAGCAACCAGCCACCTCTGCAAGGGTGCGCCTAGTGCAGGCGGAGCATCCACCACCTCACCCGCTCGAGGAAGTGGGGATGGCCAGGTTCCCACAGCCCGAGTGTCTGCCACCTTATTGCTGATGGAGCAGAGGCCTTAAGAAAAGCAGATGGCACTGTGGCCCTACCTTTAGGGTAGGACGCTAATTGGTGACTGGTACACCGGCTCCTGCTACACCTTTGCAGAGGTGGCTGGTTGCTGTTTGAGCCAGCTTGTCCTTGCCCGGCATGCACAAGTTTCAGTGCAACAACTTTGCCACAAATGGAGCCATATAGAGGAAACAAGAAGCAGGTTCAGGAGAAGGGTGTACCCTGCCTTTGGGGCTCCAGTCCATGCCTCAGGTGTCACATGGCACTGCGGGCTTCTTGGTTGCCAAGAGGCAGACCACAGGCCATCTTGGGGAGGACTTTATATTCAAGTGCAGAAAGCAGCCAGGATTACCATCCAGGGGGACCTTCTATAGCCCTGGCCAGACCTTGCAGAGGTGTCTGGTTGCTCTTTGAGCCAGCTTGGCCTCCCTGGCATGCACAGGCCCCAGGTGCTAACACACTGCTCCGAGTGTGCTTGTCCTGCCATGACTGCCACCTAATTCCTGATGGAGCAGAGGCCTTAGGAAAAGCAGATGGCACTGTGGCCCACCTTTAGGGTAGAAGTGATGTACCATGTCTGGCCATTAGTTGGTGACTGGTGCACCTGCTCCTGGCACACCCTTGCAGAGGTGGCTGGTTGCTCTTTGAGCCCGCTTGGCCTTGTCCAGCATGCACAAGCTTCAGTGCAACAACTGTGCTACAAATGGAGCCACAGAGAGGAAACAAGCAGCAGGCTCAGGAACCAGGTGTGCGCTGCCTTTGGGGCTCCAGTCCATGCCTCAGGGGTCGTATGGCACTGCAGGCTTCTTGGTTGCCAAGAGGCAGACCACAGGCCGTCTTGATGAGGACTTTACGTTCAAGTACAGAAAGCAGCCAGGATTACCATCCAGGGGACTCGGCCTTCTGTGGCCCTGGCCAGACATAGAATTTGTGCCAAGGCAGGACAAGCTCACTCGGAGCAGCGTGTCAGTCGCTGGGGCCTATGCATGCCAGGCAAGGCCGAGCTGGCTCAAAGAGCAACCAGCCACCTCTGCAAGGGTGCGCCTAGAGCAGGCAGAGCATCCAGCACCTCAGCCACACAAGGAAGTGGGGATGGCCAGCTTCCCACAGCTTGATTGGCTGCCACCTAATTGCTGATGGAACAGAGGCCTTAGGAAAAGCAGATGGCACTGTGGCCCTACCTTTAGGGTAGAAGAAGTGATGTACATGTCCGGCTGCTAGTTGGTAGCTCGTGCCCTTGCTCCTGGCACACCCTTGCAGAGGTGACTGGTTGCTTTTTGAGCCAGCTTGGCCTTGGCCGGCATGCCCAAGCTTCAGTGCAATAACTGTGCTACAAATGGAGCCATATAGAAACGAGCAGCAGGCTCAGGAGCAGGGTGTGCACTGCCTTTGGGGCTCCAGTCCATGCCTCAGGCATCGTATGTCACTGTGGGCTTCTTGGTTGCCACGAGGCAGATCACAGGTCCTCTTGAGGAGGACTTTACGTTCAGGTGTAGAAAGCAGCCAGGATTGCCACCCAGGGCACTCGGCCTTCTGTGGCCCTGGCCAGACTTAGAATTTGTGCCAAGGCAGGACAAACTCACTGGGAGCAGCGTGTTATTTCCTGAGGCGTGCGCATGCCAGGGAAGCCCAAGCTGGCTCAAAGAGCCACCAGCCACCTGTGCAAGGGTGGGCCTGGACCAGTTGGACCAGCCACCAAGCTCACCTACTCAAGGAAGCAGGGATGGCCAGGTTGCAACAGCCTGAGTGGCTGCCACCTGATAGCTGATGGAGCAGAGGCCTGAGGAAAATCAGATGGCACATTTAGCTCTTTAATGGATCTTAAGTTAATTTTTCTATAAAGCACATGGCACCAGTCCATGCCTCAGAGCTCGTATGGCACTGCGGACCACAGCAGGCCGAGTTCCCAGGGTGGCAATCCTGGCTGCTTTCTGCACTTGAACATAAAGTCCTCCTCAAGATGGCCTGTGGTCTGCCTCTTGGACCTACCTTTAGAGTAGAAGAACGGATGTACCATGTCCTGAAGCAAGTGAGGTTGGTGACTGGTCCACCTTCTCCTGGCCCAGCCTTGCAGAGGTGGCTGGTTGCTCTTTGAGCCAGCTTGGCCTTGCCCAGCATGCGCAAAGCTCAGTGCAACTACTCTGCTACAAATGTAGCCACAGAGAGGAAACGAGCAGCAGGCTCAGGAGCAGGTTGTGCATTGCCTTTGGGGCTCTAGTCCATGCCTCAAGGGTCGGGTAGCACTGCGGGCTTCTTGGTTGCCTAGAGGCAGACCACAGGCCATCTTGAGGAGGACTTTATGTTCAAGTGCAGAAAGCAGCCAGGATTACCATCCAGGGGGGCCTTCTGTAGCCCTGGCCAGACCTTGCAGAGGTGGCTGGGTGCTCTTTGAGCGAGCTCGGCCTCCCTGGCATGCACAGGCCCCAGGTACTAACACGCTGCTCTGAGTGAGCTTGTCCTGCCTTGGCTGCCACCTAACTGCTGATGGAGCAGCGGCCTTAGGAAAAGCAAATGGCGCTGTAGCCCAACTTTAGGGTAGAAGAAGATGTACCATGTCCGGCCGCTAGTTGGTGACTGGTGCACCTGCTCCTGGCATACCCTTGCAGAGGTGGGTGGTTGCTCTTTGAGCCAGCTTGGCCTTGCCTGGCATGCACAAGCCTCAGTGCAACAACTGTCCTACAAATGGAGACACAGAGAGGAAACAAGCAGCAGGCTCAGGAGCAGGGTGTGCGCTGCCTTTGGGGCTCCAGTCCATGCCTCGGGTCGTATGGTACTGCAGGCTTCTTGGTTGCCAAGAGGCGGACCACAGGCCTTCTTGAGGAGGACTTTACGTTCAAGTGCAGAAAGCAGCCAAAATTACCATCCATGGGACTAAGCCTTCTGTGGCCCTGGCGAGACTTAAAATTTGTGCCAAGGCAGGACAAGCTCACTCGGAGCAGCGTGTCAGTAGCTGGGGCCTATGCATGCCAGGCAAGGCCAAGCTGGCTCAAAGAGCAACCAGCCACCTCTGCAAGGGTGCGCCTAGTGCAGGCGGAGCATCCACCACCTCACCCGCTCGAGGAAGTGGGGATGGCCAGGTTCCCACAGCCTGAGTGTCTGCCACCTTATTGCTGATGGAGCAGAGGCCTTAAGAAAAGCAGATGGCACTGTGGCCCTACCTTTAGGGTGGAAGAAGTGATGTACATGTCCGGACGCTAATTGGTGACTGGTACACCGGCTCCTGCTACACCTTTGCAGAGGTGGCTGGTTGCTGTTTGAGCCAGCTTGTCCTTGCCCGGCATGCACAAGCTTCAGTGCAACAACTTTGCCACAAATGGAGCCATATAGAGGAAACAAGAAGCAGGTTCAGGAGAAGGGTGTACCCTGCCTTTGGGGCTCCAGTCCATGCCTCAGGTGTCACATGGCACTGCGGGCTTCTTGGTTGCCAAGAGGCAGACCACAGGCCATCTTGGGGAGGACTTTATATTCAAGTGCAGAAAGCAGCCAGGATTACCATCCAGGGGGACCTTCTATAGCCCTGGCCAAACCTTGCAGAGGTGTCTGGTTGCTCTTTGAGCCAGCTTGGCCTCCCTGGCATGCACAGGCCCCAGGTACTAACACACTGCTCCGAGTGTGCTTGTCCTGCCTTGGCTGCCACCTAATTCCTGATGGAGCAGTGGCCTTAGGAAAAGCAGATGGCACTGTGGCCCAACTCTAGGGTTGAAGAACTGATGTACCATCTCCGACCTGTAGTTGGTAACTGGTGCACCTGCTCTTCCTTGCAGAGGTGGCTGGTTGCTCTTTGAGCCAGCTTGGCCTTGCCGGGCATGTACAAGCTTCAGTGCAACAACTGTGCTACAAATGGAGCCACAGAGAGGAAACAAGCAGCAGGCTCAGGAGCAGGGTATGCGCTGCCTTCGGCTCTCCAATCCATGCCTCAGGGCTCCTATGCCACTGCACGATTCTTGGTTGCCAAGAGGCCAACCACAGGCCATCTTGAGAAGGAGTTTATGTTCCACTGCAGAAAGCAGCCAGGATCACCATCCAGGGGACTTGGTCTTCTGTGGCCCTGGCCAGACATAGAATTTGTGCCAAGGCAGGACAAGCTCACTCAGAGCAGCGTGTTAGTACCTCAAATCTGTGCATGCCAGACAAGGCCAAACTGGCTCAATGAGCAACCAGCCACCTCTGCAGGGGTGCGTCTGGAGGAGGTGGACCAGCCACCAACCTTACCCAGTCAAGGAAGTGGATGGCCATGTTCCCACAGCCTGAGTGGCTGCCACCTGATGGCTGATGGAGCAAAGGCCTTAGGAAAAGCAGGTGGCCCTTGGCCCTACCTTCTTGTTAGAAGAACTGATGTTCCATGTCCTGCAGCGAGTGAGGTTGGTGGCTGTGCCCCCAGCTCCTGGCACACCCTCGCAGAGGTGACTGGTTGCTCTTTGAGCCCTCTTAGCCTTGCCCAGCATGCACAAGCCTCAGTGCTACTACTGTGCTACAAATGGAGCCATATAGGGGAAACGAGCAGCCATCTCAGGAGCAAGGTGTATGCTGCCTTTGGGGGCTCCAGTCCTTGCCTCAAGGGTCTTATGTCACTGTGGGCTTCTTGGTTGCCAAGAGGCAGACCATAGGCTGTCTTGAGAAGGACTTTATGTTCAAGTGCAGAAAGCAGCCAGGATTACCACCCTCGGGACTCTGCCTTCTGTGGCCCTGGCCAAACTTAGAATTTGGCCGTAGACAGGACAAGCTCACTTGGAGTAGCGTGTCTGTAGCTGGGGTCTGTGCATGCCAGGCAAGGCCAAGCTGGCTCAAAGAGCAACCAGCCACCTCTGCAAGGGTGCACCTAGAGCAGGTGGAGCAGCCACCAGCTCACCCACTCCAGGAAGCCGGGGTAGCCAGGTTCCCAAAGCCTGAGTGGGTGCCACCTAATGGCTGAAGAAACAGAGGCCTTAGGAAAACCAGATGGCACTGTGGCCCTACCTTTATGGTAGAAGAGCTGATTTAGCCTGACTGGCAGCGTGTGAGGTTGATGGCTGGTCTGCCTGCTGCTGGCACATCCGTGCAAAGATAGCTGGTTGCCCTTTGAGCCAGCTTGCCCTTGCCCAGCATGCACAAGCCTCAGTGCAACAACTGTGCTACAAATGGGGCCATATAGAGGAAAGGAGCAGCTGGCTCTGGAGCATGGTGTGCACTCCCTTTGGGCCTTCAGTCCATGTCTCATGGGTCGTATGACACTGCGGGCGTGTTGGTTGCCAAGAGGCAGACCACAGGTCATCTTGAGGAGGACTTTATGTTCCAGTCCAGAAAGCAGCCAGTGGTACCACCCAGGGGACTTGTGCTTCTGTGGCCCAGGCCAGACGTAGAATTTGACAAAGTCAGGACAGTCTCAGTCAGAGCAGCATGTCGGTCCCTGGGGCCTGTGCATGCCAGGCAAGGCCAAGCTGGCTTAAAGAGCAAGCAGCCACCTCTGTTAAGGGTGTGCCTGGAGCAGGTGGAGCAGCCACCAACCTCACCCACTGAAAGAAGCAGGGATGGCCAGGTTCCAACATCCTGAGTGGCTGCCACCTGATGGCTGATGGAGCAGAGGCCTGAGGAAAAGCAGATGGCACTGCTTTGTAGTGCTGTTCTTTGTCTCTCTTGATCTTTTTCAGTTAATGTCTGTTTTATCAGAGACTAGGATTGCAAACCCTGCTCTTTTTTGCTTTCCATTTGCTTGGTAAATATTCCTCCATCCCTTTATTTTAAGCCTATGTGTGTCTTTGCACATGAGATGGGTCTCCTGAATACAGGACAACAATGGGTCTTTACTCTTTATCCAACTTGCCAGTCTGTGTCTTTTAACTGGGGCATTTAGCCCATTTACATTTAAATTTAGTATTGTTACATGTGAAATTTATCCTGTCATGATGTTGCTAGCTTTTTATTTTTCCCATTAGTTTGCAGTTTCTTTATAGTGTCAATGGTCTTTACAATTTGATATGTTTTTGTAGTGGCTGGTACTGGTTTTTCCTTTCTACGTTTAGTGTCTCCTTCAGGAGCTCTTGTAACACAAGAATGTGGATTTATTTCTTGTAAGGTAAATATGTGGATTTATTTCTTGGGACTGTATTCTATGGCCTTTACCCCAAGAATCATTACTTTTTAAAATGCAATTCAAATTAGCATAAAACATTTACAGCCTATGGAAAGGCTTGTGGCATTAGAATCCTTATTTATAGGATTATTTTGTGTTTTTTTGAGATATGGTCTTTGTCATCGAGGCAGAAGTGCCGTGGTTTGATCATAATTCACCACAGCCCTGAACTCTTGAGTCCAAGCCATCCTTTTGCCTTAATCTCCCAACCAGTTGGATCTACAAGCATAAGGCATCATGCGTGGCTAATTTTTTCACGTTTTTTTTTTTTTTTTTTTTTTTTTTTGTCGAGATTATGGTATCACTATGTTGCTCTGGCTGATCTCAAATGTTTGACCTCAAGGGATCTTTCTGCCACAGTCTCCTAAAGTGCTAGGATTATATGCATGATACACCATGCCTATTGTAGAGTATTACATTATTTTCAAAGTCTTATTGTAAGAGCCATTTATTGCCTTTGGCCTAAATAACTCAATATAATATCTCTGAAACTTTTTTTTGACAAGTTTTGGGGCATGATGATGAGAGAAGGGGGTTTGAAACTTTCTAATAAGAGTTAACTTAGAGCCATTTAAGAAAGGAAAAAACACAAATTATCAGAAAAACAACAGTAAGATCAAGTGCAAAAGTTCTGTGGCAAAGATGATGAGAGTAAAGAATATATGTTTGTGACTCATGGTGGCTTTTACTTTGTTCTTGAATTTCTGAGTACGGGTTAACATTTAAAGAATCTACATTATAGATAACATTTTATTGCAAGTAAATGTATTTCAAAATTTGTTATTGGTTTTGTATGCGATTATTCTCAGCCTACTTCATTATCAAGCTATATTATTTTATTAATGTAGTTCGATGATCTTACAGCAAAGCTGAAAGCTGTATCTTCAAAATATGTCTATTTGACTAAAAAGTTATTCAACAGGAGTTATTATCTATAAAAAAATACAACAGGAATATAAAAAACTTGAAGAGGATAAAAAGATGTTGGAAAAAGTAATATTAAATCTTAAAAAACATATGGAAACTACACAATGGTGAAGACACATTGGTGAAGTACAAAAATATAAATTGGATCTAGAAGAAAGGGCAATGCAGGCAATAGAAAAATTAGTAGAAATCCCTTTAAAGGTTAGTTTGTAAAATCAGGTAAGTTTATTTATAATTTGCTTTCATTTATTTCACTGCAAATTATATTTTGGATATGTATATATATTGTGCTTCCTCTGCCTGTCTTACAGCAATTTGCCTTGCAGAGTTCTAGGAAAAAGGTGGCATGTGTTTTTACTTTCAAATATTTAAATTTCCATCATTATAACAAAATCAATTTTTCAGAGTAATGATTCTCACTGTGGAGTCATTTGATTATTAAGACCCGTTGGCATAAGATTACATCCTCTGACTATAAAAATCCTGGAAGAAAACCTAGGAAATATTCGTCTGGACATTGCACTTGGCAATGAATTTATGGGTAAGTCCTCAAAAGCAATTGCCAGAAAAACGAAAATTGAGAAGTGTGATTTAATTAAACTAAAGAGCTGCTTCTGCACAGCATGAGAAACTCTCAAGGGGGATTGAACAGACAGCCTACAGAGTGGAAGAAAATATTCACACACTATGCATACAGCAAAGGCCTATTATCCAGAATCTATAAGAGACTTAGACAAATCAAGAAGCAAAAAATAACCCCATTAAAAAATGGGCAAAGAACATGAACAGACAGTTTTCAAAAGAACACATACGTGGCCAACAAACATATTAACACATGCATACCATCACTAATCATTAGAGAATGCAAAGCAAAACATCAATTAGATACCATCTCACACCAGTTAGAATGACTTCTGTTACAAAGTAAAAATAATAAAAATATTTAAATATTCAATAATAAAATGTTATTTAGGTTGAGATAAATTAATTTGTCATTATTCTCAAAACGTGGATATTCAAGAATAACCTTACTTCACATGTAATAACACAACAACTACCTTAAAAAATAAAAGCTGGGGCCTAGCACAGTGTCTCAAGTCTGTAATCCCAGCACTTTGGGAAGCTGAGGTGGGCCGATCACGAGGTCAGGAGTTTGAAACAAGCCAGGCCAACGTGGTGAAACCCCATGTCCACTAAAAATACAAAAATTAACTAGGCATGGTGGTGGGCACCTGTAATCCCAGCTATCTGGGAGGCTGAGGCAGGAGAATCATTGGAACCTGGGAGGTGGAGGTTGCAGTGAGCTGAGATCAGGTCATTGCACTCCAGCCTGGGCAACAGGGTGAGACTCCATCTCAAAAATAAATAAATAAATAAATAAATAAAATTAAATGAAGAAAAACAAAAGCTGGAAGTTGTATGAAAATATTAATGCACATACCATCTTTTGAAAATGTTCATTGTTTCTCTAGAGATTTCAATACCTATTCTAGCTTATTATAGTAACCTATAATTTGTATTATACCAACTATGGTATAAAAACCTTAAAATGTATATTTTTGTTTTCTCTCTCCTTTATACTATTTATGTCATGCATTATAGTCTCAAATATTATGAATTCCATAATATAAAGTTACTCTTTTTTTAAAAAAATAAGACAATTATCTTTAGAGCAATGTAAAATAATTGGGCTATATATCTTTATATCTTCTCTGGCACTCTTTATTTCTTTGTGTAGTTTCAACTTTCATCTGCTTCCATATTCCTTTTGCCTCAAGAAATGATTTTGACATTTATTTTAGTGCAGACCTGTTAGCAAGGGACTCTTGCAGTGTTAATCTGAAAATGTCTTCATTTCATTGTTATTTTCACTATATAGTTAATGGATGTAAGATTGGGGGTTGACTTTTTTTAAGTTATTTAAAAATTTTGTATCATTGGTTTCTGACTTGTAGAGTTGCTGACACGCAGTTCACTGTAATGGCTATTTCTGTTTATCTCTCTACACAGTGTTCCTATTTTTCTGTGACTGAATTCAAGATTTTTGCTAATCGTTGGTTTTCAGCAGTTTGACTAGTGTGATTATTCTAGCGTTCTTTAAATTTTGTATTTATCTTTCTTGGATCTTTTTGAGTTTATTTGGTCTCCTTAGTCATCTTTTTCAAATTTTTCTTCCCTTACATTCTGTTTTTACTCTCCTGGAATTCCAATTAATTGTATTTTACTTAATTTCATGTTACCAGAGAATTCTTGGATTCACTGGAGTATTTTATTTGCTTGGCTCATTGGTTTATTTTGTTTTTCTCTTTCCTCCCTTTGTGCTACCATTCAAATAATTTGTATTGACCTAGCATAAAATTTACTGCTTCTTTCTTTAGCTCTGATGACCAGTCTGCTAATCAGCTTGCTGTTGTAATTCTTCATTTCTGTTCTCATGCTTTCACTTATTTCTAGCTTTTGCCTTTTACTGTTCCCATCTCTGCTGAAATTCCTCATTTTTCCATACATGTTGTCTTTTTTTAAGTAGATTCTTTAACATTTTGATCATTATTATTTTAAATTAGTTGCATTTAGTTCCAACATCTGAATTATCTCTGAATTTGATTCTGTTGACTTTTTATCTTTTGAAAATATTATAACTCATAACCCAAATTTCTAACTTGGTTTTATGTGTCTCCCAGTTTCTAAAAAATGCAAATCATCAGATGTAGAAAATCAGTAGATCATGAGATAATTGTTTATGTTGAGATTGTTTTATATTTATGTTTCATTTTGGTTTGTGTCATGCTATTAGTGTGGGCAGGAACAAAGGTTGGTTTTTGCCACGGTGTCTGAAACATTCAGTGAACCACGTAACTCAGATTTCTCCAGCAGCAGGCTGCTATATCATGTGCCTTGTGTGGGGCCTTAGGCTCTGGAGGGCATATTCCAGTGCTCCTGTTCCAGTTATCTTTCCATAGTCCTTACCACATATGTCATAGGAGGGTCTCTCTCCACTTTCTTGTTCCTCTCTAACTGTAGAACATCATTTTGTGTGTGTGTGTGTGTGTGTGTGTGTGTGTGTGTGTGTGTGACTAGGCAGAAAATTCAGGTTGGGGGCAGAGGGATGATTCATGTTATTTTTGAGCCAGTTTCATCATTGGACACTCAGAGAAGGGGTATTTTTAGCACTTCCTGACTCTTATTCTAGTGGGAATCAAACTGTCTCATATCTGTGTTGTTTTTTGAGGAAGAAATGATACCTTGCCCTCCTCCCACCTCAGTGGTAGAAAACCTTTGATTTATATCATTGCAAGTTTTCAACCCCACACTAAGGACATACTATTTTATTTCTTCTTCCATAGGAACAATGCACCTTTGTCTGTGTCACTGGATGGAGATTTTCCAACCCTTTACCACAGTAGCACAACTCTGCATTAGTGCAAAATCCTGGGCCCCAAAACAATCCTTGTTCCTCTCCTGATGGAGAAGTATTTTTCTTGCATCCCTCCCCCAGAAGCAGTGATCCTTTGCCTGGTCTCAGGTGGGATAGGGTAGGCTATGAGAGGTTTCTTAACCTTCTCGGAAAGCTGATGTGTTTTGCTGCTTCTTATCTCCCAGAAACAGTAGACTTTTGCGTGGGTTCATGGACCCAGATGCTTTTTTGCCACAGAAAACGAAGGGTTTTGATTCTTAGGAGAGAAGCAAATGTTCATGTAGTCAATTTTTTTCTTATTTATTTTTTGCTTTGTTTTATTATTTCAGTAGTGATGAGTATGATCATTATTTTCCACTTATGCCACTTGCAACTCTAATATTTTGTTTTTATTAGCCCCCCTTTGACAGTTCAGCACTAAATCAAATGCAGATGATCATCAGTTGTGTGAATAAAGTGTTTTTATTGAGAACAAAATTGTTGATATAGACACAAATTAGGATATTATCCTACTTAGCACAATATGTCACTGGCTCAAAATGTAAAATCCTCTTTAGGCTGAACAAAGAATGGTTCTTAAAACTATTGTCCCTTTTTGACAAATAAAAAAAATCCCAATGCTTTTTATCTCATGGATAGATTATTAAAATAATTACATACCTGATCTTCATTTTATGTTCTCTCTCTTCAAGATATTTCCTTCAAAACTACTTTGACTGATTAGTCTCTTTTGAATTACGTTAGACTTTGTATTTTCTCCACAAGCTCATCAGGGTAAATCCTGCCTTTACATTTTTTATAAAAATTCTCTTTTTTTTTTTTCAAATCTTAGTTGAGCTGAAAGATTTCCACCAAATGTCTCCTATGCCACAAAGCCTTATTTTACTTATCTGCCCATCCTCCTTGCTCAAGCTCATTTAGGAATATTTTTATTAAAACATTAATGCAATACTGTTTTTTAAAAAATCTGAACATACAGTATTTTCAATTTGAACACAAAATAGTGCTCTAACTTGAAAACAAGTTTTAGAAACAAATGTTTCTAGAAGGAGGATCAACAGTGTCATAAGTATCATAATCCAATTCTCCTGTTTGTACTAAAACATTAGCAAATATTTATTGAGAAATTGCTGTCTGCCTGAAAGTATAATGCTTTTGATACACATTATATCATATAAACTATGTACTATTATTAGTAGTATCTTAAGAGTAAAAATATCGAGTCTTAGAGATGTTAAGCAATGTGCTCAAATAGCATAGGGAAAGTTGGAATTCTGAAATTCCGACTATGCCTTAGGTATGATAGGAGAATCAATGTTTGTCAAATGTAAGTGTCAAGTCATTGTGGGGATTCAGATGCCTCTGATTGCTAGGGTCAGTACACTTAAGCAGATCATGTCACTACTTAGTTAAATCTATTTCATTAAAGCAAAATTCCACAAAGATTATTGGCACCAAAACCATTATTTTTCTTCCTCCCTTCCTTCTTTCCTTCTTTGCTTCCTTCCTTCCTTCCTCGCTCTCTCACCTGCCTGCCTTTCTTTCTTTCTTTCTTTCTTTCTTTCTTTCTTTCTTTCTCTTTCTTTTTCTTTCTTTTTCTTTCTCTTTCTTTCCTTTTCTTTCTTTCTTTCTTTCTTTTTCCTTCCTTTCTTTCTCTTCCTTCCTTCCTTCCTTCCTTCCTTCCTTCCTTCCTTCCTTCTTTCGAGACAGGGTCTCAGTCTGTTACCCAAGCTGGAGTACAGTGGCACAATCATGGCTTACTGCAGCCCCAGCTTCCCCAGGCTCAGGTGATCCTCCCGTCTCATCCTCCTGAGTAGCTGGGACTACAGGCAAGCCACTATGCCTGGCTAATTTTTTTTTTTTTTTTGGTAAAGATTGGGTTTCACCATGTTGCCGAGCCTGGTCTGCAACTCCTCAGCTCAAGCAATCCACTTGCCTTTGCCTCCCAAACTATTGGGATTCCAGGTGTAAGCCTCACGCCTGGACAAAAATATTATTTAACAAGTTCAATTTAAGTATTAGATTTTGGACAATGAGGGATAGAATTTTCTACATCATAATTCATCTTGTGTTCTTTATTTAAAGTAATACATAAGGATTTCAATTCAATTCAAATATATTTATTAGCAAATTAAATGGCTTTTTCAGGATTCCAAACTTTTGTTGAAGACATAAATGTTAAATGATGTCACTAATTTTAATTAGATTAACAAAAAGGTATTCTGGTGTGTAATAACAGTGACAGAATGGGCTATTAATTTTATTTTCTTCCTCTTTCTCTCTTTCCCCTTTTTAAAATATTTTACTTTTTAGGCGCTTTGGAATCCTGCAGATATAATAATGATAATTAAACAAAACACTCAGAGAAACTGCCAACCCTAGGATGAAGTATATTGTTACTGTGCTTTGGGATTAAAATAAGTAACTACAGTTTATAGAACTTTTATACTGATACACAGACACTAAAAAGGGAAAGGGTTTAGATGAGAAGCTCTGCTGTGCAATCAAGAATCTCAGCCACTCATTTCTGTAGGGGCTGCAGGAGCTCCCTGTAAAGAGAGGTTATGGAGTCTGTAGCTTCAGGTAAGATACTTAAAACCCTTCAGAGTTTCCCCATTTTTTCCCATAGTTTCCCCAAAAAGGTTATGACACTTTATAAGAATGCTTCACTTGTGAAAAACAAATATCAAAGTCTTCTTGTAGATTATATTTAAGGACAAATCTTTATTCCATGTTTAATTTATTTAGCTTCCCCTGTAGCTAATATTTCATGCTGAACACATTTTAAATGCTGTAAATGTAGATAATATAATTTATGTATCATTAATGCCTCTTTAGTAGTTTAGAGAAAACGTCAAAAGAAATGGCCCCAGAATAAGCTTCTTGATTTGTAAAATTCTATGTCATTGGCTCAAATTTGTATAGTATCTCAAAATATAAATATATAGACATCTCAGATAATATATTTGAAATAGCAAATTCCTGTTAGAAAATAATAGTACTTAACTAGATGAGAATAACAGGTCGCCATTATTTGAATTGTCTCCTATTCGTTTTTCATTTGTTGTGTTACTCATGTTTTACTTATGGGGGATATATATAACTTCCGCTGTTTTCAGAATTATTGTATGCAGTCAGTATGAGAATGCAATTTAAGTTTCCTTGATGCTTTTTCACACTTCTATTACTAGAAATAAGAATACAGTAATATTGGCAAAGAAAATTGACCAGTTCAATAAAATTTTTTAGTAAATCTGATTGAAAATAAACATTGCTTATGGCTTTCTTACATCAATATTGTTATGTCCTAGACACCTTATCTGAAATTACGGCTTCAAAATTCTAATTATGTGCAAATGTGTAAAATATCAATACTTTATGTTCAAGCTGGGGCCTCTTCAGGCGTCCTGGGCTGAGAGAGAAAGATGCTAGCTCCGCAAGCCGGGGAGGGAACACCGCCACATTGTTACACGGACACACCGCCACGTGGACACATGACCAGACTCACATGTACAGACACACGGAGACATTACCACATGGAGACACCGTCACACAGTCACACGAACACACTGGCATAGTCACATGGACGACACACAGACATATGGAGAAATCACACTGACACACCACCACACTATCACAGGGACACAGACACACGGAGACATCACCACATGGACACACTGTCACACTACCACAGGGACACGAGACATCACACTGTCACATGGACACACCATCACACACATGAACACACCGACACACTGCCATATGGATACTGCCACACACACTGCCACACTGTCACATGGACACACCTCCATACCGTCACACCACCACACACACTGCCATGTGGACACAAGGACACACAGACACTGTCACACAGATACACAAAACACTGTCACACGGAGACATCACCATGCAGATACACCACCACATGGACATAGCACCAGACACTCTGCCACACAGATACACCACCACACAGAAATGCGGACACACTGCCATACAGACACCACCACATCGTTGCCACACTTTCATGTGTCAGCTGGCGGTGTGGGCCCCACGACTCTGGGCTCTAATCGAGAAATTACTTGGACATATAGTGAAGGCAAAATTTTTTTTTTATTTTCTGAGACGTAGTGTCGCTCTGTTGCCCAGGCTGGAGTGCAGTGGCGTGATCTCCGCTCACTGCAAGCTCTGCCTCCCGGGTTCACGCCACTCTCCCGCCTCAGCCTCCCAAGTAGCTGGGACTACAGGTGCCCGCCAACTTCTTGTGTGTTCTTAGTAGAGACGGGGTTTCACCTTGCTAGCCAGGATGGTCTCGATCTCCTGACCTCGTGATCCGCCCGCCTTGGCCTCCCAAAGTGTTGGGACTACAGGCGTGAGCCAGCGCGCCAGGCCAAGAATTTCTTTCCATCTCCTGTGTCATTGCTTTGGCAGTGGAAACGCACGTGGCCTCTAAAGAGTGGGTCCCAAGGTCATGAAGGCCTGTGGGGTGGAGGACAAGGTCTCTCTTTCCAGGCTGGAATGGCGGAAGATGCGGCGGCAGAGGGGCTGCATGTCCTCCTCACAGCAGGCCCCTGAGGACCTTTATCCTCCTGAGCCATGAATGTCCCTCAGGAGTGTCTAAAGCACCCGGTGGGGCAGGGGGACCCCTATAGGCCTTAGGAGCTCTGGCCAATTAGTGGTCAGTAAAACGCAGAGGTGAACACCATAGAACCACAGGTCCAGGAGAATTTTGTAAAAGCTCTGAGGATGCCCTTTTTTGTTCTCCCACTGCAAAATTGTTTTAAAAAGGAAAAAAATCCAGCAATGTCTGGGGAAAGTCAATACTGAGTGTCAGCGCGGGATGCTGCCGCTGATAAGATCCCGGCGTCCTGGCCGAAAGTGGCCTCGGGGACCGCATCTCCGCGCACCATGGCAGCAAAGGCCAGTGGTTTGTGGGCGGATGGTGTCCCTGTGGCCATCCCCACTCCTGAGTGCGGAAGGACAGGAGTGGGGACTTCTGGGTGTTCCTGGTGTCAGCCAGCTTGACGCCGTTGCTGCTCCTTGAAGTCCGGGATTTGGAGAAGCACCTGGTTCCTGATGGAGGCCGTGGGCCTCTTGGTACCCGCTTACCAGGCAGCGGCGCCAGCCTAGTTCTCAGCCCCGCCCCAGATGGGCGCTGCCTTCCATCACGCCAAAGACTTTCCGAAACTGCCCTTCTTGGGCCTGGGAAGCAGATCCTGGGCTTCCCTGGGGCCTGTGGCGCTGGCAGCAGCTCCACGTTGAGGTCGCCTGCAGCCCGCACTGCGGAGTGCTGGAGGTCCTTGAGCCAGGCATGGGGAGGCCAATCCGCAGGTGCTGGGCGCCCGATGCCGGTCGCAGTCTCAAAAGCGCCTGGAGGTGACATCCAGGAGCACCACCGCGCCGCCCGCAGGGAGACCCATGGCGAGGCGCGCCCCCTAAGGCGGCCAAGGAAAAAGCAGAAGGACAGGAAGGTGCCCCAGAGCTCGATCTCAGGCCGCAAGCACCGACCAAGTTCCTGGTCTCCGGGAGGTCTTTTTTTTTTTTATTTTTTCCATATTTCATTATTATTATTATTATTAACTTTTCCAGATGGATTGAAGACTTAAATGTTAGACCTAAAACCATAAAAACCCTAGAAGAAAACCTAGGCAATACCACTCAGGACATAGGCATGGGCAAGGACTTCATGTCTAAAACACCAAAAGCAATGGCAACAAAAGCCAAAATTGACAAATGGGATCTAATTAAACTAAAGAGCTTCTGCACAGCAAAAAAAAAAAAACTTCCATTAGAGTGAACTGGCAACTTACAGAATGGGAGAAAATTTTTGCAATCTACCCATCTGACAAAGGGCTAATATCCAGAATCTACAAAGAACTTAAACAAATGTACAAGACAAAATCAAACAATCACATCAAAAAGTGGGCGAAGGATATGAACAGACACTTATCAAAAGAAGACATTTATGCAGCCAACAGACACATGAAAAAATGTTCATCATCACTGGTCATCAGAGAAATGCAAATCAAAACCACAATCCGGGAGGTCTTGCCAAAGACCACCTGGGCTTTCCGGGCAACGTGCTAGAGCTTCTGGGAAGCAGTCGTGGCCCTTTGGAGATTCCACGGCTTCGGATCCCTACTGCAGGATGCTCCACTGTGTCTGCCGGCCTCTGGCGTTTTGCTGAGGGGTAACCTCGGAATGGCTAGAAACAAGAACACTGAGATGGCCCAGTCGTGCCCCAGGCATTCCCGCACACGTGGTGGCAAAGAAAGGCGCGCAGACAGAGTGCCCAGTCAGCTTGGTCAGAGTTCTTTACAGGTTAGTGACAGACTTGGTCCCGCGCTTGTGTCCTCCCATGTTTTCAGTTAACCTGCGGACCCCCAGGGGCTCCTCCATCTCCACCGTGTTCTCCTCGGGCTGAAGCCCAAAGTCCCCCATTTTCTCCTCAAACAGCTCTCAGAGCCACTTCTGCAGGCAGGCGGACAGCGCGTGCACTCAGTGTCTGACTTGGGAAGCCACCTCTGAAGGAACTGCTGGGTGACTATGGTCGTAAGTCAATCAAAGCAGACTTTCCCTGGCTTGCTGCGCTACATTGATTTTGTTTTCGTATTTTAAAAGAAGCAGAAGGGAGGTCCTAGGAAATTTGCCCAGTGCAGATGCTGACAAGAGTGGTGACATGAAAAAGATTACCCAGAAGGAAAACAAGAGCTATTTTCTAAACATCTGAAATCTGTGTAGGCTTTTGGAAAAGTGAAACTAGATGCAAAGCACAATGATGTAATTCTGGCAATTTCCACTGACACAGAACTCAGTCAATCTGAATTAATCTAAGGGTTACAAGGAAAATGGCACTCCAAGAAGTACCTATTAACATCACTCAGCTGCTGTGAAATAGGCTTACAGGCAACATGGAGTGTCAATTATCCAGTGTTTAAAGTCAGTGATACAGATTGGACTAACATATCTAAGGCTCATAAAGTCTTCTTTAAAGGATTGACAGATGGTTTATCTGATATGTAGACCATGATTCTCAGCAGTTAACTAGCACAACTTGCTAATATCAATTGCTTGAGAAAATCAGATAATTGCTTGAGAAAATTAGGACATTGCTTTGAGGAAGTTAGGTAATTAAATAAATTACTTTTTTTAAGAATAGTTTAATATTTTGGCAAGTAGACTTTAAAGTAGATTGGTAATATTTTAAAGGCTACTTTTAAAGAAATAGCAATATAACATTTAATTATAAAAATAATGTTGGAAACAATTCAACTTTCTATCACAGATAATTTCACAAATACAGAAATACCATCTCAATAATTAGAAGAAGTAGCAGCAATTTCTGTCATTTTTATGCAAGTTACTCCTAGTCCATTTATTTGGTTTTAAATAGTGTTTTTAAAATTTGTTTTCCAACAGGGCTAATCATAAATAATAGAATATATTTTACAATAGTTGAAGGTAACAAAAAGTAAGTGCCATTTAAAAAATTGTATTAGATTGTTTAAAAATGTTGTGGGTACATAGTATGTGTATGTATCTGTGGGGTCCATGAGATGTTTTGATACAGGCATGCAATGTGAAATAAGCACATCATGGGGAATAGGGTATCCCTCCCCTCAAGCATTTATCCTTCAAGTTATAAAAAATTCAATTACAGTCTTAGTTATTTCAAAATGTACAATTAAATTATTATTGAATATAGTCACCCTATTGTGCTATCAAATAGTAGGTCTTATTAACTCTCTATTTTTATACCCATTAGCCATCCCCACCTTCCCACAACACCCCCTGCCGCTACCTTTCCCAGCCTCTGATAACCATCCTTATACTCTCTGTGTCCATGAGTTTGTTTTGATTTTAGATTCCACAAATTAGTGAGAACATGTGACATTTGTCTTTCTGTGCCTGGTTTATTTCACTTAACATAATGATCCATAATGTTCCATCAATGTTACTGACAATGACTGGATCTTATTCTTTGTTATGGCTGAATAGTCGTCCGTTGTGTATATGTACCACATTTTCTTTATCCATTCATCTGTTGATGGACACTAAGGTTTCTTCCAAATCTTAGCGTTGTAAACAGTGCTGCAACAAATACGGGAGTGCAGATATGTATTTGACATACTGATTTCCTTTATTTTTGGTATACACCCAGCAGTAAGATTGCTAGATCATATGGTAGCTCCACTTTTAGTTTATTGAGAAACATCCAAACTGTTCACCTTAGTGGTTTTACTAATTTGCATTCCCAGGAGCAGTGTACAAGAGTTCCCTTTTCTCTGCATCCCTGCTAGCATTTGTTATTGCCCGTCTTTTGCATACAAGTCATATAAACTGTGGTGAGATGATATCTTGTTGTAGTTTTGATTTAAATTTCTCTGATGATCGGTGATATTGAGCACTTTTCTTATACCTATTTGCCATTTGTAGGTCTTCTTTTGAGAAATACCTATTCAAATCTTTTGCCCCCCTTTTTTTAGCTAGGTTATTAGATTGTTTCCTAAAGAGTTGTTTGAGTTTTCTATATATTCTGATTATTAATCCTTGTCAGATGAGTAGTTTGCAAATATTTTCTCCCATTCTGTGGATTGTCTCTTAACTTTGTTGATTGTATCATTTTCTGTGCAGAAGCTTTTTAACTTAATGTGATCCATTTGTCCATTTTTGCTTTGGTTGCCTGTGCTTGTGGGGTATTGCTCAAGATATTTTTGCCCAGACCAATGTCCTGGAGGTGTTCCCCAAAGTTTTTCTGTACTAGTTTTATAGTTCGAGGTCTTGGCTTTACATCTTTAAACAACTTTGATTTTACTTTTGTATTTGGTGATAGATACTAGTCTGTTTTCATTCTTCTGCATATGGATATCCAGTTTTTTCAATACCATTTCCCACCAGTGTATGTTCTTGGCACCTTTGTCAAAAATGAGTTCACTGTAGGTACATTTGTACATTTGTTACTGGGTTCTCTATTCTGTTCCATTGATCTATGGGTCTATTTTTATGCCAGTACCATACTCTTTTGGTTGCTATAATTCTGTGGTATAATATGAAGTCAGAAAATATAATTCCTCCAGTTTTATTTATTTATTTATTTTTGCTTAGGATAGTATTATTTCTTATAGTGAAAGCATTCTATGTTATTTATTATTAGTCTAATTTTGTAGTTTTACAATGCTATCCTCTTTTACAAAGCTATGATCAACTCAGTGTGTCCAGATCAGGATCATTTGTAGCTATTTGCAAAAGTAGCAATATTCTGGCTGGGCATGGTGGCTCATGCTTATATTCCCAGCACTTTGGGAGGCCAAGACAGGCAGATCACCTGAGGTCAGAGGTTCAAGACCAGCCTGGTCAACATGGTGAAACCCTGTCTCCAATAAAAATACAAAAATTAGCCGGGGATGATGGCAGATGCCTGTAATCCCAGCTACTCAGGAGGCTGAGGCAGGAAACTCACTTGAACCCGGGAGGTGGAGGTTGCAGTGAGCCCAGAATGTGTCATTGCATTCCAGCCTGGGTAACCAAGCGCGACTCTGTCTCAAAAAAGAAAAAAAAAGCAATATACTGTGTAATCGTTGACAGCATAATTCACTATTATGTAGATCGGAGAGCAGAGGATTCTGAATGCATGAACATATCATTAACATTTCAATACATTACTCATAATTACTGATGAACTAAAGAGAAACCAAGAAATCATGGTGATAGTTATATTGACCTGGAGAAATGTAGACACAAAAGAACCGTAAGATGAGAAATGTGTTAACACAGTCTATAAGGGCATGCAAGAATAAAAATAGGGGAGAAAACAGGAGAGTTTTTCAAGAGCTTTCTGGTCATGTAAGTCAACTTGTATCGGTTAATTTTTAAAAGGTTTATTTACATGCAATAAACTGCACATACTTCAATTGTACATTTTGGTAATTCTTGGCATTTGTAGCTCTATAAAACCAGCAACATATTAAAATAGCAAACATATCCATTACCTTTACCACCAAAGTTTTCTTGTGTTTTTTCTACTCACTTTTTCCTGCCTATCCCCCCATCTCTTCCACAGGTAACCACTGATCCACTTCCAGTCACTATCCATGAGTTTTTATTTCCAAATACATGAAATCATATGGTATGTATACTTTCTGATCACTCAGCATCACTATTTTTGAGATTAATTCATGTTGCTACATCTATCAATTGTTCTGTTCTTACTAGGGAGTATTATTTCATTATATACGTATGCCATAGTAAGTTTATAAGTCACAAATTCACCTGCCATGGACATTTGGAATGTTTTCAGGTTTTGGCTGTTGCAAGTAAAGCTGCTATGAAGATTCATGTAAAATCCTCTGAATGGGCATATGCTCTTAGTTTTCATCTCTAATAGAAGTGGAATAGACAGCTATCATGTCTGTAATATGCAAACACAAAGGCTGACAAAACTGATTTTTAAAGTGGAAACTCCACTGGATAACCTTGACTCCAGCCTGGCTTTTGAGAGTATCTCCTATGTTTGTGCAATGATTGGTCCTGGGGTAGCCACATGACCCAAGGAGGACCATGTTTAAACTTCTGAGTTTTCATCGAGATTAACATGCATTTGTTGAAAGAGAAAGCCCTTTTTTTCTAATCCCCCAGCTGCAAATGCTTTCAGGGATCACATCTTGTTGGAACATTTGGTTACAGTGTTTCCTAAACTTCGAGGGTAAAAATTGTTCAAGTAGGTAAAAATGGAGCAAATACAAAGAAAAAAGGAGTCCAGAAACATCAAATAAAAAAGAAAGGGCCTCCATAAAATCATTTGAACTTATGATTAATTCATCAGTCATTAAAACAAGTTTAATGTACAAAGAGTCATCCCCCCAACCACCCTTTATTCCTTCACCAAGTTTAAGTTACATTTTTTTAACTTGCAAACAAAAGATTTGTCATTAACTTAGACATCAAAACTCCTTGTCTCCAAGAGCAGTCATTCAACTCTGTCCCTCTCATTGTTACAATAATATGTTCACTTCATTCTGCATACACCTGCTCTTTGCCCTTGTCTCCCTATTCTATTCTATTAAAGTTACATCCAGACATTTATTTCATTTTGTATCAAAGAAACTGTATACATGTTTTTAATCTTAGAAAAATTTCTGAGTAATTTTTTGTCTCATATTTGATTTTAAGCCACCCAAGAAGCATTATTTTTTCATTTAGTATTTTAACTTTTCTAACCCAGGACTTTTATAGTAGATATTATGTCTTTTTCTAAATGCTCTGCTTCAATTTACATTTTAAATCTAAATTTTAAAAAGTGTACGTTTTCAATATTTGCATCATGTATCTCAGGCCTAAATATCCCTTGATAACCAATCCTGCCTTTTTTTCTCTGCATTTTTCACATATTTCAATAGGGAGCTATATCGCCTGACACAATAAAAGTTTTTGCCAATATAACATAACACATAGGCAAAATTTTGTTTCCAAGTGATTGATGATGTGGTGCCTTCAGTCTAGTCCCAATCCCTCAATGTAATCATCATCCCTATCTAATGAAATATGAAATAAATATTTCACTTTGTTTCTAAAATTCAGCAGACAAATATATAGCCTGTCACATACAGCCTGTAACACCAACATATAAAAATGAAAGCAGTTCCTTCTCCACTCCCACTGCTTCACTTGACTAGCCTTGAAAAATAATAACAATAATAAAAAATGAAAGCAAAATTGTTCCTTTATTTATCTTTGCAATTTAATGGATATACTGTCAGAAAAGCTCTTCTATATATATGGAGGGCCTCTATAAAATATAGACTCTTAACTAGAAAAGTAGACTTACATGATGGTTAAATTAAAAACACAATTATATATAGTACCTTCACAAATGCACCAGTACTTATTTCAGAATGCATGATGTAATTGACTAAACCATTTAGGGCTAGACCTCTGAAATAAAAGGCATTCACACTTTGTGATTCTAAGGGGAAAATATTATTCAAAATAGAAGCATGCAGAACCTTTACCTGATCATGATAAAAAAATTTTCCTACTTGTTGTGAATATGCCACAGCTTTTCAAGGTCAGCAAAAAGAGATTATCCCACAATATAAGCTGATGGCCAAAATTATCTGCCTTACTTTAGTTACCATAATATCTATTAAGTGTAAATTTCTTCTGAAAGAAAACAGATACATTTTTCTCAGAAATGTCTTTAGATGAAGATCTAGCACATCTGTTTTTCTAACTTTTGAAAATTTTGTTTTTATCGATAAATATATATGGGGTACAATGTGGTACAATACATGTAAATATTGTGAAGTGGACAAATTAGGCTAAATAACATATCCTTCACCTCAGATATTTATTACATTATGGTGAAACATTTAAAATGTACTATTTTAGCGCTTTTAAGATATGCACTATATTATGAGTAACTGCAGTCACTTTGCTGTGTATCATATCACCAGAATGTATTTCTCCTAACTGAAGCATTATCCCATTGAATATTTCCCCTTTTTCCACCCCCGCCACCCGACCTGCTCAGCCTCTGATAAACCACCATTCTACTCTTAACTTCTATGAGTGCACATTTTTGGATTTCACATGTAAGTGGTATCATGAGATATTTGTCTTTCTGTGTCTGGCTTATTTTACTTAGTATAATGTCCTCTAAATTCATCCACGTTTTTGCAAATGACAGAATTTCATTCATTTATAAAGATAAGTAGTATTTTTGTATGCATCCTACATATGCTTTTAATTTTCCACAGCTTTATTGAGATATAATTCATACATTATGTAATTCACTCATTTAAAGTACAAACTTCAAATTCTTTTAGTATATTAACTGGGTGGACAAATAATCTTCATAAGATAATTTTAGAACATTTTAATGCCCTTAAAAGAGACTTGCACCCATTAGCAATCTTTTCCTATTTTTTCCAGCCTTTTTAAAACCCCTCCTAGTCTAGGTGACCACTCATCTAATTTCTGACTATGAATTTGCCTATTCTGGACATTTCACATAAACGGAATCATAATAACACATAGTCATTTCTTACTCACTTCTTTCGCTTAACATATTTTTAATGTTCATCCATTTTGGAGCATGCATTAACACTTTTTTCCCTTTTGTTAAGAAATAAGATTCTATTTTATAGACACACCACATTTTATTCATCCACTCCTCAGTTGATGAACATTTCTGTTCTTTTCTACTTTTTGTTGCTATAAACATTTGTGTACTACTTTTTGTGTAGCATTTGTTTTCTTTTCTTTTTGGTAAATACATAGGAGTGGAATTGCTGGGTCATATGATAACTCTATGTTTAACCATTTGAAGAACTGCCAGACTGTTTTACATTTTAAGGTCTCACCAGTGGTGTAGAAGGGTTCCAATTTTTCCACATATTTTTATCCATTCTTCAGTTGATAGGCACTTAGGTTGTTTGTAATTCACGGCTATTATGAATATTGCTGCAATGAACATGAAATTGCAGATGTCTCTTTTTGACATATTGATTGAAATTCCTTTGGACACATATCCAGAAGTGGGATTGATGGATCATAGGGTAAATATATTTATAATTTCTTGAGAAAGCTTCGTACTGTTTTCCAAGATGGCTGTACTAATTTCCATTCCTACCAACAGTGTACAGGGTTTCTTTTTCTCCACATCCTCACCAACACTTATCTTCCATCTTTTTTTATAATAGCCCTAGTAAAATGTGTGAGGTGATATCTCATTGTGGCTTTGATTTGCACTTCTCTGATAATTAGGAATGTTTATGATTTTTTCATGTACCTGGTTGGCCTTTTGTATGACGTAGGAAATGTCTGTTCTGATTCTTTGCTTATTTTTTAATAAGCATAGTTTTTTTCTTATTTTTGAGTAGGTTGAGTTGCTTATATATTATTATATGAGCCCCTTATCTGATGTATGGTTTAAAAATATTATCCCATTTGTGGGTTCTCTTAATTCTATCATTGCTTCTTTTCCTGTGGAAAAGTTTTAAGTTTTATGCAGTCTCATTTGTGTGTTTTGCTTTTGTTGCCTTTTGGAATAATCTACAGAAAATCATAGCTCAGGCCAATGTCATACAGTCTCCTTCTATATTTCCTTGTAGTAGTTTTACATTTAAACTTTAATTTTGATTTGATGCTTGTATAAAGAGCAAAATAAAAGTCAAATTTTATTCTTCTGTATGTGGATAGTCAGTTTTGTCTACACCATTTATTGAAAATAATTTTCTTTCTTCACTGTGTATTTTTAGTTATTTTATCAAAAAATCAATTGACCACAGACACACGGATTTATTTACAGGTTCTATATCCCTTTGTACTGTTTTACGTGTCTGTTTTTATGCCATTGCTATGCTGTTTTAATTCCTATAGCTTTGTAATAGAGTTTGGAGTCAGGTAGTCTGATGCCTCCAGCTTTGTTCTTTTTGTTCAAGATTGCTTTGGTTGGTCCAGGTCTTTTGTGGTTCCATACAAATTTTAGCAGTAATTTTTCTATTTCTGTGAAGAATGACATTGGAATTTGATAGTGGTTGCATTTAATCTGTAGATTGCTTTGGGTAGCATTGACACTTTTACAATACTAATTTTTGAATCCAACAATAAAGGATGTTTCTCCATTTATTTATGCCATTTTAATTTTTTTCATCAATGTGCTATAGTTTTCAGTATGTAAATCTCTTATGGTTTTGATTAAATTTACTCCTGTCTTTTATATATTTATATATCTGTTTTGATTCTATTATAAATTGAATTGCCTTTATTTTTCAGGTAATAGTTTGTCATTAGTTAATAGAAACAATAATGATATTTGTATGTTGATTTTGTAACTATTAACTTTATTGAATTTCTTCATCAGCTATAACCATTTATTTTGGTGGAATCTTTAAGATTTTCTCTATCTTAAGATTATATTTTCAAAAAACAGAAACAATCTTACCTCTTCCTTCCCTATGTGGATTTCTTTTACGTCTTTGTCTTGTGTAACTGTTCTGGCTAGGCAATTACACATAATGTTTTCATCATTTATAATTTTACATCACATCCATCTATTGTGGCACATTGATTGCTACTTTTCAAGTTGTAAACCTGGACATTTATCACTACTCTTCCTCCAATACAGGAGTCCATGGCGTGGTGTGGGCCCTACTGTGCCACAGTCCAGGGCACGGCTGGGCTGAGGTTCTCTTGTGCAAGAGTCCGTGGCTCTGCGGAGCAAGAGTTCTCCAGTGCCTTAGTCCAGGGTTAGGCAGGGGTGGGGCTCCTTCAGTAGCTTAGTCCAGTGCGCCGCCCTGCGAGGGTCCTCCTGAGCAGGAGTACACGATGAGGCAGGGTCCTACTGTGCCTTAGCCCAGGAAGCGGGGGGCTGGGTCCTCTGGTGCCATAGTCCAGGCTGCCGGGAGCTGGGTCCTCTGGTGCCATAGCTCAGGCCGGCGGGAGCTGGGTCCTCTGGTGCCGTAGTCCAGGGTGCAGCAGAACGGGAGTCCTGCGGAGCAGTAGTCCAGGGCGCGCTGGGGCGTGGATCCTCAGGTGCCACAGTCCAGAGCGCGACAGGGCAGGATTCCTGCCTTGCTATATCCAGGGTGCAGCGGGGCGGGGGTTCTCTTCTGCAGGAGTCCAGGACGTGGCAGAACGGGAGTCCTCCGTGTAGGAGTCCTCCGGTGCTGGAGTCCAGAGCACAGTGAGGCTGGGTCCTCCCGTGCCATAGTGTAGGGCATGGCGGGACAGGGATCCTGCCCTGCGATAGTCCAGTGACTGAGTCCGCAGTAAGGCAGTGGTCCTCCAATGCTGGAGTTCACGGCGTGGTGGGGTCACGGTCCTTCAGTGTCTTAGTCCATGGGTACCAGGGCGGGGGTCCACAGTTGCCATAGTGAGGACCTGGGAGGAGTGTGGTTCCTGCCTCGCTGTAGTCCGGGGAGCAGGGGGCAGGGGTCCTCTCGTCAGAGTCTCTGGCGCGGGGTGGGGGTGGGGTGGGGGTTTTCCTATGCGATAGCCCACGGGGCGGTGAGGCCAGGTCCTCGCTTGCCTTTGTCGTGGGCGCAGGGGGGCGAGGGTCTTCGGTGGTGGAGTCCTCGGAGCGGCAGGGCAGGGGTCCTCCAGTGCCATATTCCAGGGTGCGGCGGAGTGGGCGACCTGTCCTGCAGTGGTCCAGGGCATGCGGGAGTGGTGGTCCTCCTGTGCCATAGTCCAACGCGCGGCGGGGAGGGGGTCACCTCGGCCTGCAGTCCACCACGCACGAGACCCCGGTCCTGCTGTGCCCCAGTCCAGTGCGCGGAGGGACGGCAGTCCTTCTGTGCTGTAGTGCAGGACGCGGTGGGGCAGCCGTAACCCAGAGAGCGCCGTGGCAGGGGGTCCTCCAGTGCTGGAATCCAGTTCATGGCGGGTCAGGGGCCTTATTGTTCCGAAGTCGGTGGCAAGGATCCTCCTGGGCCATAGTCTAGGGGGCGACGGGGCAGGGTTCTCTAGTGCAGGTGTCCAGGGTGCGGTGGGGCAGGAGTCCTCTGGTGCAGAAGTCCAGGACGTAATGGAGTGGGAGTACTCCAACGCCAGAGTCCAGGGCTCTGCGGGGCGGGGTTCCCCCATGCCAGAGTGTAGGGCGCTTTCAGGCGAGGGTCTTGGCGTGCAGTAGTTCAGGGTGCGGTGGGGCAAGGATAGTCCAGATCTCCATGGCGGGGGTTCCTCTGTGCAGGAGCCCAGTGCCCGGCGGATCGGGGTCCCTCCGTGCTGTAGTCCAGGGCACGGCAAGATGTGGGTCCTCTGGTGCCCTATCCAGGGGGCGGTGGGTCAGAGGTTCTCCCCTGTCTTGGTCTAGGGCCCGGCGGGACTGAGGTCCTGGAGTCCACGCGGTAGCCCAAGTTGCCTCAGGACCAGGTCCTCTGGATCCACAGTCCAGAGCACAGAGGGGCAGGAATAGCTCAGGGCGAGCCAGGGCCGAGGTCCTCGGGAGCCACAGTCCAGGGTGTGGAGGGGTGGGGGTTCTGCAGTGGCACAGCCCAGGACACAGCGGGGCGGGGCGGGGATCCTCTGGTACCTTAGTCCAGGGCGGAGCCGGGGGAGAGGTCCTTCAGTAGCATAGTCTAGCGCATGGCGTTGCAGGGGTCCTCCAGTGCCTGAGGCCAGGGCGGGTCGCGGGTCCCACTGTACTCTCGTTCAGGGCGGAGCAGGTCTGGGGTCTTCTGCTTCAGTCTAGGGTGCTGGAGAGTGGGGGTCCTCTGGTGCCAGAGTCCATGGAGCCATGGGTCGGCGTCCTGCCATGTCTTAGCCCAGAACGGGGAGAGGCGGAGATCCTCCTTTGCCCTAGTCCAAGGCATTGTGAGGCCCCGCTCCTGCACAGAGGCGGTCTGTTCCTCTACCGCCGTGGGGAAAAACTGCACCATCTCTGGCAAGCCTAACCCAGCAGCTGTCCTTAAAAGATTCCCAGTTGAGTGTGGTTCAGAGCAGCCCTGAGAAGTGTGCCCTTAGATGGCTTCAAGGGCTCTGGGCAGTGTTTAAGGAATCCAGCTGACCTCAGTTACTCCAAGCCCTTTTCCACTCAGCAGAACTTCTGGCCACCCGGGTCCTCTATCTGTGGAGCCCTTCTATCATCCCAGATCCCCACAGGGTGGACTCCCTCTCATCCTCACAATCTCAGCTCAGGCCTTATTCATCACCGCATTCCTGGCACCAGGCCTGGCCCATGAGAAATGGGTCAGATTAAGAGCTAAATGTGTTTTCATGGTCACTTGTTTTCTTCAGGCCTCCTTTCTTTGTGCCAACATCTTTGGGTTTCTGGTTAAAGTTTTCAGCAGCTGCATGCGGTTCCATTTTTCTTACCAGGTAAGAGACATAGCTTCATGAAAACAAAGGCAGAACGCTTGTGACCAGAGAACTCCCAGTCCTCTCCCTGCATAGGAAAACTGGACTTCTCCGGAAGGCTCCAGCTCCTGGGCAAATCTCTAGGGCCACTTAATTGGGCTATCCCCCACCTTTGTTTCTGGTTTTGAAGGGACCAAAGTTGGGAATCCTTTTTCAGTCTCTACACACGGAGCCCTTCTTTGGTGGGAAAGTCTTAACATATACCAGGATTCTCACTG
The DNA here is from genome assembly GCF_000001405.40 of Homo sapiens. Lineage (NCBI taxonomy): Eukaryota > Metazoa > Chordata > Mammalia > Primates > Hominidae > Homo > Homo sapiens. The sequence continues at coordinate 19,039,778 of NC_000014.9, forward strand.
ACCTTTCAGAGCCTTCAAGAATCCTGAGCTGCTTTGGCTTCTGTTCCTGGAAGAGAGGCCACTGAACTGCTCTGGAGCTGGATTTCAAGTTCAGATATTCATCACTGTTACTAAGCCTTTACATAGCATGTGATTTCTTTCTGGCAGGCTCATGGTCACCTAGGTTTGCTTATATGTAGATGGAGGGTCTGCATCCTCATTCAGGTAACACCCTCAGTCTTTCATGCTGAGATTGGCCATTTTATTTGTAACTCACTGTACAATCCATTTGCTCTTCGAGTGTCCCTTAGAAGGATGCAGAGTGTTCTGTAGAATGCCATAGAGACCTGGGTTTAGGGAAAATATTTGACCAAATGTCCACCAACTCACATGAGTATCTCCCCACAACTTGTACAGTGCTAGTCTCTGGGTATATAGTAAATGAAACCGTGCCTGAGCAGATGTTACAAACGCCCTCCACTGTGAGACTGCAGGGCTGCTTTATTCAAGCAACAGTGTGCTCTAATAAGGTCAGAGTTGAGAGAAACAAGTTTTCATTCCAGCTTTCTCAAAAACTCCCTTTGTGACTTTAGACATCATAATAACACTACCTAAGTAGTGAACACCTCTGTGCCAAGAAATATCATGGTCATTGCCTGAGTTGTAATTCTCACAGTAGTCCTACAGGATAGCTGCTATTACTGCTTATTACGCAGATGGACAACCTGAGGCTCAGATGGAGTTAAGTGGCTTAATTGGTAGCAATCGAGCCAGGATTTGAACCCAGGGCTGCCTGATCACCAAATAAAATTGTATTCAACATGATGCACTTAACTTTTCTGGCCTCATTTCTCTCACCTGTAAAAATGCAGGTTTCAGATGTTTGTAATATTTTACCTGTGGTTTAAAGAGTTACCAGCCCTTCCTCGATGACCCATGGTAAGACCCATGAGCCTTTGAATATAATTATAGAAAACATTTGAAGAGGGATAGAGAAAGACGAGATCATGGCTCCTTTGATAACGTCAAATTTTCAGTGCACTAAGCCATACATAGTGCAGTTTTCTAGCTTCCCTTTCACAAACGGTGTTGAAGAAAGTAAATTAAGCAACTCAGCTATCACTGGGAATGCAGTAGAAGTAATCAAGTCCAGTGCTGGGAGATAGTTGCCATGATATTCCAACATGGACACCAGGATCACAGTCGATGACTATGCCCTCCCTTGAAGATGGTGGCTTGCCTCTCTTTCTGTAAGCAAATGTCATGTCATAACAGTATTAAACAATTACAAGTAATGTCCCCATCTGCTTCTGCACTGCCTTTGAAATACTATTTCAGATCTGCCAAAATAAATGGCAAACTCGTTAACAAGAAAGCAGGGTGGGGGGTGCATTCATCCCTGCCTTCCTGAGTAGTCTATTCACCCAAAGACAAAAGGATGACCAGCTTCCATCAGGGATATTCAAAGACACAGTCACCCTGCCATGCAGCCAGAGGCTGGCAAAGGTCCAATCCCCTTTTTAAGAAGCTTGTTGGATGAGCTCTTTAAACATACAACCACAAAGGAAAGGCACAGCCAGTGTGAGGGAGGCTGATAAGATGGGCATTTTGTTTGCTTCAAGGTTAGAATGCAACTTGTCTATCAAAATGTGGTTATCTGACCTCCACAATGCTGCAGTCCAGTTAAATACTGCAAATATTCATCCACCATTTACTATGGATAAAACAATAATGTGCTGTGGGGAATCCAATTACACAGACACACACACACCCAAGAAAGTGCACACACACGTGGGCACACACACTGCTCCTGCTGCCTCAGAGCTTCCAGGCCGGCAAGGAGTAAGTGCAAACATTAGTAGGTAAGTCTGCTACCAGGAAGAATATGATAAGTAGATCCAACAGGGTACAACGCAGTATGATAGAAGCAAACAAGGTTGAGATGAGTTCTGACTCCCTTTCACTTATAAAACTGATTATGGAATAGTTTATGAAAGACTCGCCTGGATGAATCTCATATTTTCCAAGTGTTTTCTATCCCAGTGATTGGAACTTTTATTCCTCTATACCATTGTCCAAAAAGAAAGAACAGGAGATTTTCCTAAGACCATCCTCTGTCTTATCCCTCATATCCCAAACATCACCAAGCCCTGTCCACTTTTACCTACTCAGTTTCTCTCCACTTGCTCTATTTTCTCCATAAGCACTAGCAATACCTTGGTTACATGACATTCTGAGAAACTTCTTTGTGATGTGTGCTTTCATCTCACAGAGTTGAATATTTCTTTTGATTGAGCAGTTTGTAAACAGTGGTTTAGTAGAATCTGCAAAGGGATATTTGTGAGACCATTGTGGCCAATGGGGCAATAGGAAATATCTTCACATAAAAACTAGACAGAAACTTTCTGGGAAACTTCTTTGTGATATGTGCTTTCATCTCACAGAGTTGAACCTTTCTTTTGATTGAGCAGTTTGGAAACAGTCTTTTTGTAGTATCTGCAAATGGATATTTGGAGCACTTTGAGGCCTATGGTGAAAAAGGAAATATCTTTACTTAAAAACTAGACAGAAGCATTCTGAGAAACTTCGTTGTGATGTGTGCATTCATCTCACAGAGTTGAAGCTTTCTTTTGATTGAGCAGTTTTGAAACACTCTTTTTGTAGAATCTGCAAGTGGATAATTGGAGTGCTTTGAGGCCTATGGTGGAAAAGGAAATATCTTCACGTAAAAACTAGACAGAAGCATTCTGAGAAACTTCGTTGTGATGTGTGCATTCATCTCACAGAGTTGAACCTTTCTTTTGATTGAGAAGTTTTGAAACACTCTTTTTGCAGAAACCGCGAGTGGATATTTGGAGCGCTTTGAGGCCTGTGGTGGAAAAGGGAATATCTTCACATAAAAACTAGACAGAAGCATTCTGAGAAACTTCTTTGTGATGTGTGCATTCATCTCACAGAATTGAACATTTCTTTTGATTGAGCAGTTTGGAAACCGTCGTTTTGTAGAATCTGCAAAGGGATATTTGTTAGCCCATTGAGGCCTAAGGGGAAAGAGGAAACATCTTCACATGAAAACTAGACAGAAACTTTCTGAGAAACTTCTTTGTGATGTGTGCTTTCTTCTCACAGAGTTGAAACTTTCTTTTGATTGAGCAGTTTGGAAACCGTCTTTTTGTAGAATCTGCAAGTGGATATTTGGAACCCTTTGAGGCCTATGCTGAAAAAAGAAATATCTTCACTACATGATGACCACCAGCAGCAGCTGGGGAAACCAGCACCCTGTGGAATTCCATACGGTGCATAGAATACATCCTCCCTTCAGTCGGCTTGGGTCAACTTAGGTCATGGGCCACCTGGCTGATAGCAGTTTCCACAGAAATGCTTCAAGATGGTATAATAATCCAAATCTCTTTGCATGGGGCATGGTGTGGCTATCTGAGAAAAACCTGGCTTTTATAGGAAGGAGAAAGAAGAATGCTTCTTGAGGGGAAGAAACCAACAGCAATGTGCCTCAGGGAAATGTCACCAGAGGAGAGTGAGCTGTAATGACTATTTTGGCAGATTATTTCTTGTGGTTCTTGGGTTCCTTGGCCCTGCACAGAGCTACCATTTACTCATTTGACAAGTATTTGAGTGGTAGACTCCAGGGTTCAATAGTGATCAAAAATGCACAGAATTTCTTCCCTAGTGGAGCTTAGAATCTAACAGAAAGAGCTGACATTAGTCACAAAATTATGTAATAAGGGAAAGTGCAGCAGACCCAGGTGTGCTGCAAGAGCCTGCGAAGGCAGACTGACCCCAAGACAGAGGCAGGAAAGGATGCCTCCAGGAATCAGCAATTGAGCCAAAATCAGGGAGAAAACTAGGCAAAGACACAGTATTCAGGAGGAGGTAGAAGCTGGCCCATGAGGACGGTGGTGTGGAGAGGTGAACCAATACCCAGGTCCTTGGATTTATTGTTGAGCTGCTGAATGAACCAGGGCTGGCTCTTGCCCAACCTCTGCACTTCTTGTTTTGCAAGGTTATAAATTTTTTTATTTAAAAGCTAGTATGAGTTGGGATCTGTTGCTTTTCTGAGACCCCGTCCTGTGAGGTAGACAGGGGGCCTCACTGTACTCTGGGGAACTAAAGATGGAGAAGGGTTTTAGAGTGCCTGGAGAAGAGGCCCTTTAACGGATCATTTTAGAAGAGGGTGCTACTGCTAGACTGCCCAGATTCCCTTTCTGTCTTTGTGACCTTGGACTCTCTGTGTCTGTTTTCCAATCTGAAAAACAGAATAATGATAGTATCTGCCTCTGCCTGCAAGACCCTCACCTATCAGACCAACTACCTTTTCACTAGAACTCTCTTCTTGCACTGTACCCCAACTGGACCACTCATTAAAACTTAAAATGGGCATATTTTCCTTTTCTAGATTTTGCTCAAGACATTTCCCTCATCAAAATTAAATTTGGTCCATCTCCCCCTATTGGAATTAAACCCATTCTCCAGAAATCAGTTCAAATTTTATCACCAGAAAGCCTCTCTCAATTACCCCCACCTTCTTTTATTCTTTGGGCCATTTCTGCTATCATTTCTGTTTTTCTTTTTTGCTACATATTGGTGTAGGTACATACGATCTCCACTTCCACTCAAATGTGAGGTTACTGCGGGCAGTCCCTATGGATATAGTCATATCCCAAGAGTCCTGGGCAGAGGGTTTCCCTCTTTCACCCAGGCTGGAGTGCAGTGGTGCAACCAGAGCTTACTGCAGCCTCAACCTCCTGGGGTCAAATGATCGTCTCAGCCTTTCCAGTAGCTGGTACTAAAAGCGGGCACCACCATGCTTGGCTAATTTTCATATTTTTCATAGAGACGGGGTTCCACCATGTGGCCTTGCTTGGTCTGAAAGTTCTGAGCTCAAGCAACCCACCTGCCTTAGCCTCTCAACGTCCTGGAATGACAGCATGAGTTGCCACACCTGGCTGCATGCCGAATACTTTAGAGTTGTTTATGCCTGACACTTCCAGGGCATGCAGAACTATGGTGGCATTAACCGACACATTAACCAACTGCCTCACTTACTTTTCTTTTGACTCAGTTTATAAATTTTCTTAATTTAAATTTTAATTTCAACATGTATACATCTTTGAAATAAATAAAATAAGCTCTTTGAATGTTTGACATAACGTAGAAGAAATTGACAAATGGACATCTTTACTTCATTTTCTGTCTCAAAATGTGGTACAAATAGCCTCCCCTAAAGTGATCCCAATTATTACATAGCCATCTTGCTGTGGCTAATGTAGAATGTTTTTGCAGTATCACATGCACGAAGGGCATATCCAAAAAACATTTGAGTGAAGATAATACTAGATTCTAGAAAGTATCTAGACACTTAAGAGCAGGTGGTGATGATGTTAATTAATAATAACAATGTTGAGGGGCTGGCTTCTGCCCTTCCCTAATAAGCATAAAGAGCATATAAACTCAGCAAATTTGCTCTTATTTTCTTCATTATTTGGTTTTTGAATCAGTAAATGCTTTCCACAGGGGTCATCTTGTTAGTCATCTTGTCATTTTGCTGTGTCCCATCTTCGTCCTTGCAATTTTTCCTTTTTCCCATTTTGGCATGTATTGAGAGGAGTGTTATGCTGATGAAATGCCCTGTCCTGAATTGCTATCTGATTAGAACTTCCCTCAATTTTTAAAATGCTTCTTGACATGGTTTGGATTTGTGCACCCCCCACCCCCAATCTCATATGGAATTGTAATTGTCAGTGTTGGAGGAGGGGCTTGCTGGAAGGTGACTGGATCATAGAGGTGGTTTCTAATGGTTTAGCCTCATCCACCTCGTGCTGTCTGATGATAAAGTTCTCCTGAGATCTGCTTGTTTAAAAAGTGTGTAGCACCTCCCCTGACTCTTTTCAGCCATGTGAATATGTGCTTGCCTCCTTTTCACCTTCTGCCATGATTGTAAGTTTCCTGAGGCCTCCCTATAAGCATAAGTCTGTACAGCCCACAGAACTGTGAGCCAATTCAATCCCTTTTCTTTTTCAATTACCCACTCTCATGTATATCTTTATAGCAGTGTGAGAACAGATTAATACACTCCTCCTCAGAAAGCATTCAATTTAGCTGTGTCTAAAGTATGCCAGGTGTTCTAGGGTGTTATCTTAGCCAATAATTCTTCCTCTTCAGCAAGATCTATTTGCCTATGACAGCTTGACCTACATTTCCTACCATACTTGTCAGTAACAAGTAGCCCATAACATCTGAATGGACTTCATTGAAATCACAGAGGTTCTTTAGTTCTCTACTTTATTAGCAGGCATTCGGGAAACACATCAACTTTCTAATTTAATAAGGTGCCTGTTGCTTTGAAAAACTGCTCAAAAGAAGATAGGAGAGGCTTACTTAAAGATATCACTATAGGCATGGCATGCTGGTTCACACCTGTAATCCTAGCACTTTGGGAGGCTGAGGAGAGAGGATCACTTGAGTCCAGAAGGTCAATACCAGCCTAGGTGACATGGCAAAGCCCCATCTCTACAAAAGAAAACAAAATCCAAAAAATATTTAGGCATGGTGGCATGTGTTGCATTCCCAGTTACTCAGGAGACTGAGGTGGGAGAATCACTGAGCCCAGGGAGGTTGAGGCTGCAGTGAGCCATGATCATGCTGCTGCATTCCAATCTGGGGACAGAGCAAGAGCCTGTCTCAAAAAAAAATGTTATCACTGTACTATCTATAACTATTCTTAATTAGAATAACTAGGTTTTTTTCAACAGTGGAAACTCAAAACAGACAAAATTGTTGTACCTCAAGGTGTGTTGTCGTAGTCATATAATTCCTTTGCTTGTAACTGCCCAATAAATGGATGAGGACTCACTTCAACCCATAAATAAGAAAGGTGAACAGCACATGGGGCCTGTAGATGCCTTTTGCAGGGCCCTCTTTTTCTCTTCCTAAAGTTGCAATTTGAGTATTTCTCTAGATGGGCACATCATAGAAACTGTCGTCCTAGATCAGAGCCTGGGGAGAGAGATACAGGAGTCATGCTTACATCTGCAGAGTGGGAACAAGCCCAGAAAAATCAAGATGATTAAGCAGAGAGCTTCCATACTGGAGATAAACCAGCTGTGTAAAAAATCATTGCACCAAAAAAGCATTGCACCATCGACATAACTGCTTTAACTAAGAAGTAAAGGAACTGATGCCCCAGCAGAGCACAGAGAGCCACAGAGACAGGAGCTGCATTTCAAACAAGGTCATTGCTGTTGTCCCCACCCTGAGTTAAGTATCTCTGCTTCACCCTTCCTTACCAAAGTTCTGCTTGATCATCCTTTTGTTTTGTTTTCTTTTTTCTGCACTTCACTTCTTTGAGAAAATATAAACCAAAACCTTACATAAAACAGGAATTGAGCTTTTGACAATGTTAGCTCTTGAAACAACCGAACAAAAAGGTTTCTATTATTTCTCATCTCTGTGCTACCCAGTACAGTAGCCAATAGCCACAGATGACTATTAAAATTAAAATTAATTCAAATAAAACAAAATTTACAATTTAGTTGGTCAGTTGTACTAGCCACATTTCAGTTACTCAATAGCCACATGTGGCTAGTGGCTACTGAACTGGCCAGCACAAATGTAGAACATTTTCATCATCATAGTTCTCTAGGCCATGGAAAAATTACTGAACTCAATTTCCAGTGTGCACATTTATTTGCGTACCTAGGAGCTTTTTGACCCTGTGTTGAGATGCCTAAACAGCTTCCTGATTGACCTCCTGATATTTCTGCAAATGTGGACTAAGAGGCCAGGATTCCTCAAGGCCCAGGTGACTCAGGTTATTCCAAAATTATATTTGGACTACCAGTCCTCTGCTTGATTTGGGATGCAAAAGGGGACTTCTCTCCCTAATCACTAAAGTAGCTTTTCAATGTCCCCCTCTCATCACGGTAAGAGTCTCATTTCTTGAGACTCATTTCTTTCCATGACTTATGTTATGTTTTGGAGAGAGTGGATTCAGACAGAAGAGCTGGCTCTGTGCTGGTTTTCCAGGGGTCAGCCCTTTTGTCAGCGACGAGTCTGCCTCTCTACATGATGTACATTGTGTCCCACTACTGGTAATAGAATCTCAGCAATTGATTGACTGTTAGGTTATTTTCAAAGCTCAATATTCACAATAATCTAAAAGACATCCACATAACCACGAGGACAGACAGGGCTCTCATAACCTGCAAAGGACAAGGTGCAAATTTCTTCTTTCCATCCCAGCAACAAATCGACAACTCAGCCAGCACTAAAAGTTGGGGTAAAAATTAATTAAAAGAAAAATGTATCAAGGATAGATAAAAGAACAAAAAAGCTATTGCAGCTGTCTTCTCCATGACAGAGGGCTGTGATCTGAATTTTAATGTTTTCATCTACTTTCTACTTTTGTGTTTCTTTTATTATTTTTTTCACTGTCTCTTATTTGTAGATACAAATTTTTAATATTTGAAAGCTATTTTAAATATAATCTTTAAAAGGAGAAACATTCTTTTTTTTTTGCACAAAATACTGAAGGTGAGATCCACTGATTGCAATGCAATGGGACAATATATCTGGAAGCAATTTTATCCAGAAAAATCAATAGCTTTAAAACAATTCACAACCTTGGACCTAATACCTCTACTTCTAGGAAGCTAGCCTATGAAGGTTTCTGCTGAAGGATGTTTATCACAGTATTATTTATAATGTGAAAAAGCCAAAGAGGAGACCTAAAATGTTTCAAAGATGAAAATGGTTTGATAAAATTATTTTTTTTTTTGAGACAAGGTCTCACTCTTGCCCAGGCTGGGGTGCAGTGGTGCAATCTCGGCTTACCACAACCTCCACCTTCCAGATTCAAGCACTTCTCCTGCCTCAGCCTCCCAAGTAGCTGGGAATACAGGCACACCCCACCATGCCTGGCTATTTTTTTGTATTTTAGTAGAGATGGGGTTTCACCGTGTTGGCTAGGCTGGTGTCAAACTCCTGAGCTCAGGCAATCCACCTTCCTCAGATTCCCAAAATGCTGGGATTACAGGTGTGAGCCACCGTGCCTGGCGATAAACAACATATTTAAACTCTAAAATGTTATGCAAGCATTCCAGGCATGCTTTGGAAAAACTATTAATCCCACAAAAGATGCTTATGTAATTATATAGACTAACAGACCAAGATTCTCCAGGACACTTACTTTGTTAAGTGTCTGAAGTAAAATGCAATGCTGTATATAAAATGTGACCTGAAGTCAGGTCCCAGTCTTTTCATCTGGAAAATTCTGTTAATTATACTGCCCTTCCCCTTTATAGGTTTTCTGTAGGAGTTAAAATACACTTTTTCAATTGCTTGACATAATGCTCAACACTGGTAGGGGAGCTAAAAATGTCAGCTATTGTCCTATGTGCCAAAAAAAAAAACCACACAGACAGACACACACACACACACAAAGACACACATGGAGGGAGAGGAAGTAAAGATTAGAAAGCAGCACATAGTGTATTGGTAGGCAATGGGACCACTAGTGATTTTCATATTCTTTTTTATTTTCTTCTTTATACTGCTTACATTTTCAGTGTTATATAATGAGCATGTATTACTTCTGTAATCAGAAGAAGGTGGTATAAACCTGACCTTAATATAATAAAACAAAATTACTGGCCAGGCACAGTGTCTCATGCCTGTAATCCTAGCACTTTGGAAGGCTGAGACTGGTAAATCTCTTGAGCTCAAGAATTTGAGACCAGCCTGAGCTCAGTGAGACAGTGAGACCTCGTCTCTGGAAAAAATACAAAAATTAGCCAATGATAGTGGTATACACCTGTAGTCCTAAGTTACCTGGGAAGCTGAGGTGGGAGGGTGGCTTGAGCCCAGGAAGTGGCTGCAGTGAGCTGTGACTGCACCACTGCACTTCAGCCTGGGTGAAAAAGCCAGACCCAGTCTCATACAAAAATAAAAACAAACAAACAAACAAAAAAGTTATTACTTAAATCTCACATGCTATCTTGGAGCCGTCTCAGTGTTGAGGGAGTCAAGAGACTGGAGAGACCAATGGGTGAGACAGGAGGATTTTATTAAAGTGACCACTTGCCCAGTGGATTTGCATCCAAAAGGCTGAGCCCGGAAAAAAGATGGGGCCTGTTTTTTAAGCATGCAGCTTTGCAAAACTTACAGGGCAGGCTTAGCAAGCTTACAGAAGCAGAACAAAGGCAGTTAATCAAACAGTGACAAGTGTATGACTCAAACATGTCTGGTGACCTCTGCTGGGCCACCCAGCAGGCTCTCAGCAGATGGCAACTGTTTTAGGCTTGCACAGGCATGTCTTGTGACCTTCTCAGGGTCACACCGATGGAAAACAGGAACTTAAAAAATCCTTACAAACTTACAGAAATAGTTACAAAAATAGTTATGAGAGCAGAGCAAAGAAATATTGGCCTGGGAAAGAATCTCAAAGGGGGAAGCTGATAAGAACTTGTTTTTCTCATCCCTGTTCCTGGAGTCCATTCCTTCTGGGCTCTTCCTGGCCTTGTATATAAAGTTATCTTAGTCCTAGCAGGGCCTTGGACTGAGTCAGCCTGGAACAGGCCAGAACTTAGGTTTTTCTCTTTTTAATTTCTGCTTTAGTAGGCCAAGGTTCTGATTGTCACTGCTGAGAAAGTAAGGTGTGTTCAGGCTGCCCATGGTTCTGGGCTCCCCCATGTCTCTGAGGAGGGCTGTCCCCTCCATCACAGAGAATATCAGGACACTAGCCTGTTCCTAGTTATACTTATACACTCCTCTCATGTTGTCTGTGGAGTGGATGCTGCAGGGAGGGTGACATCCCAGTTAGTCCTAAGAGCCAGACTGCCTGAAGCTCACTGTAACAAGTCCTGCCTTGAGGAAGAAGGAAGTTTGCCTCTGTGAACCTCCCACCTGGGCCGAAGGGAAGCCACTCTCTCTGCTGCCTCTCCCCAACCTTTTCCTTCTGTGGTCCTAGTGAACCTCTCACCCCCTGCCTACAGGCCTGGAATCTCAAGACCATGATGACCTCTCATCACTCCTGAATCCAGAGCTTTCCCTTTACAAAGGGGAAACTGAGACCTGGAGCAGGGCTGATGTTCAGCCAGCGCACAAGGGAATGGCTGAATTGGTGGTAAAATACTGAAATAGTTCCAGTGTGGATGGAAAGGGGCCACTGCCCTGAGCATCTCTACTGCCCACCTCATCCCTTCCTCCAGGACCCTGGGTCAGCACCAGGAGTGTCAAAGTGGCCAGGATTGGCCGGAGCCCATGCTAATGGCTCTGCCAGCCCTTCTCCCCACCAGAGAGGGCAGGGGGATTCAGGCCCTCTAGAGGTAGCATTGTGACCGTGTCTGCAGTAGTCAATCCTTGTGTGCCACAGTCCCTGACTTTGTTGATAAGGGCATCAGCCTACATCCCTCTGGTACTCAGTGATAAGCATCTAAAATCTTCTTAAAGAAAAAATTTAAAAAGCTTTCAAAATATACGACTTAACATATGAGGCTGCATAAATATCTTTTTAGCAGTTGTCCAACTGGTGCTTCTGGTTCTGCCTCCCCAGAAAGTGGATGACCGGGCCACCCTCCACCACTGCCCTGTAAGACCATGGGACACACAGGCCACCAGTTCTTTTCATGTGGTCATCCCCTGTTAGATGGGAGAAAATACACCTGCCTCATTTTTGTACCTTCTGTGTGAACATTCCACGGCAGAGCTTCACTAAATGTGTGATGAAGAATTGAATGAATGAATGAATATGAGAGAAAATGAATAAATGGTTCAGATCCTGGGCTGGAAGGCTGTGTATGAGGATGGTGGGTAGAGGAGGGTCTGTTTTTCTTGCCTTTAAGTCACTAATTGTCACTTTGGGGCAGGAGCACAGGCTTTGAATGCAGACCGACTGGACTTTAATTCTGGCTTTACTAGTTGTGATTGTGTGACCTTGTGCAAGTTACTTAAACCCTCTGTGCCTGTTTCTTTATCTGTAAAATGGAGATAATAAGATGTCAAAGGACTGTGGTAAGAATTAAATGCTTTAAAAAAATCGCAGTTTGTATTAAGTCCTCAATAGATTGGGTTTAGCATCATGAGTGCATGTGTTTCTGGAGCAATGCTCATCTTGGGCTGCATGGTGCCTACACAGAGAAAGACTCTGGCCTCTTCTCATCCACATGTATCTGTCTTATGCCTGGTTCCCATTCCCAGATCCTTGGAAGATCCATATTGCTGAAACGGTGAAGGGTGATGGGCACCTCAGGACAACTAAGCTGCTCCCCAAACATCTTCCCCCTCCCAAACTCTCCTGTGGTCTTTCGCATTTAACAGGAATCTCTGGACACTCCAAGGGTTGATCCTCTCATGGAAGACCAGTGGGGAGGAGGCTGCGGGAAAGGTCAGGCACTGTGCACTTCCCTGACAGCTGCAAATGGTTGTTTCCAAGCCCACTGGTCACTACAAATAAGGCAAGTTATATGACATCATAATGTGATTCTTTGGTGCCTCAGTCCACACTGGCACTTTAATATTCCTAGAGTGGATTGCATGGTGGTCTATCAAAAGATATGTCTACCTGGAACATGTGAATGTGCCTTTATTTGGAAAACAATCTGCAGATGTAATTAAATCCAGCACCTTGAGATGATTAGGATGGGCCCTAAATCCAATGACAAGTATCCTTATAAGAAAAGCGGCAGGTAGGGCACAGTGGCTCACACATATAATCCCACCACTGAGAGAGGTCAAGGTGAGAGGATCATTTGAACTGCAGGCTTTCAAGATCTGCCTGGGCAACATGGTGAGACCCTGTCTCTCCAAAATGTATGTAAAATATAATAGCCAGGCATGATGGCACCCGCCTGTAGTCCCAGCTACCAGCTACTTGGGAGGCTGAGATGAGAGGGTAGCTTGAATCTGGGAGGTTGAGGCTTCAGTAAGCTGTGTTCATGATGCTGCTCTCCAGCCTGGGGGAGCCTCTCCAGCCTGGGGGGCCCCTGGCCCCTCCACAACCTGCGCTAGAAGAGCTGGGCCCTGGCTCTGGCACCATGCAGCCTCTGAGGTGAGGCTGAGAGCCAGTTTCTGCCCTCCTGCGGCTGGGGACCAACACCCCTGACTTAGGCGTCGTGGAGGCTTCTGGCCCAAGGGTCCGCGCTGCTGGTGGCGCTGGCAGGGTCAGAATTTGCCACAGCTGCTGCTGCGCGCCTTGTGCAGGTTACCACTGCAGCTGAATCTACAGCAGAGGCAGGCAGGGCTGGTCCCAGACAGCCTGGGGGTCGCTGAGTGGACGGCCCTTTCACCCTAGAGTCAGCTCTTTCTTGTAGGTGCCCAGATCAGGGTGTGCAGGGGCTGGGCACAGGGCAGCCGCCAGGAAATGGCTGAGCTGCCGGTTCCCGCCCTCCTGAAGCTGGGGCCGGACCACCTGAATTGGCCGCTGGGCGGCGCCTGGCCCTGGAGTCCGCCTGGCTGGCGTGAAAGCGTGGTCTGGGTTTGCCATCAAGGCTGCTCCCCCGCCATGTGCAGGTGGCTGCTGCAGCTGAGCCCATGACGGAGGCTGGCAAGGCGTTTCCCAGGCAGCCTCAGGGTCATTGAGTGGACCACTATCCCACCCTAGGGTTCTCTGTTCCTTTGCCTGAGCCCAGAGTTCCGGGTCGCGGGCACTGGGAACTGTGCAGCCAAGGAGACTGGGCCGAGGGCAAAGGTTTCTGCCCTGCTGCAGCTGCGGGGCTGACTGCCTGAATTAGGCGCTGAGGCTGCGTTGTCCCCGGTGTCAGGGCTCTGGTGCAGGCAAAGTGCCGGGTTGCTCTGCTGCTGTCGTGCCCTTGTACAGGTGGCAGCTGCAGCTGAGCTCTCAGTAGAGGTCGGCAGGGTTGGTCCCAGAAAGCCTGAGGATCGCGGTGTGCACCACCCTCCCAGCCTAGGGTGCACTCTTCCTTGGCACGCGCCCAGAGCTCGGGGTTTCGGGCGCTGGGCCCTGTGCAGCTGCCCAGAATAGGCTGTGCGGCTGGTTCCCGCCCTGGCAAGGCATCCAGCCATGGAATCTGCACTGCTGTTGGGGGCAGGCAAGGTCGGGGGATGGGGGTGTGGTTTCCACCATTGCTAACGGGCGCCACCTGGCGATGGTAGCTGCAGCTGAGAGCATGGCAGAGGCTGGCAGGGCTGGTCCCAGACACCCTGAGGGTCGCTGAGTGCACCGCCCTACCACCCTAGAGTCTCCTGTTCCTTAGACTGCTCCCAGGACGTGGTGTGCGAGCGCTAGACACTGAGCAGCCTCCAGGATGGGGCTGAGCGGCCGATTCCCGCCTTGCCGCAGCTACAGTCTGAATTAGGCGCCACCGCATTATCTGGCCCTGGGGTTCGTGCTACTGGTGGCATGGACAGAGATGGGGGCTGCCACAGCTGCTATGGGGCTGAGCAGCCGATTCCCGCCCTCTTGCAGCTATGGGACCGGCCACCTGACTTAGGTGCCTTGGAGGCGTCCGGCCCTGGGGTCTTTGCTGCTTGTGTCTGAGGGCAGGGTCAGGGCTGCCACTGCTACTGCCGTGCACCATGCACAGGCGCCAGCTGCAGCTGAGCCCAAGGCAGATGCTGGCAGGGCTGGCCTGAGGCTGCCCAAGGGTGGGTGAGTGCACCGCCTTTCCACCCTAGGGTCCGTTATTCCTAGACCAGCGCCCAGATTGCGGGGTCGTGGGCGTTCGACACTGTGCAGCCATGAGGATCTGGTTGGGCGGAGATTCCTGCCCTCCTGCTGCTGAGAGGCCAACCTCCTAACACGCGCTGCAGTGACTTCTGGCTCTACAGTCTGCGCTCCTGCTGGAGCTGGCAGAGACCAGAGCTGCCACCGCTGCTGCTTCCAGGAGTGTGCAGGTGGCAGCTGCCGCTGAGCCCGCGGCGGAGGATGGCAGGGCTTGTTCCAGAAGGCTTGAGGGTCCCCGAGTGCACCGCCCTCCCACCGTAAGGTCCAGTCTTCCTTGTCCGCGCCCAGAGAGTGGGATTACAGGCGCTGAGCACAGTGCAAGCGCTGGGATGGGGCTGAGCTGCAGGTTTCCTCCCTCTGGCTGCTGGGGGGCCGACCGTCTGAGTTAGGGGACGCGGCGGCTTTTGGTCATGGGGTCTGCACTGCCGGTGGCTTGCACAGGGTCGGGGGCTGCCACAGCTGCTATAGTTCACCGTGTGCACGTGGCAGCCGTCTCTGAGCCCACCGCTGAGGCTGCAGGGCTGGCCCGGTCCCAGACGGCCTGAGGGTCATTTGCCCGCGCCCAGAGCACCGGGTGGCGGGAGCTGGGCACTGTGCAGCCTCCAGGAATCCGCTGAAGGGCGGGTTGCAGCTCTCCTGCAGCTGTGGGCCGACTGCCTGACTTTGGCCACTAGGTGGCCTCTGGCTCTAGGGTTTCGGGGCCGCTGGTGTCGGCGGGCAGAGTCCGGGTTTGCCACCGCTGCCCACAGGCTCACCATGGCCTGACTAAATGCTCGCACTGCTCATACATCCACTTTTAAAAATTGGGTTGAACATGAGAACATAATCATTCATATTTTATCCATTTGCATGTATTCAATACCATCCTTTCGCTGTTCTTGTCTCTGCAGCCTTTTTCTTTAAAGAATGAATGTTTCCATGTTTTATATCCACAGAATTTCTGGTTTTTCCTGTTGGAGCCCAAGGAGCAAGGGCAGAATGAGGAACATGATGTTTCTTACCGACAGTTACTCATGACGTCTCCATCCAGGACTGAGGGGGGCATCCTTCTCCATCTAGGACTGGGGGCATCCTTCTCCATCCAGTATTGGGGGTCATCCTTCTCCATCCAGTATTGGGGGTCATCCTCCTCCATCCAGGACCTGAGGGGTGTCCTTTTCTGCGCTTCCTTGGATGGCAGTCTTTCCCTTCATGTTTATAGTGATTTACCATTAAATCACTGTGCCGTTTTTTCCTAAAATATATGGGGTGTGTTTTTTGTTCTCACTTCTGTTAGTCCTTTGGTCCCTAGGTCCAGCTTTTTTGTAATTTCTTTTGCAACCTAATATGAGTCCCATTTAGTAAGTATTACATATACTAGGAAATGATGTATATTCAGCATTTGTTGTGATTTTAAAATTTTTTATAAACACATAACATTTTTGTCTATTTCCCATTTAAATTCAGAAGTATGAGTTCCAGCGTCCCTCTCTAGACCTGCTCTTCCTGTTAGTTTCTTTGTATGTCCTGGAGGCGAGGCCAGCATTGGACTTGACGTTGCTTCACCTACTCGGTTCTATGGTCCCTCCATGTGCAGTGTCTATCCTGTTGTTCATTATTTCTTCCTTAAGTTTTATTTGAACTAAAATTAATTTTGTGGTAGCAGCTTGCTTTCTGTGAATATTTACTTAAAATTTTTATTCCCATTATTTTTCTTTCTTGAATTTGAAAGTGCTGCTTTGTTACTGATATTTTGTATTTTAATATATGAGGTTAATCCTTCTATGTTTGGTAGGAAAAAGTGATATATTTGAACTTATTTCTAGCATTTGATTTTGGATTTTGTATCCCAAAGCTTTATCCTCAATTCTCTTTTCCTTTCTTCAGATTTCTTTTCTTTTCTTTTTTGGGGGGGGTGGGGGATGGAGTTTTGCTCTTATTGCCTAGGCTGGAGTGCAATGGGGTGATCTCGGCTCACCACAACCTCTGCCTCTCAGGTTCACGCGATTCTTCTGCCATAGCCTCCGAGTAGCTGGGATTACAAGCATGTGCCGCCACACCTGGCTAATTTTGTATTTTTGGTACAGACAGAATTTCTCGAACTCCCGACCTCAGGTGATCCACCCACCTTGGTCTCCCAAAGTGCTGGGATTACAGGCATAAGCCACCGCGCCTGGACTTCCAGATTTATTTTCAATCAGCATTTCATTTTCCACTTCCTTCCTATGCTGGCTTTTAGGTTTTCCAGGCTATTTACCTTTAGTGTCAAAAATTATTTTGGGAACTTTTGAGTTGTCAACCAATATTGTAAGCATATTGGATATTGCTGTTTTTCTCCCAGTGCTCTGGTTATAATCTCTCCTATTAATACCTTGTAGCCTTATTGTCGTAGTTATTTTTTTCTATTAATTTCTGAGATATAAGAATTAGAATTGTCAAATTGTGGATTTATGCATTTATCCTTTTAATTCAATAACTTTTGCTTTGTGTATTTTGTTATTTTTCTTAGGTGCATACATGCTTATGCTTATTAGGTTTTCTAAGCAAATGGACTTATTGCATAAAACATCCTTCTTTATCCCTGTTGATGCTTGTCTTTCTTGTAGTCTGTCTTATCTGCCATTAATACACTGGCTGCAGTTTTTGATAACAAAGATTTGCATGGTGTATATTTGTCCATCTTTTCAGTTTGAATCTGTTTGTATCTTTACCTCATAAGTGTATATCGTTTTAAAAGCTGATATTGAGGTTTCCTTTTTACCTACTTTGACAGTCTCTGTTCTGCCTTCCTGGTCTTCTTCTGGATTATTGTAGTTTTCATTTGTTTGTTTGTTTGTTTTATGGGGTTTTCTTTTTTTTTTAGTATGGATTTTGTATCTTGTGTTTTTCTTAACTATGACTCTTTGTTTCATTTATTTATTTTTAGTGAGTTCTTTAGAAATTAAAATAAAAATACTTAAAGTATATTAAATATCATAACACTGTATATAAAATATAAAAACCTTACCTTACCCTCCTCCCTTCTCTCATCTTTTGTGCCATGTTGTCATAGATTTTTCTTCTGCACATGTTGTAATTCCTGGAGGATGTCATTAAAACAGCAGTTTCCCCTCCACATGTTTACTATTTTTGGCACACTTTCATCTTTTCTGAGAACTAGAATTTCCAATTGTTATCATTTTTCTTCAAGCTGAACAGCTTTCTTTTGCATTTATTGTGGTTTGGGTGTGATGGCAACACATTCTCTCAGACTTTCTTTAATTGAAAATGTACTTTTCTCAACTTCAGTTCTGAATGCTGCTTCAGCAGGTTCAGAATTCTAGGGACACCTTCGACTTTGAACAGCATGAAGTCTCTGCTCAGCAGTGCTCTAGTCACCATCTAACATATTATTATATCCAGTTGTGTCAAATCTGTCATCGGCCATAGAACCCTTTAACAGGTGCTTCTTGTTGCTTCAGTTCTAAGTATTTCATAGTCTTCAGAGATATGGAGAAGTAGCAGTGCTAGTAACACTACCAGTAAAACCAGGATAAGCCCTAAAATAATTAAGCCATCGCATGCACACACATGAACGTTTGACTTCAGCTAAAATGCTTTCAAGTGTACTATTTTATCTTTACACAAGGTTATAATACAAATTAAAATTTTAAAAATATTTCCACTTTATATATGTGAAAACTGCAGCTCAAAGAATTTAAAAGACATGATTGAAATCCCATAACTAGGTAAAGATGGTCAAGTCTGGAGCCCACATGTCTCGGTCCCCCCACACCCTGTTACGGAGAGTGCGAGGCTTCACCAGGAAGCTCTTTTGGCTCAAGGATTAGCTCTGGGGAAGTGCAGCAGGCAGGCCTGCTTTGCATCCTTTTACCAGCAGAAATCCTACGTTTGTTTCAAGTTTCTAGTTCTTTTTGTTTTGTTTTGTTTCTTACCAGCATGGCTCTGGGAGTTATTTACACAATTTAATTTTAAAAGAGACAGTCCCCATCACTAAGGTTCCTTGGAAACTTATCATGCAAAAAAAATAATAATAATAAATGCTGGTAGATGGGAAACTTCTGCAAAATTGTTTTTTATCTATATAATTGTAACTAAATAAATATGTGTATTATAGTAATAATTTATTACTGTAATTTTCTTGCCAGATTTGAAGGCAATTTTTTAAAGCTCTCCACATGTGGTTTACTGTGGACCAAACACTGGCAGCTTCAGGCTTACAATCTGCTGACAAACCCTTCTTAGTTCCTTCAATTGAAGAATGTGAGCAAGCACTGCTCATGTGCCTGGCAAGCACGCAAACCACTCAGGAGAAGGACAGTGGCCACTCAGGTCATCAGGTGAACTTGTGACGGGGCCATCAAGAGGCTGCACGTGAGCTCCAGAAAATGAAATTCCCACTATCAACCTATTTTCCATTTCCGCCCAATGCCCCGCCCCTGCTCCAAATCAAGATCTCCGCCTCTTAGAAATGCTTGATTTTCAGTATTGCTAAACAGGGATTGAAGAAAACAAACTGAACAAAGAAACAAATAAAGCCTTTAACACAGTGAGCAAAGACACAGCACCTACACCTTCCCCGGGCCCCGCAACAGCTCCAGAGCTGCACAGCTGCTCCCAGAGCCTGAGCATGGACCTGAGCTCTGGCTCATGGATCTCACCAATGCATTTCTTCCCTCTGTGTCAAAAAAGCATCCAGAAATTGGATTCATTTACTTGGGACATAAAATAATGTATACCTACAGTTTTGTCCCAGAACTGTGTAAACCAGCATGCTGTCTGCCATAATACAGTCCTCCCCCTGCATCAGGAGCACAGATGGGGGAAACCGGCGGGGCTGGAGGCCTGGGAGTCACAGGTGCTTGGAGGGGAGAGAAAAGCACCACAGAGAGCCAGGCCCTGCCTACAAATCCCATTTTTAGGGGTCTAGTGGTCTGTGCAGGCTGGGAGATGATCTCTAAAGGAAAGGCAAGAAATATTGCCCCACATCTCCCACCACCAAACAGAAAGTGCAGGTGGTCAGCCCCAGGGCTCACCTGCCCTTTGCCAGGGTCATGAGCTAGGCCCAGGCTGCGCGCTCCACAAAACCATCAAGGGGACGACTGCCTGCCAGGCTGGGACAACTGCACCAGGCCCTGACATCCTGGGAAGAACAGGGCTGCATTTAACAGAAACAACTAAACCTGCAGGGATGAGCTTGCCTTTCCCCGGGGCCACGGGATGGTTTATAGAAAGTTCTGCCCATCAGGACGAGACCTCACATGACACCATCAGAGGAACTGATACCATGCCACAGAGGGAGGAAGACGGCACATGCCATAGGTCCGCTGGCCACAGCACACACACGCTCCTGGGAACTTCAGAGCCAGCAGTGTGGCTCAGGTGCCAGGTCAGGATGTGGGAGGACACAGTGTCTGGGTGAATCTGTCACCTTTGCTAGCTGCCTGGTCCCACCAGGTAGAAGATGTGGCAATGGGAGCACAGCAGTAGGAAGCCCAGTGTCCCCCAACCTTCCACCTCACACCCAGGACCTCTGAGGTGCATCTATGTCCTGCACATCTAGGCTCTGAAAAGCAGGAGGTCCTGGTTTCCACAGCTGTGGGGCTTCTAGACAGGACAGAGCCAGGTTCTCTAAAAAAAACAAGCTCTGGGTGCTGCTTTGTTCTCAGGCTGCTCCTCCATGGGACCTGCGGGCAGAAAGATGTGTACCACCTGGACCATGGTGTGAGCAGGAGCAGGGCTGTGCTGCCTGGGGAAGAAGGGGCTCTACGCAAGCGCCTCTCAGTACACAGCATTTGATGGTACCTGGACAAGTGCGGGAGCCCTAGACCAAGGACTCAGTGGTGAGCAAGACTCAGGACCCCTTAGGGGCGAGGGCCTGGGTTACACCACCAGGGGGTCACCTGGACCCTCAGCAGAAGGTGAAGGGGTGATCATTACCTTTGCGACCCTGAAATGGGTGGCAGCCACAGGACACAGGGTTCATTGAACCCACCTTGTGTAACTATTGCCCAGGAAAAGGCCCAGAATTTAATAAAGACAAGGCCCCTGGCAGTGCAGTGTTGGATGGGGCGCACCCCCTGGGGCACCCCTGACCCTCCCCCAGGGCCTTGGCTCTGAGCTTTGATTATAGACACACGTATGCCATGGCCCCTTCAGACTGCTCCCTTCACCTTTGAAAAACCAGACAGGATGCTTCTGTTCCTGGAAACATGAATGCCCTTCATGTGTTTTTTTCTTTGACTAGAAACTCAACTTCAACCAAAATATGACTCCCACACAATAATAATGGGAGTCTTTAACATCCCACTGTGAACATTAGGCAGATCAATGAGTCAGAAAGTTAACAAGGATATCCAGGAATTGAACTCAGCTCTGCACCAAGCAGACCTAATAGACATCTACAGAACTCTCCACCAAAATCAACAGAATATACATTTTTTTCAGCACCACACCACACCTATTCCAAAACTGACCACATAGTTGGAAGTAAAGCACTCCTCAGCAAATGGAAAAGAACAGAAATTATAACAAACTGTCTCTCAGACCACAGTGCAATCAAATTAGAACTCAGGATTAAGAAACTCACTCAAAACCGCTCAACTACATGGAAACCGAACAACCTGCTCCTGAATGACTACTGGGTACATAACGAAACGAAGACAGAAATAAAGATGTTCTTTGAAACCAATGAGAACAAAGACACAACATACCAGAATCTCTGGGACACATTTAAAGCAGTGTGTAGAGGGAAATTTATAGCACTAGATGCCCACAAGAGAAAGCAGGAAAGATCTAAAATTGACACCCTAACATCACAATTAAAAGAACTAGAGAAGCAAGAGCAAACACATTCAAAAGCTAGCAGAAGGCAAGAAATAAGTAAGATCAGAGCAGAACTGAAGGAAATAGAGACACAAAAAACCCTTCAAAAAAATCAATGAATCCAGGAGCTGGTTTTTTGAAAAGGTCAACAATATTGATAGACCGCTAGCAAGACTAATAAAGAAGAAAAGAGAGAAGAATCAAATAGATGCAATAAAAATAGATAAAGGGGATATCACCACCGATCCCACAGAAATACCAGCTATCATCAGAGAATACTATAAGCACCTCTACGCAAATAAACTAGAAAATCTGGAAGAAATGGATAAATTCCTTGACACATACACCCTCCCAAGACTAAACCAGGAAGAAGCTGAATCTCTGAAGAGACCGATAACAGGCTCTGAAATTGAGGCAATAATTAATAGCCTCTCCCTGGGAATGGGCGGGCCTGGGTCCAGTCCACAGGGCCCCTCGCGGGCCCTGACGCAGGATGGAGTTGAGGTGGGGGCAGCGCTGGACCCCAGGGCCCCTGCCTGCCTCCTGGGGAGCCCGGTGACCCAGGCAGCCCTGGTGAGGCTGTGGGTGTCTGGGCCATAGCGAGGCCCCCGGGCTCCCACAGGACAGATGCGGACAGTGAGGCCGGGGAGGCCCTGCTGCCCTCCGGACTGTCCCTCCAGCCCCCAGCTTTCTGTGGTTCTCTGGACCCCCTCTGCAGAGGGGCAGGGGAGCACACCCTGGATCCTGAGACGCCAAGCTTGAGGAACCCCAGAGCTCTAGCGAGGCTGCTTCCTTTGCGGATGGTGAAACTGAGGTCCAGAGGAGGGCAGGGGCAGGTCCCGGGTGCTCCCTAGGCAAAGGGAGCCGATCTCGGGGAGGGGGTCACAGGGAGCGTCCCTGCGACTTCTAGGGCCCGAAAGCTGGGGAGGATGAGAGACCAGGGGTCTTTCGTCGCCCCCTGGGGCTGGGCAGAGGCTCAGCCTGTGTTGCCACCCAAAGCTGCTTCTGGCAAGTCCGAGCCGCGTCCCTTTAAGAGGGGGTGGAGCTTCAACCTGGCACGAGGGATGCTGCCAGCGTGCGTGTCCCTACGGAAGCTGAGACTGCACTTCCTGCGAGGCCCCTGCAGCAGCAGCGGCGTGGTCAGAGCGAGCTTCGGAGAAGCAGTGGTGGGTTCCATGTGATGGTGGAGTAGGAGGCAGGTCTCCGCGGTAAGTGGCGGGGGCGTGGACCCCACCGGGAACCCTCCCGGCTCCTTCCCTGCCTCTCCCTGTTTTCGTGCTTTCACTTCTTCGTGGGCATCTGGGCCCGAGTCCTCCGCGTGGGGGCGGTTGTGGGGTCCTGGCTACTGCAGCGTCCGCACCCCGGCCGGGAAGGCTATGCCAATGTCCGACCCGCGTCCAGCATATAGGAGCGCCCTGGCCCAGAGCTGGCGGTGAAACGCCGGACCTGGGTCCCTCCGAGCCTCAGGGGCCTCTGAGCTGGAGTCTAGGATTATTTTTGATGCCTCAGCACCTTTAAAAAGAGACCTCGCTAGAGCAGGGGACATCTGTAGTTTCAGTTCTTTGAGGAGTCTCCAGCTATTTAGCTGTTTTCCATGGTGTGTATCCTAATTTTCATTTCCACCTACAGTGTATGAGTTTCCCTTTCTCCAAAACCATACCCGCATTCCTATTATTTTTGGTTTGGGGTTTGTTTTGTTTTTGTTTTGAGATGGAGTCTTGCTCTGTCTTCCAGGCTGGAGTGCAGTGGCGCCATCTCGGCAGACTGCAGCCTCTGCCTGGTTTTAAACAAGTCTCCTGTCTCGGCCTCCGGAGTAGCTGGGACTACAGGCGCCGCCACCATGCCCAGCTAATTTTTGTATTTTTAGTAGAGATGGGGTTTCACGATATTGGTCAGGCTGGTCTCAAACTCCTGACCTCAGGTGATCCACCTGCCTCGGCCTCGCAAAGTGCAGAGATTACAGGCATGAGACACCATTCCCAGCCCCTCTTATTTTTTAAATAAAAAATCTAGGAATATTCAATAAGTGTGAGATTATCTGTGTGTGGTTTTGAATTACAGTTTTCTAATGAATAGTTTATTTTGAGGACCTTATCTCTTATTTGTTGTTCGATTTTATGGCTGTGCAGAATTGTCTGTTCAGGTTCTTTGCAAAATATTAGATTGGATGCTTTTGCTACTTTGTAGTGTTTTTTGTGTACATGTTAGATGACAACTCCTCGTGAATTACATGATTGCCTGAAATTTTTGCCTAATCTATAGGATGCTTTTTAATTTGGAAAGTAGTTTTCTTTGATGTGCAGAAACTTTTCATGTTGACATAGTCCCATATATTTATTTTTGCGTTTCATGCATGTAATTTTTGTCACCCATATAAGAAAATATATATCAGTGACAAAGCATTTAATTGTCAATGAGGTTTTTCTTCTAGGGTGTTTGTTTATTTTCCTCTTTGCAAAGGTGAGCAGAGATTCAAGTGACCCAAAATATATGCTCATCCTGTGTTTTAGTTAAAAACATTTTGTGGTTTATGGTCTTTTGTTTTGCCTTCAATTTGGGGGAGGGGGTGTTCATTTTCATACATCGTGTAAAATAAGGTCCTATTTCTCACTTCTGCATCTGAATATCATTTTTCTCAAAGGTACTCATTCTCTGCCTTCCACATTGCAGTGTTCTTTATCAAAGTCAGTTGACTGTGTCCATATTTGTGTTGATCATGTTTTTGTTCTCCCTGTTTTTGTCCATAGTTTATGCAAGTATCATATATCAGCTGTATAACTACAACTTGGCAGTGTAATTTGATATTGAGGATTGTGGGTCTTCACTTTGTATTTCTGAGGATTCCTTTAGATATTCATTGCTTTTGTGGTTCCCTGTGATTTTTAGCAATACCTATTTATTTCTATTAACTTTTTTTCACAACATAAAGGTCCATAATTAGGGGTACATTTTCATACATATAGGTTGGGTAATGATCAAATCAGGGTACTTAGGATCTATATTTGCTCGTCCAGGCAT
The DNA here is from genome assembly GCF_000001405.40 of Homo sapiens. NCBI lineage: Eukaryota > Metazoa > Chordata > Mammalia > Primates > Hominidae > Homo > Homo sapiens. The sequence continues at coordinate 19,064,277 of NC_000014.9, forward strand.
TTTTTTTTTTTTTTTTTTTGTGGGGAGAACATTCAAAATTCTCCCTTCTTGCTCTAGAAAAATATGATATTGTTTACTCCAGTCACCAGGCTGAGGAGGAGAACTTCAGATTTATTCCTTTAATGTTAAGATAACTTTGTTTCCATAATCAATCCTTCCCCATTCCCCCTCTATCTCCCAAACTCTGGTAACCAATATTGTGCTTTCTACTTCATTAAGATAAACATCTTAAGATTTCACGAGTGGTATCATGCAGTGTTTGTCTTTCTAGGCCTAGCTCATTACATTTAACATAATGTGTTCCAGGTTCATCTGTGTTGCTCTAAATGACACTGTTTCATTATTTTGATGGCTGGAGAATATTTCCTAGTGTATGTATATGAGAGTTTCTTGATCTCTTTATCTGTGGATGAACAGGTAGGTTGAATTTATACCCAGTAATGGGACTGCTAGATGATATGGTATTTCTTTTTTTCCTATTCTTTGCAAGACCTCCAACTGTTTTTTATAGTGTTAATACTAATTTATGTTTCCACAAACAGTTCCCCTTTCTGGAAATTCATACCAGGAATTGTCTTTTTAAATATTTTGATCTTTTTGTAATGTTCATTCTATTGGAGTGAGATAAGATCTGAGTGTGGTTTTGATCTGCATTTTTCTCGTGAGTAGTAATGTTAACCACGTTTTTGTAGACATTGGGTCAGTTTCCTGTCTTCTTTAGAAAAATATCTAATCCGGTTATTTGCCCAGTTTTTGTCTGGCAATTGTTCTGTTGTTTTTTTTTTTTTGTTTGTTTTTGTTTTTTTTTTGCCAGCTGGTAGTATGACTCGCTTGTACCTTTTCAAAAATAATCCCTTATCCCAAACTTGTAATTTTTAGTGTGCCTTTTTATTTTCTTTATTGTTTCCTTTGTTGGGCACAAACGCTTCAGCTTGACGTGGTCCCACATGTGCATAATTTCTTGGTGGCTGTGCTGTTGGTTACTAATCAAGAAAAAACAAAATCACAAATCACTACCAAAGCAGTTCATTGTCAATAATTTTTTTCCCTTGTATTTTTGTTTACTTTTTGCGAACCCTAAGCATACATCCAAGTTGCCCTAAATATACGCACACCTGAGGTTGTCTTTATAGGAGCTTTATGGTTGCAAGTTTTGTGTATAATCTTTAATCATTTTGAGTTGATTATTGTGTATCTAGTACCATAAGAGTCCTGTATTATTCTTTTGCATATGGATATCTAGTTTTGGAAATCTTCCCCGTTGTGTCATTTTGGTGGTGTTTTGAAAAATGTGTTCATTCCATATAAATTTTTGTTTATTATCGAGCACATTCATTTTGCTCACTGGTCTGTGTTTCTCTGTGTATGCCAGTAACGTATGGGTTTGTTAACTACAGATTTTCATTTAATTAGAACTCAGGGAATGTGACACATCCCATATGGTTTGTATTTCTCAGAATAACTTTGGAAATTCAGGGTGTTTCACATTTCCACATAAATTTTGGCATTGTTTCTTTATATTTCTTAAAACACTATTTGTCATATACTAAATGTATACAATTAAAAGGTACAAGGAAGATTTTGATACGTGTATATGTTGAGTAATGATAAAATCAGGTTATTTAGCATCTCTTCATCTCATATAGTTATTATTTTTGAGTGGTAACAACATTCAGAATCTTTCCTTCTAGCTACTTTGAAACATATGATACATTTGTGTTAAGGCTAGTCACCCTGCTGTGGAATAGAAGGCCAGAATTGATCAGTCTCATCTGAGAGTAACTTTGTACCCATCACTGATTCCTTCTGAGACTGCCTCCACTTCCCCAGCAGCCTCTGGTAAGCCTTATTGAACTTTCCACTTCTAGAAGATAAAGCTTTCTTCAGTCTGCATGCCTGAGATCACGTGGCATGGGACTTTCTCTACCAGCCTTATTCTTTGAACCTCATGTTCTTCAGGTTTCTTCATGTGGCTGCAGATGGCAGGATTTCCCAAAGGTTTCTGGCTGAAACATATTCCGTGGTGTATCTGTACAGCAGTTTCCTCATCCCTGCAGCTGTGTTTGAACAGGTAGGTTGGTTCTCTACCTTGGCCACAGTTAAGAGTGCTTTAGTACCCGTGGGAAGGCAGATAGCTCTCTTCAACCTAGGGACTTCAACTGCTTTAAATGTGGAACCAGTGGTGGGGCTGTTAGCTGACATGGTAGTTGTACTGTGAATTTTTTCAGAAACCTCTAGCTGTTTTTTATAGTGTGTATACTAATTTACATCCTCACCAATAGTGTTTAAGAGGTTACCTTTCTGTAAGTCTACACTGGATGTCACCTTCAAAAATTTGTGTTTTGTTTTTGGTAGTACTCATTCTGAGTGGAATGAGACGGAATCTTAGTGTGGTTTTCATGGACATTTTTTTGTGAGGTTTAGTGATGTCGAGAAAGTTATTTGAGAAATCCCCACATTGCTTTCCATGGTGTCCGAACTAGTTTGCATTTCCACCAACAGCAGACCAGCATCCCTCCTCCTCTGCCTTGCTGGTGTTCATTCTTGTGGACTGTGTCATAATTGTCATTCATCAGAATGTGTGAAATACTATCTCATGGGCCTTTAGCTTTGCATTTCTCTGATGATTCCTGAGGTAAAGCAATGATATCTTGTCTGTTGGTTGCTGTAAACCTTCTTTTGAGATGCATGTTTTCATGCCCCTTACCCTTTCTTCATCGAGTTTTTGTTTTTCTGATTTATTTGCTTAATGTATTTGAGGTAGATCCTGGATATTAGACTTCATCAGATGCGTATGTGGGAACATTTTCTCCCATTGTGTAGGCTGTCTGTTTACTGTGTTGGTAATTGCTTCTGCTGTGCAGCAGCTCTTTTGTGTATTAGGCCCCACTTGTCAATAATTGTTTTAGTTGCACTTGCTTTTGGGGACTTAGGCATAGACATGCTCTGCCAAATCCTCTGTCAAGAAGGGTATTTCCAAGTTCTCTTGCAGGCTTCTCATAGTTTGAGGTCTTGTGTTTACATCTTTCATTCATCTTGAGTTAATTTCTGTGCAGGGTGAGACACAGGGGCCCACTGTTTTTCTTCTGCAACTGGCTAGCACTTTATCCTGGCACCATCTATTGAGAGGAGGGAGTCCTTTCTCCAAAGCTTATTTTTGTGGATTTTTTTGAAGATCAGATGGTGTTAGGGGTGTGGGTTTACATCTGGGTCCTCTAATCTGTTCCACTGCTCTGTGTGAAATGGGGTCCCTAGCTTTTCAATGAAAATTAAAATCGGGAAGTGTGACACAACCAATGTAGTGTGGACTTCTCAGGATTGCTTTAGAAATTCAGGGTGTTTTGTGGTCTGCATGAATTTTAGCATTGCATATTTACATATTTTTTAAAAGGTTGGCCATATAGTAAAGGTATACAATGGGGGGAGTTAGAGTGGGGCATTTTGGTTAATGCAGACACAGAGGAATGTTAAAATCAGGATATTTAGAGTCTCTGTTATCACAAACAGTTGTTAATTTATTTGTGGTGGAAACATTTGGAATCTTCTTTTCCAGATTTTGTGAAAAAGCTGTGATGTTTTGTTAACCTCTGGTCACAGTGCTGTGGAACAGAGAGGAACAATTCATTGCTCTCATCTAAGTGTAATTTTGTACCTATTTCTGATCCCTGCCCATGCCCCTGCTTCCTTCCAATCTCTGGAAACCACTGTTGTGCTCTCTAGATCTATTGCAATAAAGCCTTTTATTTTGGGTTCTACATGAGTGAGATGTGGCAATGTTTTTCTTTCTCTACCTGGTTCAGGTCATTTACCATGCTGTCCTCCAGGTTCAACAGTATGGCTCCAAAGGATGAAATTTCATTCTGATTTTCTGGCTGAAGACTATTCTCTTTGTGTATGTCCACCACAGTTACTTTATCCCTTCATCTGTGGATGGGCAGGTAAGTTTATTCCTTATCTTGGCGATTGTGAATAGTGCTGCAGTCCACATAGGATGGCTGATACCTCTTGCATAAACTGATTTCTTTGGCACTGAAAGTATACTTAGTAGTAGAATTGTTAGATGAAGTGGTAGTTGTAGGTTTAATTTTTGGAGGAACCTCCCACTGGTTTCTGTAGTATGTATACTAATTAACATTCTTTTTTTTTTTGGATGGAGTCTCGCTGTATTGCCCAGGCTGGAGTGCAGTGGCATGATCTCAGCTCACTGCAAGCTCTGCTTCCTGGGTTCACGCCATTCTCCTGCCTCAGCCTCCTGAGTAGCTGGGATTACAGGCACCCGCCACCACGCCCAGGTAATTTTTTATACTTTTAGTAGAGACGGGGTTTCACCGTGTTAGCCGGGGTGGTCTCGATCTCCTGAACTCGTGATCTGCCGGCCTCGGCCTCCCAAAGTGCTGGGATTACAGGCGTGAGCCACCGTGCCCGGCTGTATACTAATTAACATTCTTACCAAATGAGTTTTTCTCTGGAAATTTCCACCAGCATTTGTGTCTCTTTTAATATATTGTATCACTTTGATAACATCCATTTGAATTATAGTGAGATATGTGTGTTGTTTTGATTTATATCTTTCTCATGGTTTGTGATGTTATTCAAGTTTTTAAAACTTGTTTTCAATGTTATGTCTTTTTTGTAGAAATGTCTATTCAGGTTTTGTTTGGTTATTAGTTTCTCTTTTGTGTTTTTGCTAGTGAGTAGTGTTAGTTGCTTAGACATTTTGAAGACAGCCTTTTATCAGATGTATGTTTGTCGAAACGTTTCTTGTAGAATGAAACATATATGGAAATGTTCTGTGCAATCAAAACAGCAGTGGTAACAGAGGAGATGTAGGCTCTGAGTGTCTCACTGGAGACTGAAGTCCACAGATATGCAACAAAGCCTTTGTCTCCCTGATGTTTTTGCCTCCTGCTGGTCATGTGCTTTCACACATCAAGAGAGGACATTTAACATTTGAGCCACAGTGTCATTTGCTGTTGTCTGATGGGTGAGATTTTTGCTGGCGTAATCCATATTGTCATATGTTCTTGGGGCCCACAAGATTATTCTTGGTCATCTAAGATGTTACTGACATCTTATCACCTTAAGATGTTGCTGACTTAATCACCTTCAACTGACTCCTATTCATTCTTTGAAATAAGCAGACACATGTTGTTTCAGTGATTCTTTCAGTTGGTGATTTGCCTGGTGCATTGCTGTGTGAGGTCACCTCCCGTCAAATGACCCACAGGTGGTAACAGTCTGTGAACAAACAGTTTACAGGAGGGACCAACCATGTGCGGACGGACATGGGGTGGGTCATTTCAAAGTGAGGTAGTCAACCTGGGCCCTAGACTGGCACAGACAGAAGAAGCCACAATCCTTTAGAGAGAAAAAAATTACAAAGTATAAATATCCTTTGTTAAGAGAAATAGAGACCATTTTCAGAGGGCGTAATAGTATTAAAATGTGTTCTCATTGTTCAGCTCCCACTTACGAGCGAGAACATGCAGTGTTTGGTTTTCTGTTCCTGTGTTAGCTTGCTGAGGATGATGGCTTCCAGCTTCATCCCTGTCCCTGCAGAGGACTTGATCTCATACCTTTTTATGGCTGTGTAGTATTCCATGATGTATATGTAGTACATTTTATTTTTCCAGTCTATCATTGATGGGCATATGGGTTGGTTCCAAGTCTTTACCATTGTGAATAGTGCTGCTATAACCATACATGGAGCAGATGGTTCTCAAAGCAAGATGGACCTCTGAGCAAGATGAGCTCCAAGCTTGATGGAGCTCAGAGCAGATGGAGCTCCAGGTGAGATGGAGCTCCGATTAATATGAAGCTCGGAGCAGATGTTTCTGAGTATGATGGAGCACCAAGCCTGTGGTCTCAGAGCAAGATGGAGCTCCGAGCAGATGGTACTCAGAGCCAGATGGAGCTAGGAGTGACTGGGGCTCTGAGCAAGGTGGAGCTCAGAACAGATGGTGCTCAGAGCAAGATGGAGCTTGGAGTGATTGGAGCTCCAAGCAAGATGGAGCTTGGAGCAGATGGAGCTCTTAGCAGATGGAACTCAGAGCACCATGGAGCATGGAGTGTCCAGCTCAGAGCAAATATAGCTCAGACAAGAAGGAGCTCCAAGCAAGATGGAGCTTGGAGCCGATGTTCCTCTGTGTAAGATGGAGCCCAGAGCAAGATAAAGCTTGGAGTCGTTGGAACTCTCAACAGTTCTCTGAGCAGTTGGAACTCTGAGCAAGATGGAGCTCTGAACAAGATGGTACTCAGAGCAGATGAAACTCTGAGCAATAAGGAGATCTAAGCAAGATGGAGCTTTGTGCAGATGTTGCTCAGTTTCAGATGGAGCTCAGAGCAGATGGTGCTCAGAGCATGATGGAGCTCAGAATGATTAGAGCTCCAAGCAAGATGGAGCTCAGAGAAGATTGAGCTTGGAGCAGATAGAGCTCTGAACAAAAAGGAGCTCCAAGCAAGATGGAACTTGGAGCAGATGTTGCTCGGTGTAAGATGGAGCTCAGAGCAGATGCTCGTAACAACATGGAGCTTGAAATGATTGGAACTTAAAAACTTTACTCTGGAGGATTGGAACTCTGAGCAGATAGTGATCAGAGCAAGATCAGCCTCGGAGTGATTAGAGCTTCGAGCACAATGGGGCTTGGAGCAGATGCAGCTCTGAGCAAGATGTAGCTCAGAAAACATGTTGCTCACAGTAAGATGTAGCTTGAGCAGATGGTGTTCAGAGCAAAATGATGCTGGAAGTAATTGGAGCTCTCAGCAAGCTGGAGCTCGGAGCAGATGGAGCTTGGAGCAAACGAAGTTCGGAGCAAGAAGGAGCTCTAAGCAAGATGGAGCTTGGGGCAAATGTTCCTCAGTTTCAGATGGAGTTCAGAACAGATGGTGCTCAGAGCAAGATGGAGCTCAGAGAACATGCTGCTTACAGTAAGATGGAGCTTCGAGCACATGATGCTCAGAACAAAATGGAGCTGGAAGTGATTGGAGATATCAGCAAGATGGAGCTAGAAGATGCAGCTCCGAGAATATGGAGCTCTGAGCAGAGGGTACTCAGAGCAAGATGGAGTTTGGAGGGATTGGAGCTCTGAGAAAGATGGAGCTTGGAGCAAATGGAGCTCTGAGTAAATGGAGCTCTGAGCAAAGTGGAGCTCAGAGTGATGGAAGCTCTAAAGCAAGATGGAGCTGGGAGTAGATGGAGCTTCAAGAAGATGGTGCTCAGAGCAAGATGGAGCTTGGAGTGATTGGATCTCCGAACCAGATGGAGCTCAGATCAGATAGACCTCTGAGCAAGAAGGAGCTCCAAACAAAATGGAACTTGGAGCAGATGTTGCTGGTGTAAGATGGAGCTCAGAGCAGATGGTACTCAGAGCAAGAGGGAGCTCAGAATGATTGGCACTCTGAACATGCTCTGAGCAATTGGAGCTCTGAGCAAGATGCAGCTCAGAGCAGACAGAGCTCTGAGCAAAAAAGGAGCTCTAAGCAAGATGGAGTTTGGAGGAGACGTTGCTTGGTTTTAGTTGGAGCTCAGAGCAAAACGGAGCCCACAGTGATTACAGCTCCAAGCAAGGTAGAGCTCAGAGCACATGTAGCTCAGAGTAAGATGAGCTCTGTCCACATGGTGCTCAGAGCAAAATGGAGCTAGAAGTGATTGGAGCTCCCAGCAAGATGGGGCTTGGAGTGATTGGAACTCCTAGCAAGATGGAGCTCAAAGTGGATGGATCTCTGACTAGATGGAGCTCTGAGTAAGATGAATGTCTATGCAGATGTTGCTCACAGCAAGATAGTGCTTGGAGCGATTGGCACTTCGAGCAAGATGGAGCTTGGAGCAGATGGAGCTCTGAGCAAGATGGAGCTTGGAGTAGATAGAGCTTGGAGCAAGAAGGAGCTCCAAGCAAGATGGAGCTTGCAGCAGGTGCTTCTCAGTGTAAGATGGAGCTCAGAGAAGATGATGCTCAGAGCAAGGTTGAGCTCAGGGTGATTGGCACTCCAAACATTGCTCTGAGCCCATTGGAGCTCTGAGCAAGAAGGTGGGAAGTGAGCAAGAAGGTGAAGAAGTGATACATTCCCACAGAACATTACAAGTTTAGCGGAAGCTATTATTGAATGTAAAGAGAAGAATGCCCCAGAATTCTATGTGGATTGTCGGGACAATACTCATTTCTGTAATCAGGCCTACTTTCTTTTAAAAAGTTTATCATATCAAACCTCACAAGGACAACCAGAACTCTGCGATATCCACTCTACAAACCTCAGACCCCTACAGTGTAGTAAAGGTGGCAGCCAAGATAGAAAGACAGAAACACACTGTTTGATGACCAGTCTTTGGAAGTTGAGACAGCAAATGTGGATTTACTCAGATTATTTTCCTGTTAGCACCTCCAGGTGTTATTTTGATGGTACTTTGCATTGGGCTGATGACACAATGGGGAAACATAAACTGCTGACGCTGGACTTCAGCAGTACAGTAACAGCCATGTGCAAGGCCATTGAAAAAGTAAAGACTGGTGGTTACATTGCCACGTGTTTTTCTGCATGGCATCATCATCTTAACTATGGACTTTATGTGCTTTCACAGCAAGATGTTTCTAGTATTTAGAAATGGACCTTATGCATTGTATACTTCCTAAGAGCTTGGAAAGCTCTCACCCAGGTACTACCAAATGCCAGACATCTCTCTATGTGGGCCATTTTCTGCCACAGCCAGAATTCATTCTGGGTGACATGCTGTTCTTGGCTGCTAAGGAAGTGATGTGGGGGAGCCAGGTGTCTCTCGCTGTCTGTGAGTCTATGGGAAAAAGGAGAATACTGAAAGGCACTAAGTTTACTGCCATGTTTAGAGGAGCTTTGTCAAGGCAACACAAGAGTGTTGTAGTCCTTTGTGGCCAACACCAACCTGAGTTTTTACAGCAGTTGTTGCATAATGATCACAGTCACATTCAAGTTCACTTTCTAAATCTTAGGTTCTACAAAAACTCTGTCTGATAATGTCCTATAGACCTTTCGGTAGCTAAAATCAATGAGTTTGAAAAATAATTTGAATTTGGCTTGCTCACCTTTTCAGCAGAATGCACTTGTGAGTCCTGCTCTGTCATTGTATTTTACATGTGTGGCTGTCCCTCTTGCTGTGTTGGAAGTCAGTGTTCCAGAATGTTAACTTCTACAAATACCTATGTATAGAGCAAAGAGAAAACTCTTCAAGTCAAAAGAGTGTATATTATTTCAGGGCAGCTCTCTAGCCTTGGATTTGAAACTATAGTATTTGTTACACAGAGAGAAGATGGTTCTTTTTTGTATTTTATTTTTAATGTTTGTGGGTACATAGTATTTATGGAGTACATGAGATGTTTTGACACGGGCATTCAATGTGAAAAAAAGCACATCCTAGAGAATGGGGTATCCCCTCAGTGATTCTTTGAGTTACAAATATTCCAATTACACTCTTTATGTTATTTTCAAATATATGATTAAGTTATTATTGACTATAGTCACCTGGGTTTGCTATCAAATAGTAGGTTTTTATTATATATTATTTCTTTTTTGTTTTTTGTATCCATTAACAATTCCTACCTCCCCCTCACTCTCTCACTACCCTTCCCAAGCTCTGGTAATCATCCTTCTACTCTCTACGTCCATGAGTTTAATTGTTTTTATTTTTAGATCCCGGAAATAAGCGAGAACACATGATGTTTGTATTTCTGTGCCTGGCTTATTTTTCTTGACATAATCATCTTCAGTTCCATCCATGTTGTTGCAAATGACAGGCTTTCATTTTTATGGCTGAATAGTACTCCACTGTGTATATGTACCACATTTTCTTCATTCATCTGTTGATGGACACTTAGGTTGCTTTCAAATATTAGTAATTGTAAACAGTGCTGCAGCAAACCTAGGAGTGCAGAAATCTCTTTGATATACTCATTTCCTTTCTTTTGGGTATATACCAAGCAGTGGGATTTTTGGATCATATGGTAGTATATCTGTTTTTTTTCAGGAAACTCCAAACTGTCCAAGGAGATAGTTCTGTTGTGATTACTTCATTGAGAAATTTAACTTATGAGCAGTTGAAAGGAATGCAAGTTGCTGCAAAATCAGAATGAAGAGTGCAAAACGACTAAGCTACAATGTTTTGTCATTATTCACTCTGATGTGAAAAAGGCAGTGAATTTAATAGAAAATAACTTCGTAGAGCAAAATCTCAGGTGTGTTTTTTTAGTGCCGCAGTCTTGGATGATGGGTTCCTAGAAGCTCTCAACATCTCTTCTTAATTGGAGAAAGTGTTAAGCCCCAAAGTAGCTGGAGCAGTACATCTTCAATTTTTGACAAGAAAGCAGGAACTTGATTACTTTGAGTGCTATTCATTAGTTTCTGCTTTCATTGAGAATGCAACAAAAGCCAACTAGGCTGCTGCTAACTCCTTGCTGGACTTCTTCTGCCACTGTCACAGGAACTGTAATCTCACTGGACAATTAACTAGGGAGTCTTTCATCTTGAGTGACTGCTGCACAAATGATCTTCAAAGCATTTTAGCCACCAGAGGAATTCTCTTGAAATACCCAAAATCCATCAGTATCTTGAATCATGCTGGATTTTGAAGAATTCTTAACAAGCCATGTAAAGGGGGCTCTCTGGCCTTGAAATAGTGATGTTTTTTATACAGAAAGGAGAATGCAGAATGGTCAGACTACCATGCACTGTTAAATTTGATTTCAAGAAATTACAGGAAAACTTTCCAAAGTTCCATCTCACAGAAATTATTTTTACAAAGAATTCCAAGATAAGTTTAGTTTTATGGAAGACTTTTATGTGGTTTTTACTCACTCTTCATCTCAGACATCAACAGATGATTACATCACTTATTTAGCTAGTAAATTTATTAATATAAAAACTCAGAGACATTCCAATATCCACATTGCTTACACCATTAGGCATAGATTCAGTGTCAGCTATGACAATTGAAAATAAGCTGTTTTGTGATTTAAAGGTTTAAATTTCTCTAACCAAACTGCTTGATCCAGATGCAGGACTGCAAATGTTAATATTTGTTCTGGAAGAACAATCAAATAAGACTTAAGAGGAAAAGGAATGGCCACAATCCACCTGAAATTTTTTTTTTAAAAAGTGTGCAGCCTACTAAATCAGAATGAAAATAGAAGTACAAGATTATAAACAAAATGCAATCAAACTTTTCTTAAGCTTACCTAAAGTTATTTCATCTGAAAATTTCAAGCAACTTTGTTCAACATTAAATTGACAATCTAAACTAACAAGTCTTTTGAATTTATGCATGGTAGTAAACATTCTCTCTATTAACTTTATTACCTAAGGCTAAACCTAAAATTTTTAAGCAAAATTAGAAAAATAGTCTTCACTCATCAAAAAATAAAGTTTGTTACATTTAGTATTTTCCCAATAAAATTGGTCGTTCTTGGTTTTTTATTTGGAGAGTCTGTGCAAAATGTCACTAAAAATAAATTAGCACTAGAAATTATTTCTAAATACCAAAAAAAAAAAAAATGAAGAATGGTTTCACAAAGAAAAAAAGAAAACTTTCTTAATTAGCAGAGTATCATCTCTGTGATTTTTGTGATTATTTGATCAGTGTGCTGAGATGGATACAATGGCAAGTAATGACAAAATTAAAATAAGCATGCAGATTTTTTTAAATTAAGTGCCAAAAAATAATGGGTCGTGCAAAGCCCTTAAAAACACTGTGGCCTAATTCTAAAGTTTTTTGCTACTATGCTACATCACACCCAACATCAGTTAAGTGCTCATTCTGTGACAGGTAGTACATTACATTTTAGCAAACTACACAAGACCCCTATGTGATAATATGCTTCGGGGTTGTAAGGTTGGGTGCGTTTAGTAGTCTTGAATTTTCTGGGAGTATACAAACCCAATATTAGTCTAGATGCCCAAAGATCTATTTAGACGTCAAAGTAGAATGGAGAGAAATCTTGACCACAGGAAGCTGTGTTGTGGCATTTATTTTGAAATTATTTTTTCTTGATTTTTTTGCCTTTTAATTCTTTTGTGAGTTTTATAATGCACAGAATATTTTTAAATTATTATATATATAAACTGATTAGTCTTCAATTTAAACTTACACCTCTGGGGTCTTACTTGGGTTTCTCCTAACAATATTATACACATATTTGCAATAATTTCTCTCATACTGCTTTTAACTCATTTAATTTTTCAACTTTTTAAGAATAACAAAAGTGATATTAACTGTAAAAATGCTGAAGTGACATATGAATTTATGAAGTGCATATGTATTTTTTATTTTACCAATGAGATGGGAGAAATGCTGTCTTATATTTTAACATACATTTTGGCCATTACACAGATGAAGCAACTTTTCATTTGTTAATACATAGCATACGTTTTCTTCTGTGTAATTCCTCTTTATATTCTTTGCTCATTTTCCCACTGGGATTTGCAAGTTCTTTATTATTTGATAATCTCTATACATTCTGAATATCCATTTTTTTGTTATATATACCATGTAAATATTTTCTTCTAATTTATTTGTCTCAATGGTATTTATCAAGTGTTTGCTAAAAATGAGTTTGTTTAGTTAGTAAAATTTGTCTGTCTTTTACTTCATGATATTTATATTTCATGTCATGAGGAAAAGGCATGAATATTTTAAAAACTTCCTTGTAGTATTAATTTTATTTTTTATTTCATTCTTTAAGTTATTTGAAATTTATTGTTTATTTCTTCAAATTCCAAATAATAACCAACTTTCTCAAAGTAATACTTCTTTCTACTGATTTCAAATGTTACATTTGTCTTCTCTGAAGTTCTTGTCTATTTGATACCTGACGGTCACACTACTGCTGTGGATGTGCTTCGTACCACCACAGTACTGTAGGGTTATAAGATTATCTGATAGCCAATAGAAGCAGACCTCTACTCACTGTCATTCTTTTTTCTTTTGGAGAAGAAAGTTAGCTATTTTTATCTGGGTTCTCAATTTTTTTTTTTTTCTTTTTGAGATGAAGCCTTGCTCTCTCACCCAGGCTAGAGTGCAGTGGCATAATCTTGGCTCTCTGCAACCTCTGCCTCCCTGGTTCAATTGATTCTCCTGCCTCAGGCTCCTGAGTAGCCAGGATTACAGGCATCCATCACCACGCCTGGCTAATTTTTTTATTTTTAGTAGAGACAGGGTTTCACCATCTTGGCCAGGCTGGTCTTGAACTCCTGACCTCGTGTTGCACCCACCTCTGATTCCCAAAGTCCTGGGATTACAGGCATGAGCCACCGCACCTAACCGGGTTCTCAGTTTCGTATAAACTTTAAAGTAGATTATCAAATCACATACCAATTGCCATCTGATTGAAATTTCAATGTTTTTATATGTAAGTTTCGAGACTAAAGCCATCTCTATTCTTTCAGCACTTCAGATGTTTATCTTTCAATTCAAAATGTATTCTAAGTTTTATTTTGATGTTTCTTTGTGAATTATTCAGAAGTTTGTTGTTTGATTTCCAAACACTTGTGTGTTTACTAAGTATCTTATTGATATTCATTTTTTTCTTTTTTAATTTATATTTTAGGTTCAGGGGGTACACGTGCAGCTTTGTTATGTAGGTAAATTGCATGTTGCTGGGGTTTCATGGAAAAAATAATTTAGTCACTGAGGTAGTGAGCATAGTACCTGATAGGCATAAGTAATTTTTCAATCTTCACCGATTTTTCACCCTCTACCCTCACACAGGCCCTAGTATCTATTGGTCCTTGTTTTGGACCATGTGGAGCCAATGTTTATCTCTCATTTATAGGTGATAATATATGCTGTCTTTTTCTGTTTTTGTGTTAATCTGCTTAATTTGTGGGATGTAGCCTCCAGCTACATCCATTTTGTTGCAAAAGCCATAAATTTATTGTTTTTTTGTTGCTACACAGTATTTCATGGTGTATATGTACCAATTTTTTTTCTTTTTGAGATAGAGTCTCACTCCGACACCCAGGCTGGAGTGCTGTGGCATAATCTGGGCCCACTGCAACCTTCGCCTCCCAGGTTCAAGCTATTCTGCCACCTCAGTTTCCCAAGTAGCTGGGTCTACAGGCATGTACCACCATGCCTGGCTAATTTTTGTATTTTTAGTAGAGATGGTGTTTCACCATGTTGGCCAGGCTTTTCTCAAACTCCTAATATCAGATGATCCGCCCATCTCGGCCTCCCAAAGTGCTGGGAATACAGGCGTGAGCAACCACGTCAGGCGGTACACATTTTTTTTTTTCTAGTCCACCACTGATGAGCCTCTAGGTTGGTTCCATGTTTTTGCTACTGTTAATAGTGCTGTGATAATCATACAAGTACATGTGTCATTTGATAGAACAATTCATATTTCTTTGTGTATGTGCCCAGTAATGAGACTGCTGCGCCAAATGGTAGTTCTGTTTAAGTTTTTTGAGAAATCTTCACACTGCTTTATACAATGGCTGAATTAATTTACATTCCCAACGGAAGTGTATAAGATTTCCCTTTTCTCTGCAACCTCAGCAACATCTGTTATTTTCTGACTTTTTATTAGTAGCCATTGTGATTGGTATGAAATGGTATCTCATTGTGGTTTTCATTTGCATTTCTCTAATGATTAGTGATTTTTAAAATGGAGCATTTTTTCATATTCTTGTTAACAGCATGTATGTCTTTTTTGAGAAGTGTCTGTTCTTGTCCTTTGCCCATTTTTCAATGAGGTTGTTTAGTTTTTGCTTAAAAATTTTTTTAAGTTCCTTACAGGTTCTGGATATGAGACCTTTGTCAGATCCATAGTTTGCAAATATTTTCTCCCATTTTGTCGGTTGTCTGTTTACTCTGCTGATAGTTTCTTTTGTTGAACATAATCTCCTTAGTATACTTAGGTCCCACTTGTCTATTTATGTTTTTGTTGCAATAGCTATTGGAAACTTGATCATAAAATCCTTGTTATTGCCTATGTCCAGAATATTATGTTCTGGGCTTTTGTCTAGGGTTTTTATACTTTTAGGTTTTACATTTAGGTCTTTAATCCATCTTAAGTTGATTTTTTTAATATGTTGGAAGGAAGTTGTCCATTTTAAATCTTCTGAATATGGCTAAACAGTTATCCTAGTACCATTCATTGAATAGGGAGTCTGTTCCCATTGCTTCTAATTATAGACTTTGTCAAAGATCAGATGGTTGTAGGAGTGCAGCCTACAACCTTCTCTAATCTGTTCCATTGGCTTTTGTGTCATGGTTTTTGTACCAGACCTATGATGTTTTGGTTACTATATCCTTGGAGTATAGTTTGTGAACCCTCAAAATCTGAGACAGTTCTCAGTTAATTTACAAAGTTGACATTGCCCAGCTAGCCATATGTAGAAAGCTGAAACTGGATCCCTTCCTTACACCTTATACAAAAATTAATTCAAGATGGATTAAAGACTTAAATGTTAGACCCAAAACCATAAAAACCCTAGAAGAAAACCTAGGCAATACCATTCAGGACATAGGCATGGGCAAGGACTTCATGTTTAAAAACACCAAAAACAATGGCAACAAAAGCCAAAATTGACAAATGGGATCTAATTAAACTAAAGAGCTTCTGCACAGCAAAAGAAGCTACCATCAGAGTGAACAGGCAACCTACAGAATGGGAGGAAATTTTTGCAATCTACTCATCTGACAAAGGGCTAATATCCAGAATCTACAATGAAGTCAAATTTACCAGAAAAAAACAAACAACCCCATCAACAAGTGGGCGAAGGATATGAACAGACACTTCTCAAAAGAAGACATTTATGCAGCCAAAAGACACATGAAAAAATGTTCATCATCACTGGCCATCAGAGAAATGCAAATCAAAACCACAATGAGATACCATCTCACACCAGTTAGAATGGCGATCATTACAAAGTCAGGAAACAACAGGTGCTGGAGAGGATGTGGAGAAATAGTAGCACTTTTACACTGTTGGTGGTACTGTAAACTAGTTCAACCATTGTGGAAGTCAGTGTTGCGATTCCTCAGGGATCTAGAACTAGAAATACCATTTGACCCAGCCATCCCATTACTGGGTATATACCCAAAGGATTATAAATCATGCTGCTATGAAGACACATACACACATATGTTTATTGCGGCACTATTCACAATAGCAAAGACTTGGAACCAATCCAGATGTCCAACAATGATAGACCGGGTTAAGAAAATGTGGCACATATACACCATGGAATACTATGCAGCCATAAAATTTATGAGTTCATGTCCTTTGTAGGGACATGGATGAAGCTGGAAACTGTCATTCTCAGCAAACTATCACAAGGACAAAAAACCAAACACCACATGTTCTAACTCATAGGTGGGAATTGAACAAAGAGAACACTTGGACACAGGAAGGGGAACATCACACATTGGGTCTGTTGTGGGGTGGGGGGAGGGGGGAGGTATAGCATTATGAGATATACTTACTGTAAATGATGAGTTAATGGGTGCAGCACACCAACATGGCACATGTATACATATGTAACAAACCTGCACATTGTGCACATGTACCCTAGAACTTAAAGTGTAATAAAATATATATATATGTATATAAAAATAAGTGGCTGATCAGGAAAAAAAAATTTAGGAAGTAGAATTCAACAACACATCAAAAAGATTATACAACATGATTAAGTGGGAATTATCTCTGGCATGCAAGGCTGGTTTAACATATGTAAATCAATGTGATATATCACATTAACAAAATGAAAGGTAAAACCACATGGTCACCTGAATTGATGCAGAGAAAGCATTTAACAAAGTTTAGCAACCTTTCTTGATAAAACCTTTTAATAGTTTATGTATAGAAGGAAAGTTCCTCAACATAATAAAGACCGTTTATGAGAAACCCATGGCCTACATCATAGTCAGTGGGGAATAACTAAAAGCTTTTCTACTAAGATTGAGTACAAGATAGGGATGCCCAGTCTCATCACTTTTATTGAACATAGTACTTGCAAGAGCAATCTGATGAGGAAAAAAAAGCAACTAAATTAAAGAAGTAAAATTATCTCTATCTGCAGATGACAAGACCCTTTATGTAAAAAACTCCAAACATTCCACAAAAAACTCTGAGAACTACTAAATCAATTCAGTTAAGCTGCAAAGTATAAACTCAACATATAAAAATCAGTTGCATTTCTATATACAAATAACCTAGCTGACAAAGAAATCAAGAAAACAATCTCATTTACAATAACATCAAAGAAAAACATATACTTAGGAATGAATTTAACCAATAAGACGGAAGATGTGTACACTTGAAAACCATAAAACATTGATGAAAGAAATGTAGATATGAACAAATGAAAAGATATCCTATGTTTATGGATCAGAAGAATTAATATTGTTAAAATGTTCACACTACCCAAAGCAAATATATAGATTTAACACAATCCTCATCAAAGTTCTGGTGGCATTCTTCACAGAACAGAAAAAAACAATCCTGGCCAGGTGTTGTGGTTCATGCCTGTAATCCCAGCACTTTGGGAGGCCGAGGCAGGTGGATCACGAGGTCAGGACTTGGAGACCAGCCTGGCCAATATAGTGAAACCCTGTCTCTACTAAAACTACAAAAATTAGCTGGATATAGCGGCATGTGCCTGTAGTCCCAGCTACTCGGGAGGCTGAGGCAGGAGAATTGCTTGAATCCGGGAAGCAGAGGTTGCAGTGAGCCAAGGTTGTGCCACTGCACTCCAACTTGGGCAACAGAGTGAGACTTCATCTCAAGAAAAAAACAAACAAACAAACAAAAAAAACAGAAAAAACAATCCTGAAACTTGTATGGAACCACAAAAAACCCCAAACAGCCAACAGATTACTGTGAAAGAAAAAGTTGGAGGCATCACACCTCTTGATTTAAAATTGTATTACGAAGCTATAGTAATCAAAACAGTATGATACTGGCATAGAAACAAAAAGTATAAACCAACGGAACAGAACAGAGACCTTTGAAATAAATCCAAACATATACTGTCAACTAATTTTTGACAAGGGCAAACAAGACAACACAGTGGAAAGAAAAATAGTCTCTTCAATAATAGTGCTGGGAAAACTGGATTTTCACATTCAAAAGAATAAAAATGGACCCTGATCATACACCATACACAAAAATCAACTCAAAACAGATACAAGACCCAAGACCCAAATAAGACCTGAAACCTTAAAACTCCTAGAAGAGAACATAGGGGGAAAGCCTCTTGACATTGGCCTTAGCAATTATTTTTTGGATATCACACCACAAGCCAGGCTACAAATGGAAACATAAACAAGGAGGACTGCATCAAACTAAAAAGCTTCTGCACAGCAAAGGAAAAAACCAACAAAATGAAAAGAGAACCTACAGACTGGAGGAAATATTTGCAGATCACATATCTGATAAAGAGTTAATGTCCAAAAATCAGTAAAGAACTCTTTTAATAACAGGAAAACAACCCAGTTGAAAAATGAGCCAAATAGGAAATGACCAATAGCAAATGGGGAGACGTACATTAAGAAAATACAAAGTAGCAGACATATAGGATGATCAAGTTAGAGATCTAATGTACATCATGAGGGCTATAGTTAATAAAAATGTATTGTCTTTAGGAGTTTTGTTAAATACGTAGATTTTAGCTGTTCCTGTCACACAAAAAAATGTAACTATGTACGATGGTAGATATGTTAATTTGCTTCACTGTAGTAACCAGTTTACTGTCTATATGTATCCTTAAGGTCATGTGGTCAACCTCAAATATATAAAATAAAATTTATTTTAAAGAAGAAAAGTTTGTCTTCCATCCAGAAAGAACCACTATTGCCATTTTTTGGTATTCCGTTCCAAAATATTCCATGAATATACAATTGTTCAATCAAATTTAATGTTAGACTTTCTACTTGAACATTCAAAGCACTTAAGAAATTATAGAAAAGTGTCTGTGTGACTCCCTGTCTGCAGAGCACAGGCTGCATCTCCACTAATACACATGCCACCGGTACTTTATACAGAGTCCTTGTTTGCCTTTAGTCTGATGCCGTGGGTGAGCCTGAGTTGTCCTGTGGTCCGCGTTCCTGACCAGGTGTCTTTCTCACCCACTGGTTTCAAAAAAGATGTTACTGGGTTATAGAAGGCTGGGATGGAAACAGGATACCAAGTTCGCATGAAGACAGTATCTGAAAAGAGAGGTAATTTACTTTAACATTTTCAAAAGAAGATGCATATCCATATTGTGAAGAAACGAAGAACAAAACCTTCACTCCAAACTTCTCTACCTGGTTGCAAAGTATTTGAAGGGAAAGCTCACTAAGGAAGCTACTCCCATAGATCCCAGAACTGTTACTGGGTGTGGCCAGGGGACTGCAGACACAAAGCGAATGGGCACACCGCATAAGACTGGGAGATCTAAGGCTGGAGCTGCTCAACTCTCTAGAGACCTGACTCCAGCCTCTCGTCACACTGGCTAGAAGTCAAGCATGAATGGTAACATGCTGCCCTGAACACTACTCAAGACACTCACTGCTCATCAGCAGCTTATGCTCAAAGCTGGCCTGGAAGGCTCCTTCTGGAGCCCGGAGTGCTTTCTTGATCTGCTGCCTTATCTCGCTGACAGTTTGAATCACAGCACCTTCAAATATGGCCACTTCCAAGGCAGAATTAAACATTCCCTATGGGTATAGCAAGATAAAAATACACACAAAAAATCATATACTTTATGCTTTACTTCTTACCTCAAACATACATCCTTGGTTAAAGAACAAAAACAACTCACTGAAAGGTGATAAAATAATCAAAATGTATTTGCCCCTGGAAGTGGAATTACTACCACAAAAAGAATACAACTCTTTCATTTTTCCCAAAATAATCATGTGGGTTCGTGGGCATGCTCATCACTGCTGTCTGTGTGGAAGAGAAGATTAAAGAGGGATTTACTGGACTGCACTGGCCTAGGCAGCCTTTGCTGGCATCTCTCAGCCTAGACTGCAGCCCAGATCCTTTTACTCAGGTGCATGCATTTAGAACACGAAAACAGTAAGATAAACACTGGTGGTATTATTACTTTATATTGCAAGAACACTTAATGATCTTACTATGTGTTTTTAATAGAAACATCCCCACTAATGAAATTGTCAATAAATACTGCTCAAACCACCTTCCCCAAATACTGAAAAACAGTACATCCATTTCTCTACCCTTGCCAAGTTGTCTGCAAATGCTCTGTTTTTCTACTGAATGGTTAGACAAACTTGTGATTTTTTTCCCCTTTCTTAACACAAATCAAAAAAGTAGGAAACAAAACCCAGTGGATAAAACGACATTTTTTTTTTTCTTGAGACAGAGTCTTGCTCTGTCACCAGGCTGGAGTGCAGTGGTGCAATCTCAGCTCACTGCAACCTCTGCCTCGCAGGCTCAAGCAATTCTCCCCCATTAGCCTCCCAAGTAGCTGGCCCCACAGGTGCGTACCACCACACCTGCTAATTTTTTGTATTTTTGGTAGAGATTAGGTTTCACCATGTTGACCAGGCTGGTCTCAAACTCCTGAGCTGTAGCGATCTGCCTCCCTCAGCTCCCTACAGCTACACCTGTACTGGGATTACAGGTGTGAGCCACTGCACCTACACTTAGCTGTATCTAAAAATACATCACCAAACCCAAGGTCACCTGGATATTCTTGATCTAGAAGTTTTGTGATTCTGCATTCTACATTTAGATCTTTGATCCATTTTGAGTTTTAATTTTTGAGAAGGGTGTAAAGTCTGAACTTAGATTCTTTTTTTTTGTACATGGACATCCAATTTTTAAGCACCATTTGTTGAAGAGACTGCATTCTTTCATTTAATTGCCTTTGCTTCTTTGTCAAAGCTCAGCTAACTATATTTGCATAGGTCAATTTCCGGGCTCTCTCTTCTGAACCATTGATCAATCTGCATATTCTTTCACTAATGCCATGCTAACTCAATTATTTAGCTGGAGAGTAAGTCTTAAAGTTGGGTAGTGTCAGTCCTCTGAGTTGTTATTCTTCAGCATTTTGACTATGAGTCTTTTGCGTCTTCATATAAGCTTTAGAATAAATGTGTTTATATCTACAAAATAACCTGCTAGAATTTTAATTGGAGTAGAGTTGAATCTATAGATCAAGAAGGGGAGTATTAACATCTTAACAATACTGAGTCTTGCTATCCTTGCACATGAAATATATATCAATTTATTTAGGTTTCCTTTGATTTCTTTCATTAAAGTTTTGAAGTTTTCCTCATATAGATCCTGTACATATTTTGTTTACTGTATGCCTACATATTTCATTTTTGGGGTACTCATGTAAATAGCATTGTATTTGAAATTTCAAATTCCAGTTTTTTTCATTGCTAGTATATAGGAAAGCAATTAACTTTTAATACTAACCTTATGGTTTGGATTTGTGTCCCCACTCAAATCTCATGTCTAATTGTAATCCCCAGTGTAGGAGGAGGGGTCTGGGCAGAGGTAATTGGATCATGGGGGAGGATTTCTCCCTTGCCATTCTTGTATAGTGAGTTCTCACCAGATCTGATTGTTTAAAAGTACGTAGCATCTTCCCTTTTGCTCTCTCTTCCTCCTGCTTCAGCCATGTAAGGCGTGTCACCTCCCTCTTCACCTCCTGCCATGATTGTAAATTTCTTGAGGCTTCCTCAGCCATGCTTCTTGTTCAGCCTGCAGAATCGTGATCCAATTAAACCACTTTTCTTTATAAAATTACCCAGTCTCAGGTAGTTCTTCATAGCAGTGCAAGAACAGACTAATACAGAAAATTGGTACTGGGAAGTAGAGCATTGCTATGAAGATACCTGGAAATGTGGAAGCAGCTTTGGAAGTGGGTAATGGGCAGAGGTTGGAACAGTTTGGAGAGCTTAGAAGAAGACAGGAAGGCCTGGGCCCAGTGGCTCATGCCTGTAATCCCAGCACTTTGGGAGTCTGAGGTGGGCAGATCTCAAGGTCAGGAGATTGAGACCATGCTGGCTAACACGGTGAAACCCCATCTCTACTAAAAATACAAAAAAAAAAAAAAAAGAAAGAAAAGAAAAGAATTAGCCAGGTGTGGTGGCATGCACCTATAGTCCTAGCTACTAGGGAGGCTTGGGCAGGAGAATTGCTTGAACTCAGGAGGCAGAGTGGTGAAAATGAGCATCTCTTGTTCCAGAGCTTAGAGGAGAGGCTTTCAGTTTTTCTGCCATTCAGTAAGATACTATACTTGTGGGAGTGTCTTATATGGCTTTTATTGTGTTGAGGTATGTTTCTTCTATACCCTGTTTTTTGAAGGGTTTTCACAATAAAATGTTGAATTTTATCAAATGCTTTACCGCATCAATTGACATTATTATATAAATTTTGTCCTTCATTCTGTTGATATGATGATCACATTGATTTGCATATTTTGAACCATCCTTCCATTCCTGGCATAAATTCCACTTAGTCATTATGAATAATTTTCAATATGTTGTGGATTTGTTTTGTTTGTAAATTTCCTTGAGGATTTTTGCATCAATTTTTCATAGGGATATTGGCCTGTAGTTTTCTCTTTTAATTTGTCTTTGGTTTAAGTATCAGGCATTGAAATATTCCTCCCTCCTCTATTCTTTGGGATAGTTTGAGTAGGATTGGTGTTAGTTATTCTGTACGTGTTTGGTAAAATACAGCAGTGAAGCTATTGCTTCCAGGATTTTCTTTGTTGGTAGTTTTTATTAAGGCTTTGATTTCATTATTTGTTATTGGTCGGTTCAGGTTTTGAATTTCTTCATGGTTTAATCTTGGTAGGTTAAACTACTACAAGAAGACATTGGGGAAATTCTCCAGGCTATTAGACTATGGAAAGATTTCTTAAGCAATACCCCACAAGCACAGACAACCAAAGCAAAAGTGGACAATTGGGATTGCACTAAGTTAAAAAGCTTCTGCATAGCAAAAGAGACAGTCAACAAAGAGAAAATGCAAAAAATGGGGAAACGTATTTGCAAACTATCCATTTGACAAGGGATTAATAACCAGAATATATAAAAAGCTCAAACAACTGTATAGAGAAAAATCTAATAATCTGATTTGAAAATGGGCAAGAGATCTTAATAGATATTTCTCAAAAAAAGAAATACAAAAGACTAACAGACTTAGGAAAAGGTGGCCAACATCACTGATTATCAGAGAAATGCAAATCAGAACTATGAAGAGATATCATCTCACCTCAGTTAAAATGGCTTTTTTTTCAAAAGACAGGTGATAACAAATGCTGGTGAGGATATGGAAAAAAAGCCAACCCTTGCATACTGTTGGTGGGAATGTAAATTAGTGCAACCACTATGGAGAACAATTTGGAGGTTCCTCAAAAAACTAAAATTAGAGCTATCATATGATCCAGCAATCTCATTGCTAGATATATACACAAAAAAAGAAAATCAATATATCGAAGAGATAACTGCACTCCTATGTTTATTGCATTACTATTCACAATATCCAAGATGTGGAAGCAACCTCAGTGTCCATCAACAGATGAATGGATAAAGAAAATGTGCCTATATATGATGGAGTACTTTTCAGCCATAACAAAGAATGAGATTCTGTCATTAGTGACAACATGGAATGGTGCTGTAGGATATTATTTTAAGTAAAATAAGCCAGCCACAGAAAGATAAACTTTGTACATTCACATTGATTTGGGGGAGCTGAATATTAAAACAAACTCATGAAGATAGAGTAGAATGGTTGTTACTTGAGGCTGGGAAGTGTAGCCAGTGGGGGGACGTGGGGATGGTTAATAGGTACAAAATGTAGTTACAATGAATAAGATCTTTTATTTGATAGCACAACGGGGTAACTATAGTCAGCAATAGTTTTTTGTACATTTTAAGATAACTGCGTATAACTGAATTGTTCATAATACAAGGAAATGATAAATGTTTGAGATGATGGATAACGCATTTACCCTGATGTGATTATTATGCATTATATGTTTGTATCAAAATATCTCATATACCCCATAAATACATATATGCCTACTGTGTACCCATAAAAACTACAAAAGACCCATAGATGGTGACACCTGGGGATTTCCTGATACAATAGTGGGTTCTGGCTGATCATCCCACAGGGAAGCCACTCAGCAGCCACACAGTTCCCCCTACACACACCCCCCTAGTAATCGGCTTTGTTAGTATATAAACCTTAAAATATGTGCAGAAAATATCACAAGTCATACGGGAGATGTAAAGCAAGATCACAAAGAGGTACAACTTCATACCCATTAAAATGGCGATTATAATGCAAACAAACAAAAGATGGAAAATTAAAAGTGTTGACAAGGACATGGAGAAAATGAAACCCTTGTGCATTACTAATAGTAGTGTAAAGTGGTGGACTGCTCTACAGAGCAGCACAGTGGTTCCTCAAAAAGTTGAACATAGAATTACTATATGACCCAGTAATTCCACTTTGAGGTATATAGCCCCAATAATTAAATGTAGGGACCCAAAAAGATATTTGCATAGCAATGTTTACAGCAGCAGTACTCACGGTAGCCAGAAGGTGGAAGCAACATCATGCCCACTGGTGGATGAATGGATAAACAAATGTGATATATGCACGCAATGGAATATTATTGGAATATTATTCCTTTTTAAAGGAAGGAGATTCTGACACATTTCACAATGTGGATGAACAATGAAACCTTGAATACATTATGCTAATGGAAATAAGCCAAACACAAAAAGACAAATACTGTATGATTCCACTTATATGAGGTACCTAAGATAGGCAAAGTCATAGAGGCAGAAAGTAGAATGGTGGTTAATAGGGACTGGAAGATGACAGGAGTTAGGAATTACTGTTTTACAGGTACAGAGCTTCACATGAAAAAGTTCTAGAGAGGAATGGTGGGAATCATTACAAAACATTATGAATATAGTTAAAGCAACTGAACTGTACACTTAAAATAGTTAATGTGATACATTTTATGTTACATGTATTTTGCCCACTGAAAAAATAAAAATATATAAACACACAGCAAATGATGACCAGGCCTTTGAAGAAAGCTTATAAAACAAAATTAAGAAGCCAAGGCTGGGAGCGGTGGCTAACGCCTGTAATCCTAGCACTTTGGGTGGCTGAGATGGGCGGATCACGAGGTAAAGACATCGAGACCATCCTGGCCAACATGGTGAAATGTATGTTTAGTCTCTACTAAAAATACAAAATTTAGCTGGGTGTGGTGGCATGTGCCTGTAGTCCCAGCTACTGAACCCGGGAGGTGGAGATTGCAGTGAGCTGAGATCGCGCCACAGCACTCCAGCCTGGCTACAGAGCGAGACTCTGTCTCAAAAAAAAAAAAAAAGAAAAGAAAAGAAAAAGAAACCAAAACACCAGGTAGCAATGGGGAGAATCGAAGAGGTGGGCAGAGTAAACAGAACACAAGGGCAAGGTCAGGAGAAGGCGTTTGACAACTGTAAGAGTGACAGCATATGAAAATATCACCAGAAAGATAGAAAATCAAGGTGAATTAGATACCAGAAAATTAAACACAAAATACAAAAAATGAGAGAGGGAGATGACAAAAATTAGAAAATCAACTCAAGAGGTTCAATACCTAACGAGATCCAGAAGAAAAAGGGAAGCTAGAGGGGAAGAAAATTATTGTAGAAACAATAGAAAGACATTTCCAAGAATTAACAAGAAAAACAGACATGTACCACTAGGGGTTTATTAAATGCACAAATTAAAAAAAAAATAAGCCTACCCCAAGATTCATGATTGGAATGGTATATGCTAAGGATACTCAAGAAATTTTAAATATTCTGAAGGGGGTAAAGCCAGAGTAGGGCAGGATGGGTGAGAGACAGGTCACATAAACATGTTATTTTGAAATATAAAAATACATTTTTTAAGTAAAAAATGTTGAAGTTGGCTGTGTCTGGGGAGTAAATAGGAAGTACTGAATGAAGAGCAGTCTGTTTCTTTGTGAAATCTTATACTACCATTGGACTTCTAAAACCATGTTTCTTTAAATTTTATCCTGGCTCTCTTTCAAAGTAATGCATTCACAGCTTATATTTACATGTAAAAATATGCAGGTGAAAAATGCTAATATAAAATTATTCCAAAGCCTTTTCTAAAGTGTCAAGAAGTGCTAGGATTTACTTAGCAGAAATCATCTCAGGATGAATTCCTTGTCAATTCTGGGAAATGACTGCCAGAGAGAGAGGAATAACAGAGTGGTCACAAAACTGTGATCAAAAGACAGCCTGATCAAAACATACACTAAGAAATTCATGATTGTTAGATAGAAAACACAAATGTGCAGATTCCCTGGGATTTCTCACTAAGTTAATATTTGCAGAAATAAACCATGTTTTAACTGTTCAGTTTCCTTTGGGATGCATTTAGTTTTAAATACATTCAATATTAATGAAATAACTAAATCTATTATAAATACTCTTTAAAAACATCAGAAAGTCAAGATAATTTGACTAAGTATCTAAAAATAAACTCATTTTCTTGAAAGAATGCAAGTAAAATGTTCAGTAAGTGATTAATACACGTACCACAGGTTACTCTGGCAATGTTGTGCTTCTTTTAGTTCATGGTAGTCTATGTAAGAGTCCTAGTCTTGTCAGAAAAGAGGTATTTTACCTAAATCAGAGAAACAAAAATATAGTATTCTGTTGTTTTTGACTCCACCTCTAGCTGAATTCAGAAGGCATATTCTGAAATAGCACAGAAAAACATGTAAAGTTTCTCAATCACTGTCACTACCACAATGAAGATGCATCTAAAAACAGCATGGGTCTGCTACAGATTATGTCACTTTCCACGATGCAAAGTTTTACAGATTTAATACACAAAGCTCTCAACTCACAAAGGTGAAAAGATAACTGACTGAGTAGGTCAGCAAGCAAACCATCTCAACAAGATTAAATGAATGCAAAACAGATGCACTCCAAATGCAAATGTGGTACGCAGATTACGTTACCTGTGGCCATATGTACTAAAGAAGAGGGAGAGAACTCAAGGCCCCAGAACAAGAGAGAAGTCCAGGCCAGGCTCTGGACACTAACTAGCCATGTGGATTGTGAACAGTCACCTCATCCTTCATGGCCTCAGTTTCCACATCTATGAAATAAGGGGTCTGGTCAGGAGACACATAACAGCATTCTACATGTAACTGGAGAAATTGTGTCATGGATAGGGAAGGGAGGGTAATTAACCCAATTGCCTCTAGAGGGCAAATAATTAACAGAATTGCCTCCAGTTTCTCCATGGCTTTCTAAAGAGGGGTCAAGACTTGCTGGATGCCAGATGTTTTCCAGGGATCCCAGAGAATTGGTCTATGGAGGCAGTGCTTTACTGTATTATAGAAGAGGAATTAATCACACTAATTGCTTACTCTGTACTTTTGCTTAATGATACAATATAAACAAATACAATGAGAAGTCATTTTAAAGCAATCAAACGGGCTTCAAGTTATTAAAGCTCCTGAAGAATCAAACATTACCTCCATATATAGAATTATTATACTAGGTGCAATTAATGATTTGATTTATAGATGTTTTTACACAGGTTTGATATGCAACAAGTCTAGGGGTATAAAATCAATAAAATCTGCCTTCTAATAAGCAGTGGTTTCTGCCTTTTTCTTTAAAAATTATATCAAAATAGTAAAACATGAATATTTTAAAATAAAAAATTATTGACATTTATTTTCATTCTGCCTGCTGAATTTTAACTTTTCCTCAAAAAGAAAAACTTCTTTCTCATGCAAACTATCCCCATATCCCTAATTAGGATGAATTATTGAAGCATCCTGGGTGATTTCTGAACACTTTCAATCCTTCAATTATTCAGGTCTAGTTTAATGGCACCTGAGAACAATTACATACTGAGAACTGTCCTAAACTGACAAAGGCGACCAAAGAGCTTCTACAGGAGCATACCTGTACCCTCACATTGGCTCCAAAGTCTCCAGAGGGAAACGGACAGGACATGATGCATCAGCTCTTTTTTTACTGTATTATGCTTGGAAAGATTGTTATGGAAACATAGAATAAATAGATAGATAAATCAACCTTGCCTGGAAAACTGGAAAAAGGTTCAAAGAGGAGGCAAATTTAGACCAATATGTACCAAGAACTCATTGATTCTTACGGGAGTAGGTTATTACCAGACAGACAAGTGAAATTCAGTAGGCAGAATGATAATAAATGTCATTTATTAAATATTAAAAAGACAAATACCTTCCCTATTTTAGAAATAAGGTAGGCAAAGGAACTGAGGAGTGGAAATTGAAGGCCAGCTCTGGGTGCTTTGTGAACAGAGCCCAGTTGACAGTGGGAAGATCTGTGCTCTATGCTAAGGACATGCTCTGTAATGACAATCCACTCGGTTGCACTAAGAATTTAAGAGCATTTATATGAATATATACAATTTAAGGAAAGATAAAGAGAAAAATTTGCTATCAACTCTGTGTAGATTTGGAAAATGGTGTCAAAGGAACAGTTTCACCTGCATTTCTTTGTCTAGAAAGTTTTATTTTATTAAAAAATGTAGTCTACAAACGAGCCTCAATTTTTGGCAATAAACTCAAAAATGCTACACAAACCATCACAGAATTCGGTTTGTCCTTGCAGGAAAGAAAAAAGAAGAAAACAAACCTCCATACGAGAATGGGTCTAAAGGAACTTCCCAAACCTCCATGATTTTGCAGGAAACAAGATAAAGGTAATCACCTGCAGCACCTGGACCCATCTAGATTAACTACTCAGCCTCCAGAGGAAGGTCTTCAGGACTCAGACCTTAGTTATAGATTAGAAGTTAATCACTTATGTCTTCAGACAGGCCCTGTTCCATGTTTAGAGAGAGATCTTTGAGCACCCATCTTCATACATTTGAGAACAGGGTCACTGAGAGGGAGTCTCTGAGGTCACAGAGTTTATTAGTTCATTTTCACACTCCAGGAAAGAAGTTTAATTCACAGTTCCACATGGCTGGGGAGGCCTCAGGAAACTTACAATCATGGTGGAAGGGGAAGCAAACACATCCTTCACGTGGCAGCAGGAGAGAGAAGTGCAGAAGAGGGGAAAGTCCCCTTATAAAACCATCAGATCTCGTGGGAACTCACTCAGTATCACGAGAACAGCATGTGGGAACCACTCCCATGATGTAATGCCCTCTCACAAGGCCCCTCCCCCAACACGTGGGGATTACAGTTCAAAATGACATTTGGGTGCAGACACAGAGCCACACCATATTACAGAGCCAGAAGAGCTGAGCAGTGGGCGCTAAGTAAATGTTCATTAAACCAAACCCCTGCACAAGGCTGGCTTCATAGAGGTGCCACCTGTGCAGTGGCAAAAGCCCCACTGTCAGAGGGGACCTGAACTTGTTTTAGTGCTATGTTGTCACTGCCTTCAAATTCTTAACAATTTTTGAACAGACTCCACATTTTCAGTTAGCACCGGGTCCTGCAAATTATGTACCCAGTCCTGTCCCTGAAACAAAGATAAGGTTTGTTCATGAAGGGACTCACTCGACCCCTCCCTGCCCATCTCACTCCAAGATGCCCTAAGTAAAGGGGAACACAGAGCTAGGAGAAGGCAGTATTTGAGGATGATCTTGGAGGTCCCACCTGATCATGGCTGGTGATGCATGTGTGTGGGTGGGAGAATTTGGCTGCTCTCTTCTGGCACCTTCCATCCCATGTACAAGGCCTGCACTTTGCCTGTCTGTCCCAAGTCCTCCTACCTGACTCAGACCAGGAGTGTGGATGGGGGGGGGGTGGTGGCGGGCACTGGGGCCCAGTACTCCTGGTCCCAGCTGGAGTTCCCTGTTGACTGGGGAGATTTGGCCCCTCTGACTACTCCTACCCCATCCCCACTAGGACAGGAGTTGGTGAAGGGGACAGGGTGGGAGGCTTAACTAGTAGCCAGGGGCAGGCGGCAGGCAGTGGGGCGAAGATCAGGCTGAATTTTCCTGCTACTGATCTGCTCTCTGGAAGAGGCATTCATGAACTGGCTTAGGCTGTGGCTTGGCTATTTTAGGAATATTCTTAACCCTTCCTGAGTCACTGCCGCCATCAGACTTCTCTCCCAGAGCACAGAGCACCAGACTATTCCCTCTCCTTGTCCCCTCCTCCCCAGTCCCTGCTTTCCTCCCTGGCAGCTGAGGTCAGAGTTTTCTCAGGGGCGGGGCAAGTTGACTTCTGCCAAGGAAAACTCCGGGGTCCCTGAGCCCCCTTCTTTGTCCTGTGACTTCTCCCTCTTCATCACAGCTCTGGACTCAGCAAAGTGGCAGAATGGGCATCACCTCAGCCCTTCTCCTCATCTTATAAAATTGGAACTTCAGCATCTCTCATCTGAGGGAAAATAGTTGACCTGCATCCCCAGAGTAAGATGGGAAGCTGCAGTCCTGATTTCCAGCCTCTGGCAGAGCAGGAGCCCCTGCCTGCCTGGCTTTGATGCCCTGTTAGGGGCACGTTTCCAGCAGGGAGTCACATGCCAGAGCCCCTCATGGGGTTACCTCTGCCTGGTTTTTTCCTCCACTCCAGGTTCTTCCCAGAGTCTGGCTTTTTGGAAAAACCTAGGCCATGATATAGGCATTACCTGTGTAAGGCTAAGGGGGGTCCCACTGCGGGCCAGGAGGGCTCAACATCAATATATCTGAATTTCAAGCCAAGACAGGGGGCAAAGATCTTGGCCCAGTGTCAGGGGTTTCTGTGTCCCTGACAGCTGGGCTTGCCTGAGCTGGGAGGCCCAGCATATCTGGGCCTTGTGATGCCTTCTGACAGTAGGAGTTGGAGTTTGCCACCAACTGCTATTGGGAAAGCTTGACATGGTGATCCAGGAATAAGGCTGATGATGCCACAAAAATGCCCAAGGGCCTGTGGTGTGCCTGACAGTGTCCTGGGAAGTGGATATAGAGGATCAATAATCAATAATCATTATTTCCCTGAGAAAGGAAGCTCTCTTGGGGTGGTTAACCAGGTGTCTGGCCACAAGCCTAGGCCAGGGTTGATGGGCTGGGGCAAGTGAGTCATCCCAACTCATTCCCCCTCCTCCAGGTTATCACAACCAGCCCAGCTCCAGAAGTGAAAGAGCTGGCTGCAGCTGGGCATGAGGCCAAATGAAAATGCTTTCACTCCCCTCAAGGGCTGCAGAGGGGGCCCTTGCAAAGGGAGGGTCACCGAGCTGCAATTTCTTCTGCCTCCAATCCAGAAAGAGCCTGAAGGATTGCTCAAGGTGTCCTGGGAAAGATTTTGATTTCAAAGAGACAATCTCCCCCAGGAACTCCAGGAGAATTTTGTGTGGCGTTTAAAGGGTAAGAAGCTGCTGGGTGTGGCAGCTCACACCTGTAATTGCTGTGCTTTCAGAGCTACAGGCAGGAGGATCACTTGAGGCCAGGAGTTAGAGAACAGTCCGGGCAACACAGTGAGACACCCCCCACTACAAAAAACAAGAAGACCCCTCTTTTTACCCCTAACTGAGAGGCGTGACTAGAAGGCAGAAAGCTGGCTGTTGAGGTGGGAGTCTCTCTCTTCAGGCAGAGGTAGGGCCGCTTCCTGGGGCAGAGGCGTGGGTGGTGTGTCTGGCTCTGCAGTTCCTGATGAAGACATACTGGGGTGCCCAGGCTAACCTTTGGCAAAACTAGGAGCTGAACTCAGGAGTCCCTGATGCCAGCCTTTCTGATGCGGTCCCCCCTCCCCTCCCCCATGTGTCTCGCTCCATAGCTCCAGGCCAGGAGCCCCAACTGGCTGGTGGAGGATGTCTTGCTCCTCAGCAGCTGGGATTTGTAAGTATTTGTAGGAACATGGAACAGATCAGTGGCTGACAGGCCCAGGAAGCAGACAGTCCCCTTCCCATAGGTCACCAGCTTCACTTCCCCTTCCTGCACCCCATCCTGATTTGAGGGAGCCCAGGATGACAAAGAGGGAGTAGTTGAGCAAGGTATGGAGTGGCAGCCTCTACAGGAGCTCAAAGGATGCATTTGTCCATCTGCCCTGGGCTCAGCTTCCACACTCAGAGTCACTCACATCCCTCCACCGTCGCCACAGCTCACCTGTGTGCCCACACGGCCAAGGTCACACTGACCCCAAACGCACACTGTTTCAACTCTCAGCACTTCACTGTCACACTCGCGTGTGTACACACATGCTTTCTAATTTCCACAGCCACATGGATGCTCACACACTCACACCTTTGCACACACACACAAGCTGGCTCACAGACACACTGGGGGCCCAGATCCTGGTCATTCCCCACAGGTCTTAATAAAGGTTCATGGAAGGAAACCTGTTTCCTAAGGTAGGGTGGGAGTGTGTGTGAGTGTGTGGGGGGGAGAGGGTGAGAGTGTGTGCGTGTGTTAGTGTGAGTGTGTGTGTATGTAAGGAGCAGGAGTGACTGGGTCCTGAGTTTAGGGAGTTGGGAAGAGGAAGGAGAGATGGAGACAAGCCTGGACCAAGAGCCACTCAGAGCTGCCTGGAAGGGAAGCCAGGCTGAGAAAAAGGCAAGGCAAAGAAATAAGACACTGACAAGGATCAAGCCAGGGTTGAGTAGGGACTGGGAACAGAGTCTGCCTCCATGAGAAGCTGTCACATTGCTGCTCTGGTGCCCTGTGACAGCGGCACCATCTCCAGCTGGAGACTCCCCTCTCTGGATCTTGTCATTGTGACTTTGCTTTGTTGGACAACCAGGAGTGGTGATAGGCAGGGAATATGGTGCCCAGGTCAGCTAGCCATGCCACGCCAGTCCAGCTGCCAACCCACCCGTCACTGGCCATCTCATCACCTGCTGGAGGGAGTGGGGTGGTGCAGATGAAACCAGCGATCAGCTTGGCTGCCCTTGCTTCCTAGTGCCACAGTAGAGGCTAGGGGAGCAACTGGCTTTCCTCCCCAAAAGGCGGGCAGGGTTATCCACACTTTGCCCAGGTCCCTGAAGCCTGCGGCTGAGCTCGGGGATAACAGGGGCCAAGTCACCGGTCCCAGACACCTAGGAACTATTAGAGACAGGAACCAGCATATGAGACAGGGGCTTTTAAGTAGGAGGTTGGAGAACACACGTTTTTGGTCTAAACCGGGGGCCCCTCTCTTTGCCCACTGAACCCGCGGCCTGCGTGGTGCTGAGACTGCCTCTGGCCGCGTCCGCTTGGGACAGGGCCTGAGCGGTGGCTGATCCCACCTGGATGTCCTGGGCCGGCTCCCACCCGACGCCCACCATCCCGGGACGTGGTGGGGAGAGGCTGGCGCTGCTCCTTGCCATGCTTGGCGGCCGCTGCTGCCCGGCTGGGGGTCCCGAGTCGCACACGCCCCGCAAGCCCTGGCCACCGACCCGGAGGGAACGCCCTGGGCTACGGTCCCCAAAGCCAAGAGAAGAAGCAGGTCCCAGGGCCGACTCCAAAGCCGCATCTCCAGCTTTGTTCATGGGTCCGGGAAGCAGAGGCCGCCGCCGGCCACCGTCGTGGGCGAGAAGAAGGGCACGAGGCGGCCGGGGCTCCTGCCCGGAACCACATGTGCGCGCCGGGCCCGCTTCTTCATCGCACTTGCGGCCCCGGCTGCCCGGGGCCTGCGAGTTTCCAGCCAGGGCCCGGGACTCTGGCGCGGTCCGGCCGCGAGGAAGGAAGGCGCGGCCCGGGTGGGGGTAGCGGCAGGCCTGCGGCTCCGGCCACGGGGCGGGGGCAGAAAAACGACCCCGGCGCTGTCCGGGCATCCAGCTCGGTTCCCGCTGCAGCCAGGAGACTCCCGGGAGCGCTCTAGGAACCACAGAGCCCTGGAAGTCACCTGGCAGCCTCGCGGCGCTAAAGCCGGCGGAGCCTGAGACAGCGCGCGGCGAGGCGGTCACGCTCCACCCCCGCGTGGCAGCAGGACTCGGATTTCGCCCCTGGTTTTAAAATTGTGCCGGTGGAGCCCGGGACGCTGGGAAGAGCGTTCTGCGCCCCTCCAGTCGCGGTCTCCGCCCTAAACCGACTTCCAGAGCCGCCTCTGCTCCCTGGAGGGGCGCAGTGGCGGACACCGGCGTCCCACGAAGTCGCAGGTCCTCAGTCTGAGGGCTGCCCCGCACGCTCGGAATGCAGGAGGGTCTCCGCCTCGCTGCGCTGCCCCTGGGGGCGGAGGCGTGCGCTGCAGGCGAGAGAGGCGGCCCGGTATCGATGGAGAAGCACAGAGGGCTTTGAGGTCGCAACGTCCCGGTTGCTGAGCGGAGTCGGGAGTCAGGTTCCAAAGGGACAGCGCTCAGGGTTGTAATCACCACCCGGCCCACCGCTTCCGCAGCTGCGAGTCTAGGGCGGAGCTGTTGGGTGGACCGAGCAGGCGAGGCGCAGGCAGGCAGCGGCTCCGCCTCGGAATCCGCCTCGACCGGGGCCCAGGTGCCCGCCCCACCTGTCCCTCGGTCACCCCAACCCTGTTTCCTCGACCCCCAGCACTCCTCCAGGCCTAGTTCGCTTCAGAAGCGCAAGACCCGGAAAACAAGGAAGAAGCGAGCTCAGCCTCAATCCCCGTCCCCACCCCACTTTCGGGACCGCTACGCTGGAGAATTGAAGGGGGCGGACCCCGGATTAAAGCCGCTCCCTTCCCAGCCTCGCCCCGCTTTCCTAATGTCCGTGATGATTTCGTTATTGGCAGGGAAGAGCCAGGCTCCCTGCGCTCCCAAGACGGGGCGATTGGGAGGGGGTTCTGGAGCTCACGCCTGGGGTCGGCCCGGCGGGGGTGACCCCGCGCCCTCGCCGGTGCAAGGAGAACAGGTGGTTCCCGCCGGGGCAGGGAAGCGTGGACGGTGTGGGCTCAGGCGCCTGGCAGGCACGCGGGGCCTCTAAAGCTTGGTCGCTGTCACAGATCGTGTGGTTGTTTCTTCCGTCCCCGCCACGCCTTCCTCCTGGGATGGGGATTCATTCCCTAGCAGGTGTCGGAGAACTGGCGCCCTTGCAGGGTAGGCGCCCCGGAGCCTGAGGCGGGAACTTTAAAATCAGACGCTTGGGGGCCGGGCTGGGAAAAACTGGCGGAAAATATTATAACTGAACTCTCAATGCCAGCTGTTGTAGAACCTCCTGGGACAAGCGGTGGAAGTCCCCTCAGGAGGCTTCCGCGATGTCCTAGGTGGCTGCTCCGCCCGCCACGGTCATTTCCATTGACTCACACGCGCCGCCTGGAGGAGGAGGCTGCGCTGGACACGCCGGTGGCGCCTTTGCCTGGGGGAGCGCAGCCTGGAGCTCTGGCGGCAGCGCTGGGAGCGGGGCCTCGGAGGCTGGGCCTGGGGACCCAAGGTTGGGCGAGGCGCAGGAGATGGGCTCAGGGTTCTCCAGAGAATCCCCATGAGCTGACCCGCAGGGCGGCCGGGCCAGTAGGCACCGGGCCCCCGCGGTGACCTGCGGCCCCGAAGCTGGAGCAGCCACTGCAAATGCTGCGCTGACCCCAAATGCTGTGTCCTTTAAATGTTTTAATTAAGAATAATTAATAGGTCCGGGTGTGGAGGCTCAAGCCTTAATCCCCAGCACCTGGCGAGGCCGAGGAGGGAGGATCCCTTGAGCCCAGAGGTTCGAGACTAGCCTGGGCAACACAGTCAGACTCCATCCTTCCAAAACAAACAAACGAAAATAAAACAAACAGAAAACGAAATTAGCCGGGTGTGGTGGTGCGGGCCTGTGGTCCCAGCTCCTCGGGAGGCTGAGGCAGGAAGATGGCTTGCGACTGCACCACTGCATTCCAGCCTTCGCGACAGAGCAAGACCCTGTCTCGAAAAATGTGTATGTCTGGGTAAGTGTATAGATTTTACAACTATTTTGAAGGCGACCTTTTTAACTTTAAACAGACCACTCTGGAGGAGACGCCTGACCCAGAGCGCTTTACCTAAAGTTCGGTGCCTAAAGTGCACCCTTCCTCTGGCTGGTGTCTCCCTTCTGCCAAGCTATGCCTCCTGCAGAGGTAGGCTCCGTGGTGTCTCCCACTCCGCCCCAACTGGAGAACGGTGTAAAGAACTGTCAGCCGGGTGCAGTGGCTCACGCCTGTAATCTCAGCACTTTGTGAGGCCGAGAGGGGCGGATCACTTGAGGTCAGAAGTTCAAAACCAGCCTGGCCAACATGGTGAAACCCCGTCTCTGCTACAAAAATTAGCCAGGCGTGATGGTGGATGCCTGTAATCCCAGCTACTCAGGAGGCTGAGGCAGGAGAATTGCTTGAACCCGGGAGGCGGAGGTTGCAGTGAGCAGAGATGGCGCCACTGCACTCCAGCCTGGGTGACAAGAGCAACTCCGTCTCCCAAAATAAAAAGAAGAATTGTCAACAAGAGGGAGTGGCAATTCAGAAGCATATTTAAGCCAAGTCCTCAAGACTAGAAAGCATGAAGCAGGGGAGGCGTTTTGAAAGCATAAGAACAATAGACCATGGGCATGGATGGCCGAGTCTGGGGATCAGCATCGTAATTTGTTGAGAAGGAGGCCGTGCTGTGCTGCCAGTTATTAATTGGTTTAATCGGTTGATACACAGCCCTACTGGCCTAACCAGTAGCCCAGGGCCCTGGAGGATTTGCAGTTCGTGTCAGAATTTGATTGCAGTTCCTTCCACTTGGCATAAGGAGACACTATCAGCCTGATTGGGAGGGTGATGGTGGGATGGAGCCTGCCGAGGTGGCGGCGCTGAGCTGACCACACCACCGGCCATAGAGTGGGAGCCTTTCCTGCCCGCTTAACTGCAGCTAATATCAAAAGCACTGGTATGGGCTGTCTATCTGTGCTGGAACCTGAGTTTATCTTTGTCTGCAATTACGATTCTTCTGGGTTTATTTTGCCAGCTCATTATCCAGCCCCCTGGAATCAGGCCTCCCAAATTTAGCAGGTGCTGGGGAGGACCCTAGGGAGTGGTGTATGGGGGCTAGCTGGTGAAACTGCCCTTTCCTTTCTGTTCTATGAGTGTGATGGTGTTTGAGAAAATGTGGGGCTATGGTTCAGGCGCACTTCACATGTGCAAAGATGGAGAAAGCACTCACCTACACGTTTAGGCTCAGAATATTGATTGAAACATTTTGAATGATCAAAAATAAAATGTTATTTTTAAAGTTTCTCTCTGAGATTTTGCTTAAGTTTTGGTAGATATTCTTAAGTTTTAGTGACCTCAGTTTGGGAGTTAAGTAAGCTAAACATTGTGTCCTTATTATTAGTTATATAAAACTATGCTTTAGACTTTGTTAGAAACTTCTGCCCCACCTTGACTGACTCCTTTTCCATTTCTGGTTGTACAAAATGAATTCACACTTTAATGCTATGGCCACCTTTAAATAAAGTACAGCGTGACTAAAAAAAAAAAAAAAAAAAAAAAAAAAAAAGAACCAGTACAAATGTTTTCAGAGACAAATGCATTCTCTGACATCTGAGGTTACAGCAAATCTCTTCTTCACCTGTTTGCTTGTTTAGAGTTGTAATATTTGTTTTGGTGTAGAGCTGAAGACATAAATTGGTAACCAATGGAATTATCTGGCCTCAGACTTTATTTATTTTCATCATTTATTTCACTGATGTGCAAATTTATTCCGTACCAGCAAATGTCAATTTAATTATATTCTACAGTACACAGTGAATCATGTATACTTAGTTAAGTTGTAAATACACTAAACCATATAAACTCACAACAGTATATCAGCTCATGATGGGTAAATGACTTTTCCCTGAGAAAGAGTATCTGTTTAACCTGCATGATCTCACTCTTTAGTATTTGCTTCTTTAGTCTACGTTTGTTTCCTAGTTTTGAATATAATCATGATATGGAGAGACAAGTGAAATCACCACAATTTTGTTTTCCAAAATGTGAGACTATGCAAATGCTGAAATGAGAATTAATACATCCAAAATATCGAACCACAATTATGGCTTTGCTTTACTTTTTGCCCGTAAGAGACATGTGGCCTAGAATAGGTGGCAGGTATTCCTACCACAACCTTGCTTAGCATAGTGGTTGACTAAATACAAATTTTAGAGATGAAGGTTGTTCTATACCCAGATTTCAATGTGATTGCTATGCCCACTTCACTTTCTCTAAAATACATATTTTTCTTACTTCTCACTTTCCTTTTCTTCTTGGTTGACATTTTTTGGCTCAGGGATTTTTTTTTTCCTTATGATCTCAATAAATTTTTCTCATATAAAAAGACGTAATCGTGCTGGGAGCGGTGGCTCATGCTTATAATCCCAGCACTTTGGGAGGCTGAGGCTGGTGGATCACCTGAGGTCAGCAGTTAAAGATGAGCCCGGCCAAAATGGTGAAACCTCATCTCTACTAAAAATACAAAAATTTGCCAGGTGTGGTGGCAGGCACTTGTAATCCCAGCCACTCGGGAGGCTGAGGCAGGAGAATCGCTTGAACCCAGGAGGCAGAGGTTGCAGTGAGCCAAGATCATGCCATTGGACTCTAGCAGGGTGACAAGAGCAAAACTCCATCTCAGGAAAAAAAAAAATCATAAATTTTCCCATATTAAAAAAATAACACAAGATCCGGAATACAGAGAGGAGCATAATGCTTTGCAGGTCATAGATGTAATCTTTCTTCCAGGAAAAATGTATTTCAGATGAGACCAGAATTGGAAACATATTCTGTGCCGTCAGATAGCACTGGCTTAGGAGATGAATGAGGAGGAGCCTGCAGGCTACCTCAAGGATAAGAAGCAGGCAAAAGGCAAGCACAGGGGTGGCATGCACTCACACTGGGGCTGCTCCTTCCTGGGCAAGTTTCAGAAACTCACTGACAGTTAGAGCTAGCAGCTCCCGTAGAGATGAATGCCCATGTTTTCCCGAAGGGAGAACTGATGCTTAGAAAGGCTGAATGACTTGTCTAAGACTCTGGGGCCAGAACAGGGATCTTATTCCAGTATTTCTTGCATGAAGCCATTCTACTTCCACGTTTCTAATTTATAACTTTTAAAAGGTCATTTTAAAAATGAAATAGCATAAACATCAAGTCTGGAGGCTAGTGGTGGGATTATTCACATTTATTTTTCCACTTGACATTTGAGGGCAATAGTGATGCTTAAGTAAAACCAAAATTATCCTGGGAGTATAGAAAATAATATATCTGTTTACATTTTGGTGTGGGATGAGTAGAATCTTGTTTTCAAATTCCTTGCTTGAAAGGCTATTAAGAAGAATAAATCCTCACTTAACAGTTTTCTAAATCCTTGGTGGTGTCCTCTGTCCTTTGGTAACACGTGAAAGTAGAGCACACTTTTCTACTTTTGTTCCTTCTGCACCCCTCATAAGGTGAAGCATGCATAGAGCACTCCCAGGGTCAGTGTGAGCCCAGCAGCAGCTCAGGCTGCCGATGCTCCAGAGTCGGATTCCACCTTCCACTTAAATGGCAGCCACAGGTAGACGTGCCCATCACAACCAACTCTGTGCGTTCATAATTTCTGTTTATTCTACAGGTGGTTTCCACAAGAAAAATGGCACAATGTTTCTCAGAAGACAATTACATAAGAATCAGCATACTTCAAATTCACAGCAAATAATCAGACAATTGATGAAAATACTTACCCAAACACTAATTGTAGACTATGCCTTCTGAATATGTTTGTC
The DNA here is from genome assembly GCF_000001405.40 of Homo sapiens. NCBI lineage: Eukaryota > Metazoa > Chordata > Mammalia > Primates > Hominidae > Homo > Homo sapiens. The sequence goes on from NC_000014.9 coordinate 19,103,828, forward strand.
ATAAACTTGGAGTAAGGAATCCTCACAGGCACTGGACAATTCAAAAAACGTAAAGTTGTTTGTTAGAATACTGGTGCTTTTGGGTAGAAACCCTCATCCATATCCTGGTAAGGCTTGAAGTTGCACAGGAGTTTTCATTTGTCAAAACCCAGAAAACCATAAGCTTTAGATTTGTGAATTTTATATTGTATTATATGTGACCTTTCTTTTTAAAAAATGAGCTGTAAGCAGTCTCCCAGACAGTAGCTCAGCCTCCAGAACTCTCTTTCTGCATAGTTGAAGACCCCTCTTCACACAAGATGGTAGCAACAAATCATAGGTGCAATTGCACCAAATTCACAGAAGATCAATTGAAAATCCTCATCAATACCTTCACTCAAAAACCTTACCCAGGTTATGCTACCAAACAAAAACTTGCTTTAGCAATCAATGCAGAAGAGTCCAGAATCCAGATTTGGTTTCAGAATCAAAGAGCTAGGCATGGATTCCAGAAAACACCAGAACCTGACTTTAGATTTAAGCCACAGCCATGGACAAGATTAACCTGGTGTGGAGTTTCAAAATAGAGAAGCCAGATGGTGTTGTACCACCTATAGCACCTTTCAATTACACACAGTCATCCATGCATTTATGAAAAACCCATACCCTGGGATTGATTCCAGAGAACAACTTGCTGAAGAAATTGGTGCTTCAGAGTCAAGAGTCCAAATTTGGTTCCAAAATCGAAGATCTAGATTTCATCTCCAGAGAAAAAGAGAACCTGTTATGTCCTTAGAATGAGAAGACCAGAGAAGACCAGGGGCAAGGTTTCTGAGGGACTTCAAGGTACAGAAGATACACAAAGTGGCACCAGCCTCACTAGCACTCTCATTTCTCAAGAGCCAGAACATGGTGAATACAATCAAGTTCAGTGTATTTGATAATATCAATTTGGGCCCCAAATCTCTCTCACAGTCTTCCTGGGAGTCTATTCTTCTTCCAAAAGTGCAAGCTAAGCCTTCTGAAGATGGTAAAGAACTTGGCCGGGTGTGGTGGCTCATGCCTGTAATCCCAGCACTTTAGGAGGCTGAGGCTGGAAGATTGCTTGAGCCTAGGAGTTTGAAACCAGTCTGAGCAACATAGTAAGACCCTGTCTCTATTCTAAAAAACAAAATAAGTAAAAAGGACTGTAGGAGGCCAAGACAGGTACAGGAGGCACCACACTACCCTGTTGACACAGCCTGGATCCAGAGTTCAGCAGACCTTGAGACAATGAAAACAAACTTAGTAATAATCATTTTTCAATCATTGCAGTAATTATTGATTTGGACAAAAATCAATTGACGTCAAAACCTTAAAGTGACGTTTCTCTGCCTATGGAGTGGTCATTCTTTTATTCCTTTAGTTTCATAATAAATTTTCTTTTACTTAAAAAACTTATAGTTTGATGAAGAGTGAGATATATACCTCATCTCAAAGAATCTTCACACACACACTTATTAATTACAAAAGGAAAATCAGTAATTTTGCAGTGGAGACATATGGCCAACTCCACCTTACCCAAGTGGCTGAAAGTCACTGCACCAGTAATGGCACAAACCAATGTGAGATGATTCCTGATATGATACACTAAAAAGGGCACTGTCTCTTCTGCATGTTGCAGACAAAAAGTGGGTAAGCTGAAACTGAAACTAATAATTAGGCAATGTCAAGCAAATACAAATTCAGGTTGACAGTCTGCAAAATAACATCCATGTACTCTTCAACAATGGATCGACCCTAGCTACTCAGGAGGCTGAGGTGGAATAATTGTTTGAGGCCAGGAGTTCCAGATCAGCCTGGGCAACATCATGCGACCCCATCTCTAAAAACATCTTTTTAAAAATGAGCCAGGTGTGGTAGCATGCACCCGTAGTCTCAGCTACTCAGGAGCCTGAGGCAGGAGGATGGTTTCAACATAGGAGATCGAGGCTGCTGTGAGCTATGATCGTGCTACTGCACTCCAGCCTGGGTGACACAGCAAGTTCCTGTTTCCAAACAACAACAAGAAAACAAAACAAAACAAAACAAAAAATAGATAGAATAGTGACAATAAAAATGGAGAAAAAGTAGGCTGACTCAGGAAATGCTTAGAAAGTACAGCCATACCTCAAAGATATTGTAGATTTGATTCGAGACCACCACAATAAAGCAGATATTGCTACAAAGTGAGTCACACAAATTGTTTTGTTTCCTTGTGAATATGAAGTTATATTGGCTGGGTGTGATGGCTCATGCCTATAATCCCAGTACTTTAGGAGACGGAGGCGGGAGGGTCACTTGAGCCCAGGAATTGTGAGATCAACCTGGGCATATAGGGAGATCCTGTCTCTATTTAAAAAAAGAAGCTATGTTTACACTACACTATAGTCTATTTAAAGTGTGAAATGGCGTTATGTCCTTAATTTTAAAACTCTTGATGCTGGCTGGGTTCGGTGGCTCATGCCTGTAATCCCATCACTTTGGGAGGCCAAGACAGGTTGATTACTTGAATTCAGGAGTTCAAGACCAGCCTGGACAACATGGCAAAACACGTCTTTAAAAAAAGAAAAGAAAAAAGAAAAACAGAAAGAAAAAGAAGAAAAACTACTTGCTGCCCTTACTTGAAGCTCAATTATTTAAAACAAAGAAAAAATAGAAAAATCTTTTATTGCTGAAAATGCTAATGATCACCTGCGCCTTCAGGGAGTCTTAGTCTTTTTGCTGGTGAAGGGTCTTGCCTTGATGTTGTTGGCTGCTGCCTGATAAGGGCGATGGTTGCTGAATATTGAAGTGGTTGTCACAATTTCTTAAAAGAAAACAATGAAATTTGCCACATTAACTGACTCTTCCTTCCACAAAAGATTTCAGTGTACCATGCGATACTGTTTGATAAGCATTTTACCCATAGTAGAACTTCTTTCAAAATTGGAGTCAGTCCTCTCACACCCTGCCACTGTTGTACTATGTTTATCAATATTCTAAATCCTTTGTTGTAGGCTAAACAATATTCACAGCATTTTCACCAGGAGTAAATTTCATCTCACAAAACCACTTTCCAGGCTCTTTCTGGACTGTAGAGTTCTTTCCAGGCTACCTTGTGGCAGTTTAAGAGTCTGGCATCATTTTCCGCTGGGACCTAAGGATCGAGGAGGTGCTTGTGACTAGACTGCCAATGGACCCATCACAAAGTTTAACCCAACCTTGATCCCCGAGTCTTCACAAATGCTCACTGAAGAAAATTCCTAGAACAATTCAGGGTCCTTTCATAACCTCTACTCTGAGGTGTTAATAAAAAACCTTAGTAACTTAAAAAAAATGAGCTGTACACAAATACTGAACAATAATGCTACATATGTTAAGTATGTAAGAAAAATATATACTTTGACATAAATAAGAAACGGTGAGTTGATAATTGGATAGAATGGTGGATAGAGTGAGAGATATGTAGTAAAGCAAATATAACAAAATGATGTACAATCTAAGTGGTTGGACTATAAATATGCACTTCCCACAACATTTTTATATGTTTAAACAGTTTTATAATACCATATTAGGGAAACTGTTTGTCTCAAGGAAATAGAGATTGTGATATATTCTAGTACAATGAAGTGTAATCATGTAAAATAAAAGCTTTTACTTCTGGCAATTAAAGTTAGTCATGTTAGAACACTGTCTAGGAATGGTTGGAAAATCATATTTTATTTTCTAATCAATATATTTATGTCATCTGTCAATCAGAATTACACTGACTTTAAAAAGCAATAATATGACTGTATATTCATGATGAAATATAGCCTAAGAACAAAATAATGCACAAAAATAATCTCAGATTGCTTATTATTTTTCAGAAGGCTGTATTTTTAGTCTTAGGCTATTGGTTTGTCTTATATTGCAGGATTTTAAAAAAATGATTAGTTCCCAGCACTTTGGGAGGCTGAGATGGGCAGATCACCAGGTGAAGAGGTTGAGACCATCCTGGCCAACATGGTGAAACCCCCTCTCTACTAAAAATACAAAAATTAGCTGGGCGTGGTGGCATGTGCCTGTAGTCCCAGCTACTTAGGGGGCTGAGGCAGGAGAATTGCTTAAACTCCAGAGGTGGAGGTTGCAGTGAGCCGAGGTGGTGCCATTGCACTCCAGCCTGCTGACAGAGTGAGACTCCGTCTCAAAAAAAAAAAAAAAAAGAAAAAGAAAAAAAAAAGAGAGTAGTTATGGGGCTGGGCACGGTGGCTCATGCTTGTAATCCCAGCACTTTGGGAGGCCGAGGTGAGTGGATCACGAGATCAGGAGTTCAAGACCAGCCTAGCCAAGATGATGAAACCCCCATCTTTACTAAAAATACAAAAAAATCGGTTGGGCACAGTGGCTCACGCTTATAATCCCAGCACTTTGGGAGGCTGAGGCGGGTGGATCACGAAGTCAGGAGATCAAGACCTACCTGGCTAACACGGTGAAACCTTGTCTCCACTAAAAATACAAAAAATTAGCCAGGCATGGTGGCACGTGCCTATAGTCCCAGCTGCTCGGTAGGCTGAGGCAGGAGAATGATTGCACCACTGCACTCCAGCCTGGGCAACAGAGCGAGACTCCGTCTCAAAAAAAAAAAAAAAAAAAAAAGCGCCGGGCGCGGTGGCTTATGCCTGTAATCCCAGAACTTTGGGGGACCGAGGTGGGTGGATCACGAGGTCAGTGGTTCAAGACCAGCCTGGCCAACATGGTGAAACCACGTCTCTACTAAAAATACAAAAATTAGCCAGGTGTGGTGGAGTTTGCCTGTAATCCCAGCTACTCTGGAGGCTGAGGTAGGGAACTGCTTGAACTCCGGAAGTGGAGGTTGCAGTGAGCCTAGATCACACCACTGCGCTCCAGCCAGGGTGACAGAGCTAGACTCCATCTCATTATGGGTGTGACATTGAAAACTGGTACTTTTCTAATGAAATAGAAGAAGATACAGATGTAATATCTCTGAGCATAATTAAAATCCTCTAATCAAGACTGTTAACCAAAAGGTTTGTTTAAAAGTTATAAATTTTTATTAAAAAAATACACTTATCTTTTAGACTTATCCACTGAAAAGTCCTGGAAGCATTAAATAAAACAGAAGCAGAAAGCACCTTGGTGCCATAACTTTGGATTCTCCATGTCATCATTCACTAAAAGGAACCAAAGCGTCTCGGAGAAATGGCTGCTTTCTGGCTGCAGGCAGGCAATGTGCAAAATCAATCTAGAGCATCTCGTCATACTGGAATGCAAGGACACTTTTATACCCCCTAGGATCGTGTCCATAGGATCCAAGAGGCAACTTGAAGGAAGTCCCACTCTCCAAACATGAACTAATATAAGCATCAATAATATTGATGACCACAAGCCAGGCATGGTGGTTCACACCTGTAAGCCCGACACTTTGGGAAGCCAAGGCAGGTGGATTGCTTTAGCCCAGGTGTTCAAGACAAGCCTGGCCAACATAGTAAAACCTTCTGTCTACCAAAAATAGAAAACAAAAAATTAGCCAGGCATGGTAGCTTGTGTCTGTAGTCCCAGCTACTTGAGAGGCTGAGGTGGCAGGGTCACCTAAGCCCAGGAGTCTGAGGATGCGGTGAGCTGTGATTATGCCACTGCACTCCAGCATGGGCCATAAAGCAAGATCTGTCTCAAAAACAAACAAACCAAAATAATGATGATGATGATGACAGCAATGAGCAGGTGCACACCTTATATGTTTAAATCATTGAGCTTATAATGATGTTAAAGCATGCAGTCAATAGAATAAATACATTATCCAGATATTGGAATTAGCATAAAAAGACTAAAGTATTCCCTCTTTATCTGTGGGGCATACTTTGGAAGGCCTCCAGTGGATGTCTTAAACCATGGATAATACCGAACCCTACATTAGCACTTACTACACACTGTGTCTGTGACTTTTGAAGTTTGAGGTACAAAAGCGAAACTAGCAAGAATTTATTTTTCCTTTTCCACAATTGTACCAATAAAGGAATAGTTCTTACCCTAGATGTTGGCAATCTCAGCATATCTTTTTCCTCATTAAGTGCAAAACTTTCTGCTTTTCAGTTACTGAAAGCACTTTCAGGTTTCTCTTTTGCATATCTGAATTGCCAGCATCAATACTATTGCATATTGAGACCATTACTAAGTAAAATAAGGGTTACTTGAACACAAACACTGCGATACTGAGATAGGTCCATCTGATAACTTAGACAGCTGCAAGTGTCTAATGAGCAGGAAGCAGGAATTGTGTATCTGCTGAGCAAAGGGGTATGTCACATCCTGAACTGGATACAGCAGAATGGCGGGAGGTTGCATCACATTCCTCAGAACAAGGTGTGACTTAAAATTTATAAACTGTTTACTTCTGGAGTTTTATATTTCATATTTTTTGACTGTGGGTGACTGAAAGTGAGGAAAGTAAAGCCACAATAAGGGGATACTACTATATTATAAACATGCTCAAGGATTGAAATAAAAATAAAATTGAGCAAACAGATGTGAAGCCTCAGCAGAGATAAAAACTTTAAAAAAAATTCTAGTACTTAAAAATACAACATCTTACAGAAAAATTTCATCAGACTGAGAAGAGTCAGGAGAATAATTCCCAAAATTAATTTTTAAAAAGTCAATCCATTTTTAATTTCTTCAAGTACTTTCTAGGATTTTAGGAAACCATATTGCTACTTAGAAAACTGGCAAATAAAAGAGTAACTGATAAATAGAAAATGGTAAATAAAGGGAAAGGATCACGTATTTATTCTACCTTTTCACTACAAGCAGTACCTCATGGTAACCAAAGAGACAGTGAAGAAAAACTATCTACAAAAATTTTCTATTTAATCTATGAAAGAAGAATAATAGAATTAAAACAGCTCCATTTATTGATCTCTAATTTAATCAGTTTTGAAGGTTATCATTCCTTATGCTCTTGGTTTGGTTCAGCCAGGAAAACAGCCAATTAAGTATTATAGAAATAAACAGTTTAATATAAGAATTAGCGCTTACATTTATGTGCATGTAAGCAAAAAAAATGAAAGTTTTTTTCTGCCTACAGAAAGTCAGAAACACAATCACAAATGACATCAGCTGAAAACACTGATATAGGAGCGAAAGCAGTAGCTCATCAAGGAGTCCAGGAAACTTCTGTATTCACCAGGATTATGAAGTACACGCTTGTGTGATGTCTATGATGGGCCTATATCTGGATACTAGAATTGCTGAGAAGAACCTTGTTAAAAAAAACTCTGGGCTGGGTGCAGTGGCTCACACCTGTAATCGCAGCACTTTGGGAGGCCAAAGCAGGAAGATCATGAGGTCAGGAGATCGAGACCATCCTGGCTAACATGGTGAAACCCTGTCTCTACTAAAAAAAAAAAAAAAAGAAAAAAAAATTAGCCGAACATGGTGGCATGTACCTGTAGTCCCAGCTACTCGGGAGGCTGAGGCAGGAGAATTGCTTGAACTTGGGATGTGGAGGTTGCAGTGAGTCGAGATAACACCACTGCACTCCAGCCTGGGCAACAGAGAGAGACTCTGTCTCAAAAAAAAAAAAAAAAGTCATTAGAATGATGGGGCCCGGAAAAAACCAATCTTGGGTCACGAATACACATTCAAAAGTAGATTAGAACATTTATAAGCTTAAATTTGAAATTTGGAAAATATTTTCTTTTAACCTGTATGAGTCTAAATATTTGCCTTTCCTTAATAATTGTGAAATTAGTACTCATCAAAGGGGTTGGCAATCATGGCGAGTGGCTATTAATGACTGATTTAAAAAATAATACTAATTGCATTCATTAATTCCTTTATACATTTTTAAAAGTCCTCCAACATTTTTTCTTATTCTCGTTTGCTCATATTCTTCAGTATTCATATTCTGTGATCTGTATTTTGATCTTTTAAAATACCTGTTGAGTATCCCTTGTCCAAAATGCAGGGAACCAGAAGTATTTTGGATTTGGGATTTTTTTCAGATATTGGAATATTTGCATTATACTTACCAGTAGAGCATACCTATTCTCCTTTGCAACAGAGTGCTAATATTCTCTTCTGTCTTTTTGTTTTGCATGGTAGTCTATTTCCATCTTCTTCTGGAAGTTAACATCTATGCCAGCAACATTTCTCTAAATTTGTCCTCATTTTTCATGTTTCCTTCTTCAAAGATCTCTTGAGATTTTTGGTTTCTATGCCCCACTTAATTTTTCTTTAGAATCTTTAACTAGTTATCCAGTCCCAAGAAACCCATCAAACTTCAGATGTCTTTACTGACAAATGGACATTGCATTTCTCATTGATTTTACTGATCTCTGGGGAGGCGTGCTCCCTGAAGGCAGCACTTTTCTTCCAGTGAAAAAGGCACAGTTAGGCAATATGGGAAAGGCATTTCTGAATTTCAGGACCAGTCCTAAAATTGAGTTTGGGTCAGTTCTCTCTAGAAAATATTCTATTTTATTTACAAAGCAAAATTATTTTATTCCTTACAATAATATCAGAGACAGTTTCGCTACTATTTACATTCAGTCTTTTGCCCTAAGTCAAATAATCAACTCTGGGAGGAGGAGATCTTTGAAATAAATTTATTCTGTACCTTATGGACAGACACAAATTCTCTGGAGGCCTTCAGTTATATCTCCCTAAGAACTGTGAGGGAAGCTAATAGGCAACTGACTTCAAAAAATTTTGTTCTATTTTTTTGAAAACTCGACTCATTTATGCTCTCCAGTGTCATATCTCCATACTGCTCTGTGTTTTACTTCTGAATCAATCTTCCCTCCCTCCCAAATATTTTCAATGTGACTTCTGGAAACCTCATTAGAGGACATTGACTCCATTTCTTTGCTTTAATTAAAATTCAGCTATCTATATGGGGACAATGCTTCCCTTGACATGTGCTCCACTGAAGGCTAGTCATTTTCCCAAAGGCTAAGGTGTCATAGAATTTATTTAATAGAAGTGGGTTGGCATAATTTTAGCTCCATATTTTCTATTCCCAACCACTATTCCTCTATTTTAATACAAAAGCCCCTTCTTTACTGTCTATCCATCTAACTATAATGTCTTCTAACTATAATGTCTTCTAACAACTGCCACATTTATTCCAGAACTTCCTCTACACCCAAGCAGCATCATTTTCTCATTTGGCCTCCCTTTCACACTCATGTGGTTGGCTCATTTAACACCTTAACCTCATAGGTTCTTTGTTTCCTCAGCTCTGAGACTTTTTCTTGAATTCAGCCTTCCACTGCCTATGTCTTAGACATTTTTTAATGGCCTCAACTGTTCCATGTAAGTATCCATAAGCTTAAATATCCATATTCTCTTACCCTTATTTTGATCTTTTAAAATACTTGTTGAGTATCCCTTATCGAAAATGCGTGGGACCAGAAGTATTTTGGATTTTGGATATTTTTCAGATTTTGGAATATTTGCATTATACTTACCAGTTGAGTATCCTTAATTTGAAAATCTGAAATCTGAAATGCTCCAATGAACATTTCCTTTGAGCATCATGTAAGTGCTCAAAACTTTCAGATTTTGAAGCATTTCAGATTCAGTAACAGTGTGCAGTTGTGATAAACAAATTATATATGGAACTGACGTGATCCTACAACATAAACTCTTTGAGAACTGAGGCTGTGCATTTTTTAGATTAGTAGATACTTTGCAATTTTTTTGAATGGAGTTTCACTCTTCTGCCCAGGTTGGAGTGCAGTGGCATCATCTCAGCTCATTGCAACCTCTGCCTCCTGGGTTCAAGTGATTCTCCTGCCTCAGTCTCCCGAGTACCTGGATCACAGGCATGCGCTACCACGCCCGAATATTTTTTTGTATTTTTAGTAGAGATGGGGTTTCACCATGTTGGCGAGGCTGGTCTCGAAATCCTGACCTCAAGTGATCTGCCTGCCTCAGTCTCCCAAAGTGCTGGGATTACAGGCGTGAGCCACCTCGCCTGGCAATCTTCTTTCAACTTAATCAGCCCTTATACACTCAAAGAGTTACTTGGATGCATGCTTTCTCATTATCTATTTTCATCACTGCATATATCTGAGGAAGGATAATGAGACTCTACTATCAGTAGAAGGATGCTTGGATTATCACGTGCAACACTTTATAGCCTATCTTGACTTTTCTCCCAAACTTCATAGAAGAAAAGATGGGATTTTCTGACTCTTTTTAACTTCCTAGGACTAGAGAGCCAGGAAGACAGAAAAAAGGGGCAAAAGGGGCCCTACTTTTAACTTGGTACAAAGTTTATAATGGGAACATAATAGTTCCAGAAAGCGGAATAGAAAATCTTATTAAAGAAACCAAGGCAGGGAGCTTCATTAACATTCTGCTCTTGAACTCATGCTTTTATTAGATACTTATGTGTAGGGCTATTCTGAGGACCTGCTATTCATTTTTTCCAATAATTCATATTTTAATGTATTTAGATAGGTAATTTACATGACATTATTTTTAGAAATCATGACCTATTTCAACCTGTCATTGTTATCTATGGCTTAATTTCTGTGAAAAGCAATGAAGTCTCTCTGCAATATAGCTATGATGATCTCTAATTTTGTAGTTCTCTAATTTGTTCACACATTTAGAATGACCTTTTATGCCTTTCCAACTATGGCATCTTCTATTGTTATATGATTCGGGTTCAAATGTTCACCAATATATAGTGCTTGAAATGCGTATTAAAAAAGTATGAACAAGGGAGAATAGAAGTTGATACAGAAGCAGTAATACACAGTGTTCTCAAACAATCCACCTAAGTTGCCATTTCTAGTTTCATATCTCATAATTCAAAATCCTGGGGAGCTGCCACTGAATCATTTCTTCTCCTAATCATAAATACCTAGACCCAATACACCAGGGAATACCAGGATCTTGAAAAAGATGAAAGAATGGAATAAAAAATTAGCCTCAGGAAAGCAGCCTAAATATATTTGAAGATGACAGATTGGTAGGTAAGTAGGTAGGTAGATAGATAGATAGATACCTAGATAGATAGACAGACAGACAGACAGACAGATAGATAGATATTCCAAGACTATAAAACTATGAACCAATTTTTAAAATCGTATAATCTTCTAATATTATGCTGAGCTGTGATCATCTGCTTATATAAAATTCAAGACACATTCAAAGAGATCCTTCAGTGATAATTTTTTAATCAGAAGGGAAAAGTTTTAGATGCTACTTGAGAAAAGGACAAAGTATAGGTTGAGTTTCTCTTTTTTGCCAGTTGTTATTACTTAATTACACTATCTTTCTGGCCATAAAATGAACAAAAGGATTCATTCACTTGTCTCATTAGGTATTAAGCATCAGTTGTCGATTCATTCATTTCACACATTTCACTAGTGACACTGAATACTGCAGAGCCAAAGATGAAAGGGGAAGCAATTCCAGGCCGATGAGAAGATGCACGATTGCCATTCAGGTACTGACGGCTGCAATGGGGGAAGGGTGGTGAGAGCACTAATGAATTCTTGCTATGTTCTGGTCATTGTCTCATCCTAATAACAGCTCCCTGGAAAAGGTACTATTAATCCCTAAAGAAACTAAAATTCGGAGAGATTAAATGACTTTCCCAAAATCACAAAACCAATATGAAATAGAGCCATAAATCCAATTCAGGCCTGTCTCATATCACAATTATTTTCTATCTGCTATGCCAAGTGGCATCCTTGAGTTTTGCAAGATGCCCTCAGTGCCAAGGCATGAGCCCTTACCAGGGAAACTTACTTTCTTTCTTTCTTTTCTTTCTTTCTTTCTTTCTTTCTTTCTTTCTTTCTTTCTTTCTTTCTTTCTTTCTTTCTTTCTTTTTCTTCCTTCCTTCCTTCCTTCTTTCCTTCCTCCCTTCCTTCCTTTCTTTCTTCTTTCTTTCTTTTTTTTTTCTTTGACGGAGTCTCACTCTGTAGCCCAAGGTGGAGTGCAGTGGTGCAATCTTGGCTCACTGCAACCTCTGCCTCCCAGGCTCAAGTAAGTCTCCTGCCTCAGCCTCCAGAGCAGCTGGAATTACAGGCGTGTGCCACCATACCTCGTGAGTTTTTTGTATTTTAGTAAAGACGGGGTTTCACCATGTTGCCCAGGGCAATCTCGAACTCCTGAGCTCAGGCGATCCACCTGCCTCAGCCTCCCAAAGTGCTGAGATTCAAAGAAATTTTCATGGAGAGGGGACAGATGGAGTCAATTCTTGTGGGGTGAACATGAGTACCACAGTTAGACTGAGGTTGGGAAAGATTTTCCAGACAATTGGAAGAGCATGTGAAAGACACAGATTTTGAGAAATGTTAAGTCTAGGGAACTGCAAGGCTTTTGGCACAAGAAAGCCACTGTAGACTATAGAAGCAGGATGCCTAGATTCAAATCCCAACTGCTACACTTCTAAGCTTTGTAATTTTGGCAAGTTTTTACCCTCTATTTTCTTATCTATAAAATATAGATTTTATATATATAGATATAGATATATAGATAGATAATAATTGTGCATGCCTAATAAAGTTGTCAAAGATTAAATGTTATATGTGAAGTATTTTGTACGGTGATAGGAACCCAGGAAGGGCTCTATGAATATTATATATTATTATTATTCTAAAGTAGCTGGAATACAATGTTCAAAGGAGATAGTGGCAGGAGATAAGTTTGAATTGAAAGATTGAGGCCAGAACATAAAGTGCCTCCTATATTATATTTTACATAATTGGAACATCATTGAAAAATTTAAGTATTATTTATGTGTGTATGTGTGTTTTATATAATTAATTCTAGTTCATTATTTTAAAATATCTTTCTGATGTCACTGTGAACAACAGATGAGAAGAAGTGAATCCTGAGTTAAGGAGACCAGCTCTCTGATTACTGCCATAATCCAGGGAGGGTACCATAAGGATTTCAACTGGAAGTGAATCCATCATGATGGAGAGGAAGGACAGGGCTGAAAAATACTTAGGAAGTAGTATCAGTAGGACTGGTTAAGAGAGAGCAGAGGCAGGCTACAGGGGTTGGAGGTGTCAATCACAGAGATAGGGAAAATGGGAGGAGAAGCAGGCTTTGAAAAAGTGGCTTGTCTTGTAAAATTATGTGCTGTTAAAACAGTACAAGAAATTAATATATTCAATTCCAAAATACAGGTACAATTCTTTTTGAAAGAGTTACCCAGATAATCTTCCTTGAAGTTTTCAGTTAAAGAAATTTCTTGTTAACAAGTAATGTAGTCATAGAAGAAAACACTTAAAACTTTATTGAATAAAGCTAATAAATCATTTAATATAATTTATAGGAAATTGTTACATAACACACACATTCAATACTTTTTGCTAAAGTATAAATTAATGGAAGGAGAGCACGCACACAGAGGTTGAATTATGTTTATGACTTTATTAGTCAGGAATACAAAATTGAGTAGCTACATCAAGCAGAAGCACATGCTTTACAATCCAGCACAGAATCCCTTGACATCCAAACTCCCGAAACAGACATGTAAATACAGATGACATTGTCAGAACAAAATAGGGTCTCACCCGACCTATAATGTTCTTTTCTTGATATAAATATGCACATGAATTGCATACGGTCATATGGTTCCAATTACCATTATTTCCTCTGGGCTTAGCTATCCATCTAAGGGGAATTTACACCAACACTGTACTTCTACTTGCAAGAATATATGAAAGCATAGTTAACTTCTGGCTTAGGACCCCAACTCAGGATCAACAAAGCAGTGCTCTTGGGGGAAGCCCATTTTGCTACAATTTAAAGTCATTAGAAGCATTAAATAAAAGCTAAGAACTTGAAATCAAGTGTGTTATAATGTAGTTAGGGAATTAGATTTCAGGTGTTTATTTTTAACACAAATCCATTAATTCTGACACCTAAGGCAAATGCTAGTCAACATGAATGGAGAAACTTTTGATTAGTGGTATATGTTTTCAGATTTCTGGAACAGTCATAGACTCTTCAATGTCTTATGACTGAAATTTTTTAAACCACTGTTTTCTCTAGAAACTAATGAAACTCATCATAAACTCATTTTTCAATATTAAAACATAGTCATAAGTAGAATATTAATCTTATATTAATTAAGATGTTAACATATGTGAAATTTAATACTTCCTTTAAGGTATGAACACTTATCCAATTCATAATTTCAATGAAAGGAGATGTCTAAAAGAGACTTTTAATTCTTCAACCGCAAGGACTACACAGAGCAGTTTCAGCACCAGGGATAGTTTTCTTCCTGGATAACAGCGAATGCTCTAATACTGATGAGTAAATCCTGTGTGTCTAACTTCAAATTAATTGTTAGGTTTATATGAATGAGTATAACATGATAGTTAGGAGCATAGGCACAAAGGAAACATTCAAATTTGTTGTTGTTGTCCTTGCTATTATTCTTGTTGTATGTGAGGCTGATATGATAAAAGATACTGATTTAGGTCAAGTACACATATTACTTGTGGAAAATTAATAACTCTAATTAAATATTTCTTGTTTCATACACATTAATTTTAAATACAGCCCAACAGTGGGCCACTATTTCTCAATACAAGAAAATAATACACAAGAATCATGAAGTTCTTCAATCAAACTTAAATAATCCTTATTGCAAACATAAAACATAAAGAAAACACATTTTTAAAGAAATATTATCTTTCCAAACATAGCCATATAATTCCTCTGTATTAGAATTTTTCACAGGAATTCTAACTAGTATATTTTTTGTACATGCTTTAAAGAATAAAAAAATTTGAACTGTTGACCAAATGTGATATATTATATACTATTGTGTGTATTTTAAAGTGAGGGTAAAAAAAGACACCAAAGCCTCTGGGAAGGTAAACTATAAATTGACTTACAGAATTAATTAATTAGGAAGTTAAACTATAATTAACTTACAGAACTTACCAAGAAGTGTTAATGCCTACCCTAGGAATGACTATAAACCTATTAGTTAGAATTTCCGTATATCTCAGTTTTTAATATGTAATTGTTTTAAAAAATTTGGCCAATTTGAAAAAAACAATTAATATGTAAATGAATATATCTACATTAATACATATTCTTTATTAATTCTTTATTAGCTACTAATCTGGGTTCTGTACAATTTTGTATCTGGCCATTCATTTGTTTTATATGCCAGTAACAAATATACAATTTTTTGATACCACCAATACCAATATATTTTTAATGGATGGAGCCATCTCTATGCTGATATATCACGGTTACTACACCAATTTATAGTTAAGAGATATCCAAATGTGGTGTTGGACCCAGGAAACTAATACTTATAAACCCAGTCACCAGGAATGCATGGTTGAATGGCCAAAATTCAGGAAATGTACAGGTGGATAAACCAATGATCCATTAACCTAACAGTATAATGGTTCCCAAGAACCAAGGGGAACAAAATTGGTTGGAGAAGAAATAGAAGATACTTGCAGAAAAAAAACCAACTTGCTGCTAAGGCCAGGTTCCTTACTGGCATGCCACCCCTCCATCCTGGGGGTAGCCAGTCCTGAGTGAGCCTCCCTGAGGTTCGCTGGTAGTCACTACACATGTCTAGCTAGTGGCATTCCTTGGTCAGTTTTGAATGTAGAGATAGAAAGCAAACAAACAGTTACCTAAAGACAGTAATTCTCTCCCATCCACAGGAGGGTTTTGCCTAGCTTTCACATGCATGTTGCTACAGTACAATTGATTCATTAATTAACTTTAGCCAATTACTTAGTAAACTCAGGTCAACAAGAAAGGAGGCAATGCTTTCATTCATAGCTGAAACCATACACACTGAGGATCTAATAATGAGTGCATACATCGACGATTGAGTTTTTTTACTTTCAAAATATTTTGTGGTATCATGAAAACATGCCATAAGTCCCAAGGGAAATTTGTCTAGAGATTTGATGAAGCTTTATCTTGCTGTCCAATTAGAAAATGAATGACTGGAAAGATTCTTCTAAAAACTGGCTAAGATATTTATTGCCAGAATTTTCTTGAGGAGAAAGTGTTGGTTCGGCTCCACCTACATTCCCTTACCTCAATCATGTAATCCTGAGCACCTGCTCCTCAAGAGTGAATGCTTTCCTTCAAAGGATCCTTATACATACACTGGAGCTGATGCACAAAACTGCCTTGCTGCATTTTTGAAGATCTCAAATTTGGCCTCTCATTTACATTATCCTTCTTTTTGTTCATCACATTTCCAGATTCCTGACTGTTTACCAAACTTTATATTGCCTTCCTATTCTGTTCTTGAGGATCCATGGTCACTGCAACTGTCTTTTCAGGTTTGACCCGACTGTGGCTTGTATGACTAGATTTGATTCCTTGCCATTTGATTCCTGACCACTAGCTCTGGGTGTGGAACCTGCCTAGCTCCGATGTTTGTTTTTTGTTTTTTTTGTTTTTTTTTTTTGAGACGGAGTCTTGCTCTGTTGTCCAGGCTGGAGTGGTGCAGTGGCCACTGCAACCTCTGCCTCCCGGGTTCAAGCGATTCACCTGCCTCAGCCTCCCGAGTAGCGGGGATTGCAGGCATGCACCACCACGCTCGGCTGATTTTTGTATTTTTAGTAGAGACGGGATTTCCCCATGTTGGCCAGGCTGGTCTCGAACTTCCTACCTCAGGTGATCCGCCCGCCTCGGCCTCCCAAACTGCTGGGATTACAGGCGTGAGCCACCATGCCTGACCCTGCCTAGCTCCTTTTAATATCCCCCACAACTTGTCACACACTTTATCCAAACCAGTTCCCTGCTCTGAGTCTATAGCCATGACTCACTACTGCCTGTATTTCCAGATGACTGGAATTACTGCTCCATTCCAGACTGCTGCCAGAATTAATGCTATTGCTTTCTCTGTAATACTTTGTACTTTTCAAAGGATCATAATTTATCTCATTTGTGCTTACAACCCCTTTCTATAATGAGAGCTGTTCATTCCTATGCTCTCATTCCTATTTCATTGGCAAGAAAATCAAGACTCCAAGAGGCCAAATAATTTACTTAACACAACAATGATGGTTTAATACTTTGAATGCTAGTTTTGAGGACCTTATTATTCCCCCAAAATCATGTTTTAGGGAATTTAACAGTCCTTTAGAGGAATGATTTTATTCTGACTTTAAAACCTTTTGTTTTTCTTCCTTTAATATGTGACATTGCCTTGTAATGTAAGTAATCTGTATCAAACTATTGAATGTATTGAATTTTTACCTTTAAGTTATTTCCTCCTTTCTTTCCTTAATTGAGACATTTATCAAGTATTTACCATGTATCAATCAATGAGCATAGCTTATTGCTGCAGAGTTTATTTATAAGCTATAGTCCCTGCCTTCAAGTAGTGCTAAGGTAGTCAGGAAAAAATTGTATAACAAATTACTACAAGACTATATTTTTTTCATAAAAATAAATACCATAAAAAAGTATCATTTTCTGAAATCATATTGTTTATATACATTTTACTAGTTTATTGTCTGTGACCTGTATTAGAACATAAGCTATATGAGGACAGGGACTTTGTTTCATTTACCGCTACATTTCCTGTACCTTGAAACTACACATGGCTTGCAAAATACATTCAATAGATAGGTGTAGTAAGGAATAAAATGTTAGTTCTCCTTTAGGCTTTTAAGGGCGCCTGTAGTCCCAGCTACTCGGGAGGCTGAGGCAGGAGAATGGCGTGAACCCCGGGGAGCGGAGCCTGCAGCGAGCCGAGATCGCGCCACTGCACTCCAGCCTGGGTGACAGAGCGAGACTCCGTCTCAAAAAAAAAAAAAAAATCTCTTATGTTTCTAGTGAATGAAGACTGTTTATTAGATACCACATGAGTGGCACTCATTGCATAATCGGTTAGTAGATTTACTTTTACATCTATCTTTTGAGTGGTCCCAGCAATAATTAGTGAAACATAGTGTAAGAACCAACCATTACCCTTGTTTTATAAATGACGAAACATACTCCAAGATTATGTGAATGGAAAAGGAAACATGGGAAAATCATATTTCTGAACATGATTTGTCCAATTATAGGTTTTGCTTTAGGAAGACTCACTATTAAATGTGTGTGAATGTGTGTGTGCATGTGTGTGTATGTTTTTATTATAATAGTATATGTGCTCATTGCAAATCATTTAAAAATACATGTGAAGAAGAAATGGAAAGTCGCCAGTAATCTCATTGCTCCATGGTCACTATTGTAAATATTTGACATTTGTTAAATCTATTATTTATGTCCTGTATTCAAAGTAGTGTGGAGGTAGGCAAGATCACTGGACTAGTCAGGAAATTTGAATATTCTACCTGTCTGTTACCTTAGTTTTTGACCTTGGTGTAGGGATTCCATGATTACCAACATTTAATTTTTAAAATTATTTCTTACCTTACCTTCTTCTCCAGTTTCTACTGTTATTTCTATTAAATAAATATGACTTTGTTTTCCAGTGAGATATGATACGTGATACTTTTTGAAATATTAAAAGTCACTTAAACAGTATCCATTTGTCTCTATAAAAGCCTAGCTAGGCTCTCCATGAAGGGAGCAATTCAAATAGATGGTTTGTAACATCTTTTTCAGTTTTAAAATGTGGATACTCTGATTCCATTGCACATTGATATATGAACTCATTCTTCCTTACGATTATTCCCCAAGTGGTAATTATTTTGCTTCTAGACCAGCAAGCTAATATCTCAAAAACTCTTACATGTAAATGTAGTTGTTTAAAAATATTTATGCTGTGTAATGTCAGTAATTTATGAGTTACAGACATGATATCCATTATATTTTTGCCTAATAATTCATTTTTAGGAAAAACTAAGAATAAAGTTATTCTTTGTATTTTTACTAATCTTTTCCCAACCAAGTGTTACTGAAACTGTCATCCCAAAGTCTTTTTACCTTTTAAGGTTCTCACTTTTGAGGCTGAGAACTATGAAGCTAGTATTCAAATTTGCATTCATTGTTGTAATTTCTGGCAGTATGTCCAATTTAATTCTACTGTTAGGTGCTTGTTTGTTGTACTTATGAAGAACTAAGGATTTTCTAGTAGCCCAGAGTTATGTTATTTTTTGCTTAGTGACAATTTTTACAAGAGACCTTATTATAATGAAACCAATGAAATGCATCACAGTACCTTTTTCAGAGTGCCAGTGGCTTATGAGATATTTTTTGATGTAAACTTGTTAAAGCCATGTAACTAACCAAGCTTATATCCTTACTGTAGAACTAGAGACATATTATAAATATTTATAACGAACAAAATTGGGGTAAGAATCCCTCATTTGTTCTATTTTTTGGTCAGTCAATAAATATATTTTTAAAAATTTGTGTCTGTGACTGGTTTCGGTAACAGGGTAATACTGGCCTCATAGAATGAGTTTGGAAGTATTCCTTCCTCCTCTATTTGGAAGGATGCCCTTCTCTTCTATTTTTCAGAATAGTTTGAGTGGGATTAATATTAGTTCTTTAAATGTTTGGTTAGAATTCAACAGTGAAGCTATCATTTCCCAGACTTTTCTTTACTGGGAGACTTTTATTACAACTTCAGTCTTGTAACTTGTTATTAGTCTGTTCAGGTTTTGGATTTCTTCCTGGTTCAATCTTGGTAGTTTTATGTCTGTAGCAATTCATAAATTTCTTCTAGATTTCCCAACTAATTTGCATGTAGTTGCCCACAGTAGCTGATAATGATCCTTTGAACTTTTGCAGTATCAGTGGTAATGTCTCCTTTTTTATTTCTGATTTTCTTTATTTGGATCTTCTCTCTTAGTCTGGCTAAAGATTTGTCAATTTTCGTTAGCTTTCCAAAAAATAAACTTTTCATTTCTTTGATCTTTTGTATTTTTTTATTTCAATTTTATGTATTTCTGCTCTGATCTTTATTATTTCTTTTCTTCTGTTGATTTTGGATTTGGTGTGCTCTTGATACTTCAGTCCTTTAAGATGCAGCATTTGATTGTCTATTTGATATTTTTCCTCTTTTTTGATATTGGCACTTATAAACATCCCTCTTAGTACAACTTTTCTTGTATCCCTTAGATTTTGGTATGTTGTGTTCCTATTATTATTTGTTTCAAGAAATTTTTCAATTTCCTTCTTAATTTCTTCATTGACCCACTTGTCATTCAGGAGCGTATTGTTTGATTTCCATGTCTCTGTATAGTTTCTGAAACTTCTCTTGGTATTTCTAGTTTTATTCCATTGTTGTCAGAGAAGATGCTTTATATTATTTCATTTTTTTGGAATGTTTCAAGATTTGTTTTGTGACCTAACATATGGTCTGTCTTTTCAACTGATCCATGTGCTAAGGAAAATAATGTGTATTCTGCAGCTTCTGGATGAAATGTTCTGTAAATATCTATTAGCTCAATTTGGTCTGTCGTGAAGATTAATTCTGATGTTTCTTTGTTTTCTTTCTGGAAGATGTGTCCAATGCTGAAAGTGAGGTTTTGAAGTCTGCAGATATTATGGAGCCTATAGCTGTCTTCAGCTGTAGTAATATTTCCTTTATATATCTGGGTGCTCCAGTGTTGGGTGAATATATATTGAAATTATTATATCATCTTGCTTAATTGACCCCCTTATCTTTATATAGTGACCTTCTTTGTCTCTTTTTATAGTTAGTTTTTGTCTTGAAATTTCTTTTGTCTGATATAAGTGTAGTGACTTTTGCTCTTTTTTTTGTTTTTCTTTGGCATGGGATAACTTTTTTCCATCTGTTTGTTTTCAGTCTTTGTGTGTCTCTATAGGTGAAGTGTGTTTCTTTTAGGCAACAGATCAATTGGTCTTGTCTTTTCATCCTTTTAGTCTGTGTCTTTTGATTGGAGAGTTTAGTGTATTTACATTCACTGTTATTATTAAGTAAGGATCTACTCTTGCCATTTTGTTTTTGGTTTTCTGGTTGTTTTGTGGTCTTCTTTCTTGCATTCTTGTCTTCCTCTAGTGAAGATGATTTTCTCTGGTGATTTAGTTTCTTGATTTTTATTTTTTTGTGTGTCCATTGTATGTTTTTTGGTTTGAGGTTACCATGAGCCTTGCAAATGCTATCTTATCACTCATTATTTTAACCTGATAACATGACACTATTTGCATAAGCAAACAAACAAGCAAAAAGAAAACTAGTAGAAACTTGCCTTAACTTCATTTCCTTGCTTTTTAACTTTTTGTCGTTTCTGTTTATATCTTCTACTGCCTATGTCTTGAAAAGTTGTTGTAGTTATTATTGTTGTTTAATTCATCATTTAGTCTTTCTACCTAGGATAAGAGTAGTTTGCAAACCACAGTAACAGTGTTTATAATATTCTGTATTTTTCTGTGTACTTATATTACCAGTAAGTTTTGTATTTTCAGGTGATCATTTATTGCTCATTAATGCCCTTTTCTTTCTGATTGGAGTGCCCCCTTTAGCATTCCTTGTAGGACAGGTCTGCTGTTGTTGAAATCCCTTAGCTTTTATTTGTTTGGGAAAGTCTTTATTTCCTCTTCATGGTCAAATGATATTTTCACTGGATATGTTATTCTAGGGTAAAAGTTTTTTTCCCTCAGCAATGTAAATATGTCATGCCACTGTCTCCTGGCATATAAGGTTTTCACTGAAAAGTCTGCTGCCAGATGTATTGGGGCTCCTTTGTATGTTATTGTTTCTTTTCTCTTGCAGCTTTTAGGATTCTTATTTTATTCTTGACCTTTGGGCGTTTGATTATTAAATGTCTTGAGGTAGTCTTCTTTGGGTTAAATCTGCTTGGTATTCTATAACTTTCTTGTATTTGGATATTTTCTCTAGATTTGGGTAGTTCTCTGTTATTTGAAGGTTTACTCAAAATAAACTTTCTCACCCTGTTCTCTACCTCTTTTTCAAGGCCAATACCTCTTAGATTTGCCCTTTTGAGGCTATTCTCTAGATCATGTAAGCATGTGTCATTGGTTTTTATTCTTTTTTCTCCTCTGTGTGTTTTCAAATAGCCTTTCTTCAGAAGCTCATTAATTCTTTCCTCTGCTTGATCCAATTTGCTCTTGAAGGACTTGATGAATTCTTAAGTATGCCAATTGCATTTTTGAGCTCCAGAATTTCTGCTCGATTTTTTAAAATTATTTCAATATCTTTGTTAAATTTATCTGATAGAATTCTGAATCCCTTCTCTGTGTTATCTTGAATTTCTTTGAGTTTCCTCAACGCAGCTATTTTGAATTCTCCATGTGAAAGGTCACATATCTTTGTTTCTCGAGGATTGATTCTTGGTGCCTTATTTAGTTCGTTTGTTGAGGTCATGTTTTTCTGGATGGTGTTAATGCTAGTAGATGTTCCTCGGGGCCCGAGCATTGAAGAGTTAGGTATTTATTGTACTCTTCATTGCCTGAGCTTATTTGTAGCCATCCTTCTTGGGAAGGCTTTCCAGTGACACTGGTTCTTTCAGACTTGTAGAGGTACTGCCTTGATGGCCTTGGATAAGATCTGGGGTGATTCTCTGGATTACCAGGCAGAGTCTCTTTTTCTCTTCCCTTACTTTCTCCCAAGAACACAGAGTCTCTCTCTCTCTCTGTTCTGAGGCACCTAAAGCTGGGGCTGGTATGATGTATGATACAAGCACCCCTATGACCACCACCACCACTTCAGGTACTGGGTCACACCTGAAGCAAGCACAGTGCTGGGTCTTGCCCAAGGCCTGTCTTAATCACTCCTTGGCTATAGCCTATATTCACTCAAGGCCCTGGGGCTCTGCAATTGGCAGGTAGAAAAGTCGGCTGGGCCTGTGTCCTTCTCTTCAGGGTGGCAAAGTCCCCCTGGCCACCAGTGGGTCCACAGATGCCATAGAGGAGTCAGGGACTAGAGTCAAAAAACTTAGAAATCTACTTGGCATTCTGTTGTACTGTGGCTGAGCTGGCACTCAAACCACAAGACACAATCCTTCCCACTCTTTCCACTTTTTCCCCTTTCCAAAAGCTGAGGAGCCTTACCCCGTAGCCACCGCCACACCTGGCCATGAGGAGTACTGCCAAAGTACCACCGATGTTCCCTTAAGGACCAAGGGCTCTTATATCAGCTTGTGGTGAATACTGCCTGGCCTGGGACTCACCCGTCAGGGCAGTGGGCTCCCCTTTGGCCAAGGGCAGGTCTAGAAATGCTGTCCAAGAGTCAAGTCCTAGAATTGGGAACCCAAAAGCCCACTTGGTGCTCTACCCCACAGTGGTGGTGTTGGTACCTAAGATGCAAAACAAAGTCCCCTTTACTCTTCCTTCTGTTTTTATCAAGTGGAAGGAGTTTTGCCCCATAGCCACCACAGCTGGTAATGTGCATAGTCTCACCTGAAGCCAACAAGTCTCAGAAGCTCACCAAGGTCCTCAACGTAGTACCCGGGTATCACTGCTGGTTATTCAGGACCCAAGGGCTCTTCAGTTAGCAGATGATGAATGCTGCCAGGACTGGGTCCTTTCCTTCAAGGCAGTGGGTTTCCTTCTGGCCCAGGGTGTATCTAGAAATGTCACCCCAGAGCTAGAACCTGGCACAAGGGCCTCATGACCTCAAGGTGCCCTGTCCTTCTGTGGCAGAGCTGATAAGCAAGATGCAAGACAAACTCCTCCCAACTCTTCCCTCTCCTCTTCTCAAGTGGAAGGAAGGGGTTTCTTTTGGATCCACAAGCTGTGCAGTCTCAGGTTAGGGGAGAGGTGATGCCAACATTCCCGTAGCTGCCCCAGCTGGTATCTCAGTATGTCCCATGCCACTTCAGTCCATTGTCTTTGGGCCTAGTTCAGCACTAGGACTCACCTATGAGGTGCAGTCCTTATGGCCTAGATTACCTTTCCAATTTACTTAGACAACAAGAGCACTGTGGCCTTTGGTACTGAGGTTTGCGGGCAGTCAGGTTTGGACTGCTGGTATCAGTGATTGCCCTCTGGCTGAGGCTGGTTGACATGCCTTCTTTTGGGTGGACTTCAGCTTAGTTTGGTCAGGTTTTCCTTTTTGCTGCAACAAAATGGCACTGAGTTCAGTGCCTCACAATTGCTCTGTTCTCCCTTCACCAGCACCCAGAGATGCTCTTGGCACCAAGCCATGCTGCTGGGGTCAGGGAGGGGTGGCACCGGAGACTCGGAACTGTTTTTCTGTCTTTTCAGTGTCTCTTTCAGTGATACGAGGTTAAAACCAGGTACTGTGAGTGCTCACCTGATTTTTAGCTCTTAGGAAGATGCTTTTTTCTGTGTAGTTGTTTGTTAACTTAGTATCCTTGTGGTAGGGGTAGGAGGATGATCTGTGGAGTTTTCTGTTCTGCCGTCTTGTCTCACCTCCCTCCTAAAAAAATATTCTTAAATGAGATTGTAATGTTTATATGAACTTGCACGAAGACAGACGTCTTGTGCTTGGATCCTAGGTCTCTTACCGGTTTTGTAACATTCTTCAACATACTTATAACTCTGTGCCTATGATTCCTTCTCTGTAAAATGAAGATAAGAATAGTGTCATAATGGATATAAAACCTTTAAAACAGGACTAAACGCCATGTAAGGTTAGGTGGTGGTATTGTTACTATTTATCTTATTTATATCATATTCTGTGGTGACCTGTCTGTATTTGCGAATACCTTTCAGTGATAGGAAATTAATTCTACTTCTTGATCCTAATTCTACTCCCTGTCTGTTCCTAATCTTGTTTTCCTTTGCTTCCTCTTTTCTCATCTACTCATATTTTATGCCTTCCTTCATGCTTTACATAACTTGTAGCCACCTTCAGTGTTTTTTTGGAATAAAGTAGTGTATGCATACATACATATAAATCTTTGTTCCTAGAATTTAGCACTGTTAGTGCATGGTCTTTATCTTGGATGTTCATATATTCTAGTTCCCAGAACAGTAACTTCTAGACCTTAATAAATTATTTATTGAATGAACAAAGGAATTAATTACTTTGAATTTGTGAGGTGTTGTATATGATTATTATTTTATTCCTAAATCTTATCATTCTTTAGACCAAAAGGATATCCAGTTTGACAGTGTTCTTTTTTAAGAATGATGCTTATAACTGAATATAATAGTTCTTATGGGATTCGATCAACAGAGAGTAACAGAGTATTATTGTGTTATTTTATTCTGTGTGTATTTGTCTATTACTGTACTTAAAATACCAAACGGGAGGGGCAGTATGACTTTGGACTCATTTACCATAATATTGAAGTCAAATGTGTTGCTGTTAAATCAGCTTTCTTTACCCAATTCACATTTGTGCTTAAAAAAAAAAAAGCATTACAAGACCTTGCATATTTCTGTTCAACTTATTTTTAACATTCATTTCATTATTGCAACATTTATTGTAAGTTGTATCAGTTTCATGTTTCTTCATCTTCTATATATGGAGATTATGCCCCAGTTACATCTCTTTATCTGTAAGACTAGTAATATCAAAAAGGAAGATGAATTTCATGTCTTAAAATTTATCCTTAGTAAATTCTATATTTTCTGTTGATTATCACTTTTAAAGGCCAAACCCTCTTTTTAGGAATTTTTCCTGAATCCCATCCAGGAATCACATGCTGTAGTTTGCTCTGATTTACTAGATTTGAAATCACCCTTTCCCATTTATGTGAAAATTAGATTTCTGTTTGTAGGGAAAAGAAAGAGAGCTCAGACTGTTACTGTGTCTATGTAGAAAGAGAAGACATAAGAAATTCCATTTTGACCTGTACCTTGAACAATTGCTTCACTGAGATGCTGTTAATTTGTAACTTTGCCCCAGCCACTTTGCCCCAGCCACTTTGCCCCAACATTGAGCTCACAAAAACATGTGTTGTATGGAATCAAGGTTTAAGAGATCTAGGGCTGTGCAGGAAAGGACGTGCCTTGTTAACAAAATGTTTATAAGCAGTATGCTTGGTAAAAGTCATCGCCATTCTCTAGTCTCGATAAACCAGGGGCACAGTGCACTGTGTGGAAAGCCACAGGGACCTCTGCCCTGGAAAGCCAGGTATTGTCCAAGGTTTCTCCCCATGTGATAGTCTGAAATATGGCCTCATGGGATGAGAAAGACTTGACCGTCCCCCAGCCTGACACCCGTGTAGGGTCTGTGCTGAGTTGGATTAGTAAAAGAGGAAAGCCTCTTGCAGTTGAGATAGAGGGAGGCCACTGTCTCCTGCCTGTCCCTGGGAACTGAATGTCTCGGTATAAAACCCGATTGTACATTTGTTCAGTTCTGAGAAAGGAGAAAAACTGCCCTATGGCGGGAGGCGAGACATGTTGGCAGCAATGCTGCCTTGTTATTCTTTACTGCACTGAGATATTTGGGCAGAGAGAAACATAAATCTGGCCTACGTGCACATCCAGGCATAGTACCTCCCCTTGAACTTAATTATGACATAGATTCTTCTGCTCACATGTTTTTTTGCTGACCTTCTCCTTATTATCACCCTGCTCTCTTACCGCATTCCTCTTGCTGAGATAATGAAAATAATAATCAATAAAAACCGAGGGAACTCAGAGACTGGTGCCGGTGCAGATCCTTGGTATGCTGAGTGCTGGTCTCCTGGGCCCACTGTTGTTTCTCTATGCTTTGTCTCTGTGTCTTATTTCTTTTCTCAGTCTCTCATCCCACCCGATGAGATATCCCACAGGTGTGGAGCGGCAGGCCACGCCTTCAGTGTTCGCTAGTTTCAATGCTTACAATGCCTGTCATTTATCTGTAGCTCTTATACTTTTTATAAAAAGTAATTTTACACCAAAAGCCTTGAAACTTTTTTAGAGTAGTAGATTTGAACTCTTGTTATTATTTTATTCTACTGTTATCAGTAACCTCCCATGTTAACACTATTGTTTCTTTCTGTTTACTTTCAGCTGGTTGGTGGAGAATTTGAACTGGAGATGAACTTTATTATCCAGGATGCTGAGAGTATAATACGCATGACAGAGCTTTTAGAGCACTGTGATGTAACATGTCAAGCAGAAATAGGGAGCATGTTTACAGCCATTCTATGAAAAAGTGTTTGGAATGTACAGACTAGCACAGAAGTTGGGCTAATTAAACAAGTATTGCTGAAAATGAGTGCTGTAGATGACATGAGAGCAGGTATGGGGTTGTCTGTTAGGAAAGTATAACTTAAAAGTTTATAAAGTTTCACATACTTCTCTTTATATTCTATAGGTAATGTAGATTTGTTGACACTACTTTGATTTAAAATAAATGGAAATGTATGGAAATTTTACTTTTTATATTAATGGAAAACCTGAAGAGTGAAAGAAGAAAAATATACTTACTATAGTAGACAAATATAATTACTAATGTTGTTTTCTAAATTTTAGAAAATCTCAGTACCACGGAGTGCTATGAAATCTATCAGAAAAATAAACAGTATCTTTTTATGTAGTATTTCATTAAGCTTTTACATAATTAAAATGCCACAATAGGTATTACAGTTCTGTATAATGAGCATTTTATCAAATTCCCCTAGTTCTGTGCCCCTCAATCTGGCATATATGCAACTATGACAGGAGGTACTAAAAGCCTTAGATAAGCATGGTGTATCTTTTTTTTTTCCCACGTATATTTTTTGTTGTTTTTTGTTTTTTTCTGTTATATGTCCTGGTTCTTCCATAACTTATAAACTTGATTTATACCGAGGAGGTGGGAAAGTGGGCGGGGCAGGGTGGACTGACCCGGGATGGGGAAGCTCCTCTCGCTGCCCCCTCGGGGCGGGCCTAGGCCCTTTGGAGGATGGGGACGCCAGGACACTCCTCCCTGAGGTCGTCTGGCCGCCTCTGCCCCTAGTGCTCAGAATCCTGTGTGCCCCTCAATTCCGGAATCCCTCCTGGGACCCCATGCCCACTGGGCACACTGCCCCTGGTACTCAGAATCCCGAAGCACCATTCGGTTCCAGAATCCCCTCCTCAGCTGCTGGGGTGGCGGGGTCCCTCCTTTCCGATGTCCCCCCCAACCCCTGAGGGGGGAGGGAAGGGAGGGGGGTCAGGTCTCCCCTCTGTGGCAGGGGGAGGTGGAGGTGGAGGTGGAATCGGAAGGGCGTGGAAGGCGGGGGCCAGGAGGGCTCAGCCGATGGTGAGTCCAGAGCCACACTGGAACTTGTTCTTGCGGTGATTCAGGAAGGCCCCAAGGGCCAGCGTCAGGGGCAGGAGCTGGAGCTTCTTCTCCAGCGTGGCACCCACGATCCAGTTGCTATCCACAGAGCCTTTGAAGAGGAGGTTGGCCTTGGGCAGGTCCAGCTGGTACCCGAAGGAGACGCTGGTATCCTGCATCCTTGTGCTGGCCTGAAAATCCACACCCACCTGCAACTGGTCACTGGCTTTGTGGTAGTATGTTGCGTCCATGCCCGCCTGGCTCAACGTTACCGTTGCCAACCAGTTGTTCAATGTGTATTTCTCAGCTAGAGACATGACAGTGCCCTCGTCCCCAGGCCGCCGGTTGTAGACCAGCTCTCCGCCCAGGGCCAGGCAAGGCCTGATGCTCTGGAGGTAGTGGGCTTCGAGAATTCTTGAACCCACGAGGACGTCTGGGATCCCCAGGGTGACGGCTGCGGTGAGTCAGAGCCCCGATACTCCCCGTCCACCTGCCAGTTCACAAACTTCGACTGCTGGGTCTGGATGGCCATCTTGGACCTGAGACCGGGGCCCAGCTGGTGAATGACCTGAGCGTGGAGACTGCCGCTGTTGTCCATGTCACCTACCAGTACAGGGAACGCCTCTGTGGGACTCAGCTGCTTTGTCCCCACATACGTGACCCCGAAGTGGTAGCTGGACTCCCCGATTGCGCTGAGGGCTACTGTGTGGTTCACCTGGAAACGGTTACTCAACCCTTTGTTGACTGTGAGCTTGACACCCTCCATCTGAATGGGAAACAGCTCCTTACACCTCCGGTGGCACTCCTGGAATGTGCCCGGGTTGGGCAGGCAGCCGCAGGCCCCATCCTCAGCGGCCCCTGAGGCGCTGGCGGTTGCAGCCCCGGGGGTCCGTTCCGAACCTCGACTCCTAGTGGTGCCGGCGCCCAGGCCGCCTCTCAGCGGCGGCAGCGTGAAGCCTGGCGGCGAGGGCGGAGGTGGCGGCCCTGCGGGCGGCGAGCTGGCGGCCAACATGTTCCCCATGGTCGCTGGCGGTGGCGCCTGCTCCCGGCCTGGTCTCCGCTCCCACCCGGTGCGCCACGCGCAACCGAACTCGCTGCCGCCGCCGCCACCCCCGTCGCCAGCATGGTGTATCTTTTGGACATGTCCATTTTGGAAGAAACTTTTGTGTTAAAATAAACTAATATATTATGGGCTAGAACATAAAATTCACCAAGAATTTCAAGATAAAAATACTAATGTTTTGCTTGTTTGGGTTATTTCAAACAATAACTTTGAAATCTATAATTTTTTCACCACCGACCCTCTACCTCCTTGCATGCTCATTCTCCTGTGTGGCTAGATGCATTTCGGAAAAGTGTTTTGAATATTATTTCAGAGCAAGTATCATTCCAGAAAATAAGTTTAAAGTTTGAAATGTTTATTTTTTGTAACCCATGAATCTTCAGCTTAAGTATCTTCTGACATAAAAGCATTTTCATAATTATAAAAGTGCTGATATTACTCTCCACAGTATTATATCTGATCCTGCAAAGTAGTTCAGATACCAGAGAATACTCTTAAACATTTTGACTCACGCATTTAATTATGTTTAAAATTTATGTAACAAGACATTAAATGAGAAAGAATGGAATGAAAAATGGGTTAAAAGAATGCAAAATCGCAAAAAGAATGCTTTGAATTTAAATATTTCCCAAAATTTGATTTTCTGAGAAAATATATTAAAAATCATACGTAATTACCTTCAGGGTGGCAAGTATCTTTTTTTATAATGACTTAGCACCCCTGTACTGGGGACCGATGGCTAACTTGGTGAAAAATGAGATTCACACATCTGTTTCTTAAAATACCTTTTTAATACAGATATATTAATAGTAGCATTTCTATAAATTCTAGAGTTACTTAATAGGAATTTATTAATATAGACTTACGTGTACACATGTTTTATAGAACATCATATGATCCTTCAATTCTTATATCTGAGTTTAAGCTCTTAATTTTTTTTTTTTTTTTTGTAAATTGCCTGCTACTCTATGGAGTGCAGTTTAGAGAATGAGCCAAAATTACATGCATAGTAGTTTACTAGTACATAATTCATCAACACTGAAATGTAAAAGTGACAGTGAGGGTGATCGTACCATAGAAGTTCATATTTTGACATTGCCATTATATAAAGCTTCTTCATTCTCCTATCTTTTTCTCAGTAATAATATTAATAACACAAAATTTTTCACTTTTTGTAATTTCTAGTATTTCCTTTCAAAAGAGCTTGATGATGGAAGGATATGAGAAAAGAGAATAAATGTCAGAAAAATACCTCTGTCTTGCTTTTTAACAGAGAAATTAAACTTTAAATATTATACTAAGGAAGAACCAGTAGCCACCAAAACACTTCTAACTGTTCACATCTGAATGTATTATAGTATGTTAAGTTCAATGGGGTACTTTTTGTTTAATAATGTAGTAAAAGTGTCACTAGAAGTTGGCTAAATTAAACATTTATAGCAAATTGATAAGAAAAGCTATCTTGTTTGATAATAAAATGCTAGTTATATTGTATGATAATAAAACTGCCTGAAATAGTTGCTTACACACTAAAATCTGAAAGGTTAGTATAGGGTTTAACTCATTTGAAATAGTGTGTATGTGTGCATGCATGTGTATGTGTGTGTATGTGTACTTTTTTTCATGGCAAGCACTTAGAATTCTTTGACTACTTTGAAATTATTTATTGGCCACCTACAGAGTATTTTCTATATCTTCAGCCATTATGTTTGGAGTAGATTACATTCCTTATTCTTGAAGAACTCTGATGGCTAGACATGCAAATACAGCTTGTTTTATAACTGATACTGTAGATTTAGGTACTCAAAACTATGGGGACACAATTGAAAAGAGAAACCAAGCTAGGTTGAAGTGCAGAAAAGCTTCACAGATGAGGAACATATTAGTCTGCTATTAAAGAATAATCGAGATTTTGTTGGAAGGAAGAATGATTTGGATAGAAGCAGCGTGATGTATAGGAAGAGGAACTGTAAAAGAACAAGTGCAACAGCTGGTATATTTAGATGTACTTTGGAATGTGGGGTTGGGTACTAGAGGAGGATAAAATCGAAAGGGTTTGTTGGAGCCATAGCATGTGGGAAGTCTTGTATAACCTGAAGAAATTACAATTTTATTCTGAATGCAGAAGATTTTTGACATGGAAGGCCCATGTTGTATTTGAGAAAGGCCATTATCAGCAACGTGAAGGATCTTTTTGGGGAACAGATTAATTTTAAAGTCATAATGGGTAATTATCTTTTATGTAGAATTTGAATAAAGTCTAGGAAAATAAATAAATCCATTCAGATGTTTCTTGAAGTCAGGTGAAATAATCAGCTACTTTCTCATTTATTCCTTAGAATGGCTACATTTTATTTGATTGCTATTTTCAAAGGAGTCCTACATTATTCCTTTTCTGCTTATGAATGGACCTAAATCCTTTTTGGTTATAAATATCAGTGGTTATGTTTCTGAGTAATAAATGTCATGCTTTGCCTTTCTTGGTTTCAATGTTGTTAACATTATGAACATTATCTCTTAATGCTTGCATTTCTTCAATATTGATTCCATTAACATTCACTAGCTCAGTCATTTTTGGCTTTAAGGATTCAATCTCCTTTAACCAAATGGATTGCTACTGAAAACCACTAGAATGAGTTGATCAACTTAACAATGTGTTGATCTGTAAGGATTGAAACCTCTGTAATTTTAGTATGCCAGTAATGCACAGTACAGCATACTTACCTATAAGAACATCAAACATTCATTGATTGCCATTCTATATGTTAGGCATTGTAAGTGTTTATACATATGTACTCATTTACTACTTGCAATACACTGAAATAAGACTGCCTGTGTTCAAGTTCTGGCTTCACCACCTACTATTCACCTTGTACTTTTGGTGTCTTCAACTATAAAATGAGGATAGGAATAGTGCTTATCCCATAGGATTTAATGAGAGAATCATATTTAAAGCCCTTTTGTAATGGCTGGGTCAGAAATGTGAGCACAGAAATATGTGCGCTATTACTATCTTTTAAGCTCTATTATAAAATACTATATATGGATAACATGAGAGCGAGTTTTAAATAAGCATCTGAACTTCCAAACATAAATGGGGTTGAACTTCAAAGTGGTCATTTTGGGAGATTATATATTAACTTCAGTGGTACCTTCATTTTTCAATGATTACACATTTTTCTACTTCATGATTAAATTTACAGCTAAGGGAATGCTTCTGTAGAAGAAAACAACTATATTTCATAGTTACATCTTTTTAATTTTTTAAACTAAAAATGTACTGCTTTGCTCGATCAGCTGCAGTATTTATCAAACTTGACTATGACCAAGTTTTTTTTTTCCTTTTTCTTTTTAATTTGTATGCTATTTTCAAAGGTATACCAGAATTAGAGAGCAGGTTGTTATTTAAAATGTGAACTTTGTATAAATGTGTTCTGTATTTGCTGATTGCAAATGGTCCTTAAAGGTAGATAAAGTCTACTTGGTGGTAGGGTTTTGTTGGCAGTTAATTTGTTTTTATGTATTTCTGAGATTTTAGATTGAAATACTAAAAGCTTCCATAGTCTTTTATTTCCTAGTTTAAATTTCTTATATTTACTTATAACTAAACCTTTTATATTTTTGTTTAGTTTTTATTTGACACATATTAAACTCCTTCTACCATACAGGGAAATAAGTTTTATTTTTATAGGAATGTTTAATAGCCATTAGGTGTTTAGTTCTTTTTATCAGAGGATATTATACTATCCTCAGTTGTCTTTACAGTTTTCATGCTAGCAAAGGAGTTGGTTACTCTGCTCATTTTGTTGGCAACTGTTTTATAGTCACATCATCGAAGTCCAAAGGAAAATGTTTTCAGCATTGTGTGAAATATGATTTTCAACCACGTAAGGTAGGTAAAAGTAAATATTTTCATAACTCACTTGTTATGACAGAATTCTTAACTATCCTTTTATGACCTCTGTAGTATTCTCTTTCACTGGATTTCCTATGCTTTTAATGGTTTTCTCTTATCCTTGTTTGCATTTTCTTTTTACTTTTATGTCTAATTTTTGTCTTCTGTAAGGTCAGTGCTTTGATCTCTTGCGTGTATTTCTCTTACATTCTCTCATTATCTCAGTCTCATCTGTTCTATGGCATTCTTTCAATAGATACTTATTATTTACTGAGAATTGGACACCATTGTAGGCACTAGGGAGTTATAAATCTTTGCCTCTTTTTTAAAAAAGTTAAATGTTAAACCCCCAGATTAAGCAATGCACAGATAGTTTTGTTGGGGAGATTCACCTAATCCTAGTAGTTCTGAATCTTGTTTCCTAAGAGTGGAGGTTTTGTTAATTTCTGATGCTTTAATAATGCTGGCTTCAAGGATTTGAATGTTGCTGTACTGTTAGTTTTGGCTCGTAAAATATGTCTTTACTTAATATCCCAAATAATAGCAAAAACAAGGTCAAAACACATTTTAAAAACTGCTGTAAAGAGAAAATGCAGAGAAATGTGCAACTGTATAATTAGAATTATAAGAGATAATTCATTCATAATCGGGTGGCATTTTCTAGAGAGATTTTCCTGCCTGTGTACCGGACTCCATCTTTGTGTCAGAGTAACAAACCATCTGAAAGTCCAGATGAAAGAAAACAAGGACAGAGTGCATAGCAGTTCCCATCTCACATGTTTAAGGCTTTTTTGCCCTTCCAGGTTCAGGGTTCTTTCTTGGGTATATGACAGTGAGATTGTCAACGTTTTATAGGGCACACTGCCTCCTCCTAACAGAAATATCGCCTTACCCTTTGTGATTAATGGTACAATCATAATAGATATGATGAATCCAAACGTGGTGAGGGGGAGGTCTTTATATCTTTTTCATATCTTTTTTGTTTGTTTTCTTGTAGCTTATGATCTGATGTGTGTCTTGTCATATACAGAAAAAAAAATATTTTGGGTGGTATTTTCAAAAATTTGTTTAGATTTTATATGATTCTAATGAAAATATTTGTTTTATATTTAATGTCAGTAATTGTGGTTTCTATTAAAGAATATCAATTTAACAATAATTCATCAATATATACTTAGAAAATAGTTTAAAAAGCAATGATCTGAATAAATATATTCGTTCGTTATAATGGTGTATTCTTTCTTTTTTAATACAACTTGATTACTTTAATACCAATCACAATTGCCTTTGCTCTGGACATTCTGTTTTATTAAAACTAAGATAAGACCAAGATTGTTTGCTAAAATTGCCAAATTATTTTGAATTTCAGTGGAATTGATTAGAAGTACAGATTGTTGGTATTATAATTTTCATGTTAGGATTGTGTGTTTTTAATGAATATTCTAGGTAACTTTCTCATCAGACAGTTTTAGGAAACAGTGGTTTAAAGAATATACATGCAAACAATTAGAGTGAAGTTATAACCAAATGAAATTGTCATTAGCCAATAAAAAGCGCTTTAACCCATTTGTTCTCACGTTTTCTATTTTGTGTTTTCTTCACTGTTTACTTGTGGAAAACACATTCTCCTTTGTAAAGCTCTCAATATGCAATGATACTAAGGGTCTAGTTAGGAGCAGGGCCAGAGAATGATGTGGATTTTAAAAAGTCTTCTGTGAAGATTCTCAAAAACCTTGAAAAGTCATAAGTATTTGCTTTTATTGTGTTTCATTATTCACAATAAATTTATTCTCTTATTTCTTCCTTTCTTTAATTTCCCACAGATGCCCTAGCTAAGTTGTTGTTATCCTTCCTAATAAGAGATTTACTGGCCTTTCAAAAAGAAATCTTTACATTAAAACTTTTGCTTTCCCAGCTGCACCACTTACCAGCTGTTAGAACTTGTGAAAATGGGTATAAACCATTAGCATGTTACCTAATGGTAATATGTGCTCTAGACATATTAGCTATTATTGATATCATCTGTACTTTTTTGTCTTCAATTTATTTCCATATCTTCAACTTGTAATATATATCTTGTGGATTCTTAATATGGATCTTTTTTTCCCCTTATTCCTGGTTGTGTCCTTCTTCTATAAATTTCTTTTTGAGTCTCAAACTAAATGCAGACTTCACTATATATACATAATATCAGTATGCACAGCTAGTTTCCAAGTTTATTTTTATTTTCTTTAGTCGACATATATAAGGTCAAAAGTTAGGCTTTTTTTAGCCATTGAAAAACTCACTTGTGTCTGTTATCTGTAGAGTACAGTTTGATGTACCAAGGAAAGAGAAAAGTTACTTTTCTTATAAATAAGTACTCTGGTCTTAACTGAGATCAGTTCATTAATTCACCAGTGCATTCACTTATTTATTCATTTAATTTTATCATATATCATTGTTACAACCAAAAGCAAACCTTGGTAAACTCCAAATCTGATTAATTTTTCTGTATTAATGATCTTAAGTTAATGCTACCCTTACCCCTCTAAGTGAAAATTGGAAGCCATCTTAGACTCCCCTGTTGTATGTTAACACTTCCTATCAGTTCTGTTAGTTAATTCCCATCCTCATTTTAAAATTACTAATGACTTTGTCTTAGTTCAGCGGCTTATGGTGTCTTACCTCAACCTTTGCAGTGGTTTTTCAGTTTTATCTTTGTCCACACTTGCCTACCTATCTCACCTCCACATTGCTGCCAGGTATTTTCCTTAACTATGAAGCTGATCGTTTAACTTTCCTACTCAAAATTATTTAGTTATACCACATTATGCAAAAAACAAAGGCCAGTTTCCTAAAGGTCTGTTTATAATCTGGTCTTTGCCTGTTTTTGTTTTTCCTTCTAAACCTACACACTGAAGAAAGTTTTATCAAGCATCTGTGCTGTATCATATTAAGATTCCACCTGGAATGTTTTTTTTACCCCTGTCTACTGAACAATTCCTTTTCATCCTTCAAGCATAGTCTTATGGTTCATTTTATGCTTTTAGTGAATACTTCTATGATAGTCTTTCTTCTCTATTTGTCTTTCCTTCCCTGTTACTTATAGTAATTACTTTTATTACTCTCAAATCTGTATTTTAGATATTCTCGATTGTTCTCATAACTGTTTCTCTAGTGAAACTTCCTTGAGTGTGCGTATGTTGTCTGTCTTTATATATCCATGATCCAAGGTTGGGACAGGGTACTTGGCATAAAGTAGGCTCTTAGTCCATTTTTTGAATGAATGAATGACTCTGAAAGGTAAATAATAATCAACTTTAGCATAAATGAACCTCATCATGAGGACATAGTAGATAAAATTAAAATAGTAGTTTAGTGAATGGTATGTTATTTATGGGTGCCAAATACATTGGGAACTTTTCTTCATAGTTTTCATACATTATCTGTTTATAATATTCACAAGGAATCCACAAAGTAGGCATTATTATTCCCCTTTTTCAGAGACGAAAATAGGTTCAGAGATGCTAAGTAATTTGCCAAAAGCCATAGAGCTAGTAATTTGGGAACCCAATTCATGTCTTTAGGAAGTAAAATTTATCCTGCCCAGTACATTAAGTTATCTGAAGTAGTAAGAACTCAGTAAGTATTGTTTGAATGAGTACTTTTTTAATTGTAAGTACACCAATAAGTATGATAATACATCTAGTATTTATCTTAAAATTGTCTTTGGGCAGGAAATCTTTGCCTATATATAGGTATTTATTTGTGTCTCTTCTCTTTAGAAATGTAGGAAGAGAAACGAAGTGGAATAGGGCAACTTTACTACCAGGCTGCAGTTGGACAGCGCCTGTGTTCTTTTTTTTTTTTTTTTTTTTTTATTATACTTTAAGTTTTAGGGCACATGTGCACGTTGTGCAGGTTAGCTCCATGCTAGACAAACATTTACAATTACAAGCTAAATATCTTTTAGTATGTTCAGAAGCCATTGTATTTCTTTTTCGTTGTAAATTTGCTTGTTTAGGCCACCTGTTCATGTTTCTAATGAATAGCTTTCCTTTTCTTGTTGATTTATAAGAGTTCCTAATAATTAAGGCAGGTTAACTTTGTCTATTATAAAAGTGGCATATCTTTCTCTGAAAAAAAAAAGAAATGTAAAGTTTTCTTTACATTTTACTTTACTCTACTTTATCTTTTACTCTAGAATATAAAGATTGTGTCTTCTGTGTTATTTAGATAGCATTCTGGTTGGATAGTTTCAAACTCAGTGAAGGTAATATGTGCAAACTTTAATTCTTATACATGTAAAATTCTATAAGATTTTCCTTAAATTTATTTGAAGCTCTTTTTTTATGGTTTCTTCTTGATAATTTTGTAATATTTAGAAACAATGGTTAAATGACTACTTTAAAGATTTTCTCTTCTAATTTTAATCAGGGCTAACATATATGTCAGTTTCGAATCAAGTAAAAGACTTAGTTTGCAATAAATTAACGATTACCTGGAATGAAAAACCTGAAAAAAGGGTGGGCATTTTAGACAGTTAAATGTCTGGACCTGACCTTGCTTTTATAGAAGCACACTGTTGTTTTGTATTACTGACTTTTTTGAGTTCTTTAACACACTATTTTTTTTTCTTTTTCTTTTTCCTTGTTTTTTTTTTTTTTTTTTTTTTTGAGACAGAGTCTTGCTCTGTCACCCAGGCTGGAGTGCAGTGGTGCAGTCTTGGCTCACTGCAACCTCTGCCTCCCAGGTTCAAGTGATTCTTGTGCCTCAGCCTCCCGAGTAGCTGGGATTACAGGCAGATGCCACCACGCCTGGCTAATTTTTGTATTTTTAGTAGAGACGGGATTTCACCATGTTGGCCAGGCTGGTCTCAAACTTCTGACATCAGTTGATCTGCGCACCTTGGCCTCCCAAAGTGCTGGCATTACAGGCATGAGCCACCGTGCCCAGCCTATTTTTATTTTCTAAATTGAAATGGACAAAATTGAATTTTTCTCAAAGTATTTTAGATACCTTGAAATGACTAATATTTTAGTGATTAAGGATTATTATAACTTTTTATTTCTCAAAATATATATGAAATAATTGAATAGTGCATTCAAGTAATCTGTAGAACAAAGTTTGTATTTTATATTTTGGTGGGAGGGAGAAACCAGTTAATTTTCCCCTCTTAACTTCAGAAAGCATACTTGTTCAAATGTTTATAGATCATTTGTATTTTTCTATACTTTAGAAAAAAATAGTTCTATATTCTCTATTTTAGGGTATTAACTCTCAAGAGAATAAAGGTTGTTTCAGAAATCAAACCATCCATATTAAAACAGATACTTAAAATGCTATTTGACAGCAGTAACTATAAAATGGGCACTTAATATGAACTCATTCATTGATTCTTAAGAACAAAGACTCTAGGTAAGATATAGCATGCACATATATGAGTTAGTTTTAAATGTGCAG
Source organism: Homo sapiens (assembly GCF_000001405.40). Classification (NCBI taxonomy): domain Eukaryota; kingdom Metazoa; phylum Chordata; class Mammalia; order Primates; family Hominidae; genus Homo; species Homo sapiens. The sequence continues at coordinate 19,142,273 of NC_000014.9, forward strand.
TACACCTGGCTAGGGAAATATATAAAGGTTCTGTTTAAATCACATTGGGAATTGTGAAGTCTCAAACTACTTGGAGCTGAAAGAGAATTACACATTATACTCAAAGTGTTTATAATTCTGAAGGAGTACTTGTCTTGTATGGAAGCTTGGTTTATTTATTGAACTCAATTTAAATAATTAATGTGAAGATTGTGTTATGGAAAGGAAAAACATTTAAAAAAGTCCCTCTTTGGCCTTTGTATTTTTGCATTGGTATTTCTCTTTTTATTTTTATGTCATATATATATATACGCACACACACACACATATGTATATATATATAGAGAGAGAGAGAGAGAGAGAGGAAAGTTTGAATTTACCTATATTAAAAGATCTTTTTTTCTCAGTGACTTTAATAACCATAATAATATTGAAGAATAATAATGCTATTATTTTTATGTCAAGGTAACAATACTTGCTATCATATATTTTCCATATCATTTTTGTTTTTGTCTTACTAGCTCTAGAAATGAATTTGTGCTTGTCCAGCTACTTCTTCTTTCATGGGTCTTTTTGTTGGGTTTGCATCCTGGTTCTTCCATTGTTGATCTTGCATAGGAATATTTTTGTAATTCACATTTTTTATTAATATGCTGCCTGCTTTTCTTTCCTACTTCTTTGAGTTGTTTCATAAAATACTTGTAGTGTCTTTTTAAGCTCTAGTAGAATGATATTAAATACAGTGACAAGCAAACAAATGAAATATAAAAAGGTAGAATATCAAGAAGATACAAATCCAATATGATTGCTAATGTGAAATTTCAGAATTGATGGGAGCTTCCTGGCAACATCAGGGAAAAAGGCTGAATATAAGCAATTTTGTAATTCTATTCACAAAGAAGCAAACTGTGTCCTGAACAGTTTTGCAAACTCTGTAGTTGGTAGTATTCTTTTCACACGTCTTTCTTGTCATTCTTTTTAACAACAGTCATCTTGTCATTCTTTTTAACCCGGTCATCATGTGTGCACAGCTCATGTGACATAGTATAGTATCCTTAGTATCCTAACACACAGTAGAGTACCTAAAGTCAGAACTTTTAAGAGAGATACCTGTAAATTTGGGCATTACATCAGATAGTATTTTATTACGTTTTGAAAGTTCTCAGCTTACTGCACCCTTGTTGTAAGTGGGGATGGATGATAAATCCACAGGTACATGCATTTTCTCAATTTGTAAATATTGTAAGTACAATTGCACCATGACAGGCATCAGCAAATTTTTTTTATATTAAAAAGCTTTTTTTTCTTTTTAGAAATTCAGAGAACATAGAGAAGGAGGAATGCAAATGATCAGACTGTGTTTTGACGGAAAAGCTGAGTAGTTCACACATTATAGTCACAATTATCTTGGTAAAGTCACTCTCTGTGAGAGAAGGGGTGGAGGGCTACAGTGGAATTTTTAAGGTGTAGATAATATAATAACTAATGGACATTTGGATAAATCACAAATGGAGTTTAAATTACGTAGTGTTGTATAATAACATAGTATTTATATTTATTGCCTTAAGTTATATGGAACTTTCTTTCATTGTAATGGTCAGACAAAATTTATGATTCTGAGCTTAGTGTGGATAGCATGTCAACATATGGGCTTCGAAGTTAATAAAATAAGTTAATTCTACCTTCAAATAATGTCATCAAACTAAATATTCAATAGAGTCTGTCACAAATGATTTTGACTTGTTGGTCACTGTAGTGTTAGGTAAATTTTTTTCTGTCGAATATTTGGTTTTGAGCATTGCATCTTATCAGTAAATATTCTGTACTTGGTTATTTTCTGGAAACGGTAAATAAGTTAGGGTATGACTTATTAACTAAATAAACCATTCAGTTTGGAAAATACAGAAATACAGAAAATATTTAAAATACAGAAAATCTCACTGTAGATTTGTCTAGTATAGTAAAATTTACTACCAGATAGGTTTACTGTGGATCTCTATTTGGGGTTATTTAATGTCTTCAAGATTCTGTATGAGGTGGCCCTTTGACAAAAGCTTGCAAATCAGATTTTAACAAAGTTTTTATATTTTATAATTATTACTAGACATTTTCTCATTGTTCTCTTAATCCCGTGTAGCAAGCAGTTAGTCTTCATGGCCAGATATTTGAAAATTTAGCTTTGAGTTCTCTCTTTCATTTATGAATATGATAGCATAATGGTTTTTATAATTTGCTATATCATAATAAAGTTCTAACTGATAAGAGAAAAAGTATAACACAACCTCCAAAATTAAAAATCACTTCAGAGGATTTCCAATACTTGTGTGGAGGGGTGAGCTCCTAACAAACTGATCTTCTCACAAATAACCATTTGTAAACTCTGCACATAATATAGATAACATCTATCTGAGGGTTGTGGAGATTGAATAAAAGCAGGCAAGCTTTGGAGGGGAATCAAAATATGGAACAGTCAGTCTACATGGACTGATATCCCCATTTTTTGCTTTTATAGGAAATTTTCTGGCCAGAAAGTTTCTCCATAATATTGTACAGAGTTATAGTCACACTATTTAGCATATAATCCAAAAGTACTTATTCTAAAAATGGTCAGGAAAATGTGACTTATTCTCAAGGGAAGAGAAAATCATCATATACCAACTCTAAGATAACCCACATGTTGGAAATATCACATGAGGTCTATTGTAACTAGCGAGGTAGAGAAAAGTTTACTTATAATGAATTAAAAGATAGGAAGTACCAGCCGTGAAATAAAACAAAATCAGATGGCAATTCTAGAGCTGAAAAATATATCAGAATTAAAAATAGGCTCTATGGGCTTATTAGCAGAATTAATATTATAGAGAAGTAAATGAACTTGAATATAGATTGATAGAAAATCTGAAGAGACTTATGAAAGATTGGGGTGAAAAAATAGAACCATAGAGATGTATGGGGGCAGTTTTGAAAGGTCTAATAGGCACAGTATAAGAGAAAGAGCCAGAAAAAATATTTGACTAAATGATGATAGAAAACTTCTCAGATTTGGTAAAAGGATTACGTTTATAGATTGAAGAAACTCTGAAAATTCCAACCAAAATAAACGCAAAGAGAACCAAAGTAGGCATTTACAGTCAAAGTGTGGAAAACCGAAGATAAAGAGAAAATCTTGAAAGCAGGCAGAGGAAAACTAGATACTGATAAGGGAACAATAATTTGAATTTCTGTACACATCTCATCAGAAAGCAGGGAAGCCATAGAGGTGGAACAAAATCTTTAAAGTTCTGAAAGGAAGAAAAAAATCTGTCAACCTAGAATTTTTTATCCAGTGAAAATATTCTTTAGGTCTTTTGAAAGAAAATTTTAAAAATTTGTTGTTATTTGACTCTCATTACTGACTAAAGAAGAAAACCTGGATGATTCAGTGTATATACATGTAATACGTATGATAACTCACAGAAAGATTTGGGGAGAGGCTATAAATGCACCTATGTAGTTGAAAAGTTATGTATTTTGCAATGTGTCTTGATAGAATGTTGACGACAATTCAATGGCTAAAACAAAATTATCAAAGTCAAAATTGCATGTCTTTTCTTGAATGATAGGTATGTATCTGGTATTTCATTTACCCACAGCATATGCTGTAGACCCCTCTTTCAAATTAAAGATAACAAAAGCCCAATTGAAAGGAAAACAAAATACATCAATGCTAACTAAATACAAATAATTAGCCTTCACTAATTCATCCATTCATTCTTTTATTAAACAGTTGGGCACTGTTCTAGATGCTAGGGACATAACAATCAAACAAAACCAACAAAAACCCCTTGCCTGTATTTTGGAGAAGTAGGGTTTGCAGTATCATGGGAGAAGACATAACAAAACAAAAGAAAAATATATAGTGTGTATATGGTGATAAGAGCTATGAGACACACAAAGCAGGTAAAAAAGATGGAAGTTGATGCTAGCCAAGTGGATATCTGGGGAAGAGCTTTAAGGGTAAATGCCAGAGCAAGAATGAAGGCCATTAGCAGAAGCTTACTTCACAGATTAAAGAACACTGTGACTATGTTTTCCTGTGACTGTCACAGAAGGAGCAAGGGGGAGAGTCAAAGAAGATTAATTCAGAGAACAACTATATGCTTTCAGAGGATTGTTATGACTTTATTTTTGCTCTTGAGTGAGAGCGACAGCCATTGAAAAGTTTTGGGTGTACTGGCCTGATACCAATTTGAAAGGGATCACTCTGGTTACTATGGTAAATAGGGAGAAAAGGTGGAAATAGGGAGACTAGTTAGGGGGCTGCTGCAGTTATTTAGTGAAAGAGCTCTGGAAAGTATTGAGACTTGATTAGATTTTTGATAAAGCATATCTAAAATATCTAAGACTCTCAAAGGTCAGCTTTTGGATATACTTTGGAGGTAGTGCCAGTAGGATTTTCTGTCACTGTGAACATGGGGTAAGGGAGCAAGAGAGGACTGACAGGAGCAAGTAACCCCATGAATTTCAGCCTGAACAACTGAGCTGATGGAGTTGTCATTTGCTGAGATGGGAGGACTATGAAGAAATAAGTTTTGGCAGAGAAGATCAAATATTAGGTTGTGGACATAGGTTATGGGCATAGTTGTTTGAGATGCCCAATAAACATCTAAATGGAAAAATGAAGTAAGTCTGGAGTTTAGAGGTGACATCTAGGTTGGAGATAGAAATTTGGCATTGGCAGGATATGGACAGGATTTAAAGGTAAAGGACTGGATTTACGTGCCAATGAAGTGAGTTCAGAGAAAAAGATAACTGAGAAATGAGTCCTTGGGAAAGCCACTGTTTGTAGGTTGAGGAGATGCAGAGGAAGCAGCAAAGGAGAAAGAGGAGAGCAAGGGAATAAGGAGAAAAAGCAGGAGAGTGTGGTGTTTTAACTTGACCTACTTGAAGTTAAATCTCCTTTCTTCATTGAGGATACTGTCAAATACACACAGGATAATAGATTAGAAAATCCCATAATTATACATAAAGAACAGCCTCAGAATAATAATATCAATAATGCCCAATTGTTATAATTACTGAAAATACAGTTAATTTGTTTTTGCATGCGTTCTCTTCATTCTCCCTCTTGCCATTTTTAAAATAGTTGAGGTAGGTTACAAGGTGAATTATGTTCCCCTAAAATTCATTGAAATTCTCACCCTCAGTAGCCTGAAATGTGACTGTTTTTGGAGACGGGTCTTTAAAGAGGTAATTAAGATTAAGTGAGGTCATTTTGGTTATTGGGTCCTAATCCAGTATAACTGTATCCTTATAAAGAGGAGGAAATTAGGACTCAGACACATGCAAAAGAAAGACCATGTGAAGACACAGGGAAGAAAAGGTAGTTAGGTTGTCTTCAAACCAAGGAGAGAGTCTTCAGAAGAAAACCCTGCTTACACGCATATGTTAGACTTACAGCCTCCAGAACTATGAGAAAATAAACAACTTTTATTTAAGCCATCCAGACTCCGGTACTTTGTCATAGCAGATCCAGCAAGCTCATACAAGGTCTTATCTACATTGTGAGCACACACAGTTATTACATACCATTCTCTCTTAACTCTTATTTAATCATAGTCCTATAAGTACCTGTGTGTTTAGGGCTCATATTATTTCCTTATATTGATGTGTTTTGGCTGTGTTTTAGCTCTTTCTGTAGTAGATTCCTCAGGAAGAGTTCATGGAAACAGTATTTCTTGAGAAATGCATTTTGATACTAGTTTGTAAGGTGCTTTATATTTTTTACTTGAAAGTCATTTTGCCTGGCTATAAAATCCTTGACTTTTCTTTCTCTCTTTGGATGTCTTAAATATGCTACTAATTTTTCCCTGGCATGAGGTATTAGTATTGAAAGTCTGTTGACAATGTAATATCTTCTCCATTACAAGACACTCAGTCTTGTTAGATGTTCAAAGGACTTTTTTTTCTTTTTCCTTAAATCTAATAATTTTGGTAGATATGTCTTGGTGTTGGTCGTTCTGAGTTAATTTCTCAGGTATATGGTGTGCACTTTCATATGTAGTTTGCATCTTTTCATATTTTAAGAAATTGTTCTTATACTATACTTTTAGAATTTCTTCTGTTTCCTTGCTTTGGTTTTCTTCTCCAGAGACTTGACTATGCATGTTTATTTACTTTGCTTATCTTTAATATTCCTCTTAAATCACTTATTTTATTTCACTTTCTCTTAAATCTTTATCTCCTTCTTTATTTCTCTCTCATTTTTAAATTTAAAAGTAAAATAAAAATTACAGAAAAGCTACAAGCACTATGCCAGTTTTTTTCCTGAACTATGAGAGTAACTACTGACATGATGCTCCATCATTCCTGAATGTTATGTTGCTACAAACAAGAACATTCTTTCACATAATTATTCTGTAACATAAAATCAAGAGATTAGCAATGATTTGTTACTACCATTTAATTCTCAGACCCCGTTAAAATTTTGCTATTTGTTGTATATTTTATAGTAAAAAGATCCAGTTTACTGCGTTTACATTATAATGCATCAAACAGCTTCTCAGTCTTTCCTTCATTTTCCATATGGATGCCCTCTTAACCTGAGGCAGGTGTTGGCTTCTTTTCTGGTTACCTTCCATCATGGATGCCCTCTTAACCCTTCCTCAGTTCTAGCACAATACACTTAGCTAGGCTGTTGAGCTGATGCCTTCCCTATATCCTTCTGGAGCCCCGGGTTTCTTTACCTCCTGCTGGGCAGCCCTCTTATTCAGATGCTACCTTCTCTCTAGAACTCTTGACACCCCACCCTGGCTTACTCCTTTAGGCAATGTGCTCCCTGCCCTGCTGGTGTTGTGCCTTCCCTTGCCTGGTTGCTTCCCTTTGTGCGTATTTCTCATCTTCCTCAGGCTACAACAAACTGAGCCAGGCAACCCTCTGTGAGGATGCCCTTCTCTGGCTGCCCAGGCTCCAACATGTCAAGCCACACACCAAATGAATGAGTTTCAACCCCCACTCTAGGTCCAGCTGCCTCCGATGGTTTGCCCTCTCCTCCAGGCGGAAGCCTTCTCACCCTTTTCAGGCTCTGAATCTCTACACAGAGAAGCCTTTAGTGTACCTAACCTTCCTTACCTTGCACATACTCAGAAACTTTATGTCAAAGCACAACCCACTTGCCTCTTCCTTGTTGTTTCAGGTAGACGCCTTATCACTTTTTTGGAATTCTGACTTCATGAACTGGGCAGCTCTCCTACGTACCCTTCCTACCCTTCTTATGCTCTGACGTCCTGCAACAAATTGCACTATGTTGTTGGCTGTAGGTTTTTTATAGATGCTTTTTTCTTGCTAGTTAGAAGTTCCATTCTATTCCTAGTTTGTTCAATGCTTCTTATAAAAAGTGTTAGTTTCTGTCAAAGACATTTTGTGTATCTGTTGAGATAATAATATTAATATGCTAATCAGTCTAGGTACAGGCTTGTTAGTAGTGTTGACCTTTTCAAAGAACTGGCTTTTGATTTTATTGTGTTTTCACAGTTGTTTTCTTATTGTCTATTTCATTAAGTTCTTCTATAATTCTTTTTATTTTTTTCTTTCTGCTTGTTTTATGTTTAGTTTGCTTTTTTGCTTCCAGGGTCATAAGGTGGGAGGTTTAGTTGTTGATTTGAAGTCCTCTTTTTAAATACAAACATTTACACGTATAAGTTTCTAAGTGCCTTAACTGCATATATTTTGGTATTTGTGCCTTTATTCATCTCAAAATATTTTGTAATTTCCCTTTTGATTATTTCTTCTTTGACACATCAGTTATTTAGGAATGTGTTTATTTCCACATATTTGTGAATTCCTCAAATTCCCATATATTATTGGTTTCTAACATTCCAGTTTGGACAGATCATATACTTTGTATTATATCTGTCTTCATAAATTTATTGAGGTTTATTTTATGACCTGAGTTTGGTCTATCCAGGAGAATGTTTTGTGTGTACGTATTTTTTGGAAACAGGGTCTCTCCTTCTGTCACCTAAGCTGGAGTGCAGTGGTGCAGTCCTAGCACACTGGAGCCTTAGACTCCTGGGCTCAAGTGATCCTCCTGCCTCAGCCTCCTGAGTATCTGGGACTATAGGCACAAGCTACTGTGTCTGACTAATTTTTCAGTTTTTTACAGAGACAGGGTCTTGCTAGCTCAGGCTAGTTTTGAACTCCTGGCCTCAAGTGATCCTCCTACCTCAGCCTCCCAAAGTCTTGGGATTACAGGCATAAGCCACTGAGCCAAGCTATGTGTACTTTAGAAGAATGTGTATTCTGCTGCTTTGGGATGGTGTGTTCTAGAGTTGTCTGTTAGTTCTGTTTGGTTTTTGTTCAAGTCTTCAGTTTCCTTCTTGATTTTATGAATGGAAAGTTGAGTATTGAAGTGCCCAACTATTATTGTTAACTTGTCTATTTCTCCCTTCATTTCTTCAGATGTTGCTTCACGTATTTTGACACTCTGCTGTTAGGTGCATATATGTTTACAATTGCTATATCCTCCTCATGATTGGCCCTTTTATCATTATCCAATGTCTTTTTAATATCTAGTAATATATCTTGTTTTAAAGTCTGTTTTGTGTGATATTAGCACAGCCATTCCAGCTTTCTTGTGATTTATTGATATTTTTCCCATTTAATTTACTTTAAATATGTTTTTATCTTTGAATATTCTATAAACAGTATGTTATTGAATCTTACTTTATTATCCAGTCTGACAATCTCTGCCTTTTGATTGGATTGGTTATTTCATTGATCTTTAATGTGATTATTGATAGGTTTCCATGTGTCATTTTACTTTTTGTTAGCTATGTGTCTCATGTTCTTTTTATTTCTTTATTTCTTCTTTACCACTTTCTTTGGATTATGTGCTTATTTTCTTATACAGCATTTTCAATTTTTAAATAATTTTTTTTCACTGAAAAAAACATTTCCTTAGTGATTGCACTAGGGCTTACCATATACATCTTAACTCACTGGAATCAGCCTCAGATTTATACTAATTTTATCCTAGTGAGTTATATAAATGTTACTTCTATATAGCTCTATTTGTTTTCTCCGTTTTTTGTGACATTGTTACACATATAGTATCTGTATATGTTATGAACCCAACATGACATAATTATTACTTCATATAATTGTGTATTTTAAAGAAGCTGAGAGAAGAAAGGCGATACAGTATATGTTTGTAGATTTTATTATATTGATCTTCTGATTTATCATTTATGAATCTCTTCATTTGTTTCTGCAGATTCAATTACCACTTGGAGTCATTTCCTTAGCTCAGTATAACTTTGCTTCCATCCACCTTCTTTGTTATGCTGAAGTGGTCCGTATTGAAAAGCATGCATAATACTCTACTCATTTGAGTATAATTGGTACAAAATATATTCATACCTTCTTTTCTTCTTTTGAAATAATTATAACAGTTTTAATGAAGTGTAATTTACATGCCATACAACTCATTAATATTAAGTGTACAAGTCAATTATTTTTTATAAACTTACAAAGTTGTGCAGACATCACTACAATTTAATTTTAGAACATTTCTATCACCCCAGAAGGATCCTACCTGCCTATTTGCAATCACTCTTCATTCTCATCCGTGTCCTATTCATACAGTTTTAGATAACAATTCTTCCTCTGAAAACCCTTTTGAAAGAAATAATACAATAAATATTGATATTTATATAAAGGCTTATATTTTTATGTAAAATTTTTTCTTTTTAAATGTTTTTTAAAGTCAGGGTCTCACTGTGTCACCCAGGGTGGAGTGCAGTGGTATGATCATGACTCATTGTGGCCTCAAAATCCTGGGCTCAGTGATCCTTCCACTTCACCTCCTGAAGAGCTGGGACTACAGGCATGTGACACCACACTCGGCTAATTTTTAATTTTTTGGTAGAGATGGGGTCTCTCTCTGTGTTGCCCAGGTTGATCTCAAACTCCTGGCCTCAAGTGGTCCCCCACCTTGGCCTCTCAAAGTGCTAAGATTACAGGTGTGTGCCATTGTGCACATCTGCCTTTATATATAAATTTAAAGACATAGAAATAACCTAATACTACAAAGAAGGGGAGATAAGAAAATTAGTTTTATTTAATGGATTCCATGTTTATATTTAAATTACATTATACACTTTTTTAACCTGAAAGTGTTAGATTTCATTACATAAACTTGTTTTCCTCCTACAAACCAAAATAGGGTATGGTATGTATCATGGACTCAGAAAAACTAAGACCAATGTATTTCCAAATAAGAATAGGTTTTATTAAACATCTTACATTTCCACAAAGGTATTTTAAATCCTTTAAGATAATATATTAAAACTTGTTAATTCCAGTGTAAGCAAGATGAACAAAATGAAAGCAGGAGTTTTGTTCTAGACAATGGGATGTACAAATGTTTCAGCATTTGTAAAATGCAGACACGGAAAGCTGATTTAGTGTTTAACAACATATCTTGTGTGTTTTAATTCAGTCATTGTTTTTTTGAATGCAGATATGCTGAGTTCTTAAGCATTCTAGTGATAACACTACCCTCCTCATTCAAAAAAAAAGTATTATCAATGAAATACTTCAGACTACAGCATACACAAATTTTTAATTATTCATGTTGCTCTTGTCTTGGCACATGCCTAATAATTAATAGTTTGCATCCAGTTTTGTATTAGTCTCTACACACTAGTCCAGAAGTAAAAACTGACATGATTGGTCTTCACAGTGTTAAAATGTTTTAATTAAATTGTAAAATATAGTGCTTTTAGATAAAAATTCGGATTTCATGTTTCTCTTGAAAAATATGGAAGAACTAGCAACATTGAACAACTGACTTGAACTGAGGAGTAGGGGCCACTTTTAGAAAGGACAAACATTCTCTAGTTTGAGGAAGTCCCCATCTGGCCAAATTCGCTTACATGCATATCTGTGTGCCTCCTGTGAGAACTTGAGTTTGGGACATTTGATTTAACCCTATTATAACATTGAGTGAGAAAATTGGAGCCACATCAGCTAAAAGACTTCCTAAGCTGAAAAAGATTAGTGGCAGAGTCAGGATTTTAAGATGATTTCACTAGTGATACATTGAATATGGACTATAAATCAAAAGACTTAGAATTACATGCTGGCCCCTTCCCTTCTAAATCTTAATTTCTTAACATTAAGCTTTCATAGTTGTAAGTTGAAAGTAATAGTAATATTGATATGTGATGATTGCAAAGGTTAAATATCATTTATCATTATTAGACTCATATCTGCAGAGCAATTTTAACCACGTCTAACAATACCTTTCTTGTTATAGATGGCATATGTTTAGTTGTCTTTCATAAAAAGTAATAACATGTTTTAACAAACTTATCTTCTGAGTTTAGTATGTATATTGTGATATTATTGTTGAGTAGCATTGGTATTTCATAGGTTGATTTTATTTTTAGTAAAGATATGAATATTTTTGCATATTAACTTTTTATAGCCTCAAATGATAGTCTTTTTTGTAAGTAATTCATGTGTCAGGCACTGTTTATTTACATAAATACTTTTTAAAGTATTAACAAGAAAAATTAAACTTATGCTATGATGTAGTCAAGTACAATCCTATTATATATAAAATCAGGTTTGATATTTTTTTCTAATGAAATGATTTTGCCAGTAATCAAAAACTTTAAATTAGAAAATGAAGATCTGAGCATCTTTATTGGCATAATAAAACTTAACTCTCATTGAATTGAAGTGACTATAACGAAGTAAGTAACACCACTGAATAGTCCCTGACACATGAAAGGTACACAAGTACTTTCTTATTGCAAATGTTTCTCTGCTTTAAAACTTTGGCTTTTTAATTGTTGCTTTTAAAAACACTGTTTAACTTAGTTTTATTTTTTCAGAGTACCTTCAAGTTTAAATCTAAGAGTGATATTCATTTGGCAGAACATCATAAACAGGTTTTATATGATGGGAAACTTGCAAGTAGCATTGCCTTTACATATAATTGCTAAGGCCACTGATACTCAACTCTGCCTGGAATCATCACCAAAAGAGGATGCATCAATTTTTGTGCATTCCCAACATGCTCTAATGCTTCCGGTGGGTGAATCATGGCTTTGTTTTCATGTTCTTGTCAGAATTTAACAATATTTTTATTTTATATATCAAACATTGCTCATCTATAAATCTGTGACTTTTTGTTTCTTTTTGGCTTTTGCAGATCTTTTAAGTGAAACTTTAAAGAATGTCTATCTTTTCTGTAGCAATATGCTCTACCCTGGCCTTGTCTCCTTAGTAGGAAATCTGTCATACCTATTATCTTATATATTATACAGCCTTTCAAATTAAATCAATTAACTGAATCAGTTAGTTGTTAGATATAAAAACATACTTTGCTTTAAGATTGTATTACTAATATTCTGTAACATTAAAATTACTTGTCTTTAAATCCATCAATAGTATTTCTGATTTTAAAATAACATTTGATTTTAACTTCATATTTTTAGTGTAAAAAAAAATCTTAGGTTGACCTAAGATTTGAAATTTAAAAGTGATTAGCAAAGGTACTCACTTTTTTGTCTTACATGTGTATAAAAATTATAATTGAAGGCTTAAAAAATTTCCAACTATGTTATTTAATTCCCTTATAAACGTATTTGGACCAAGGAAATAGTGATGAAAATCATTCTATAGAAGTTTAATAAACATTTTTGTTTTTAGACATAGGATGTGAAAGGGATAGTAACACATTCAATTCATAGTGCAATTCATTCAATTGGACAGATTCAAGTGCTTTTTCCACTGTTTCCCCAGTTGGATAATTGGCAGCTCAATGACAGTCAAGTGGAAACAACTGTCTGGTAAGTTTTCTTTACATGTACAATTGCTGGTATTTTATACACACTTAGACTATACATGATGTACTCAGTGCTGTGTAAATGTATTACAGTATTTGGGTTCTGCCCTTAAAGTGCTAATACATTTTTTAGAACTAATGCAGATAGATATTTATACAATAAATAAAGAAAACCCTGACATTTAGGTTGTTATACCATAAAGGAATGCCTTTTGTGACAATAAATAGAAAATCCTTAACAAAGATAGCATAGTGATTATAATATGTAGTTGAGGTAAAATATGAATCCTGACCTTATCATTTGCATATACTCATGGTTCGAATTGTCCATGAAACCCTGTCAGGTTGAAGAAAATTACTAGGGTAAAATTATTCAGAAGAATAATATTTATTAGCAATTACATAATTTATATCATAAAGACTGGTATTATTTTATGATGCTTTTGTCGTGGCATAACTCTAGCATAATATTAATTGACATCAACCCTTATTTATATATAGTTTATGTTTGAGGACTCAAATCTAACTAGTGGCAAATCCAAGTTTATGTAAAAATTAAATCTCTTCTAATGAGTGTAATTTCATGTGCATTTTTATAGCTTCTCTTTTATTTAAAAAAACCTTATGTGCCAGACTCTAATTTACTGTTATATCTTAGAATTATATATACAAGAATTTAAAAATGAACTCTAGTAGCTATTTTGACTATACACATTGCCATGCTTGGGGATTTTAATGGGCAAGTTATATAGATAAGCATTAATTTTTATTCCAAAAGTAACATAGTAGTGCTTCATCAGTATATATACATATACATGAGCTCCTTCATGGGTTATCTAATTTTGAATTGATGGTGAATCTAGTGAATGAAGGTATGGGAAAAATTTAAGGTACAATGAAGTGTAATACATGCTTTTTCTCATAATTATTATCTAAATTAGGTATTAATGAAATTCAATTTTAGTATTTCTAATAATATTATTTCTGTTTTGGGAACATCTTTATGTAAAGTATAAATCTAAATATAGATAAGAAATTTGTACATTTATAACATTACCTCCCATCTACGGGTCTTGCCGCCGTTTATATCAATATTGTGTAAAGGTTGGAGTTTTGAAAGTAAAAAACTTTGATGTGAAAAGGAATCCTGAGGTTATGTCCTGCTGTGATACTATTTTGTTTGTGAGATCTCAAATAATCTAATTGGAAGGTAGCTCAGCTTAGTGGAAAAATCAAACTTAAAATTTCTTTCCTTTATTTAAACTCGAAATGTTTTGCTATTTATCATCTCAGTGAACTAAGACACATTATGATCAGTAATTTAAAATCTAGTCAGTACTATGAAAAGAAGTGGGAGATGAAGTAGCCACTAGAAAAATCCATGTATAATTTAAATATTTCTTATGAAATAATATGAAATACATATATTATCAAATCTTACTGCTAAAACCATATGTAATAGGTTATCTGGTTCATTAATACAAGATGCATGGTTACTTTTTACTGTCCTTCCTCAAAACTCATTTAATAGGTATATCATATCTTGGTATTTAAATTGTATTTATTTCATCATGGAGATAAAAGAGAGTGTGAGGAGTCAGCATACTTATTTTCATTTTGATTTTAGTTCTTTTATATCATTCATCCTAATGTTTCCCTGTATTAACTAATTCCAACTTTTTCAGTGATGCCTATTACGTCTTTAGTTTCTTTCTTTATTTATTTAAGATGGACTCTTACTCTTTTGTCCAGGCTGGAGTGCAGTGCTGTGATCTCTTGACTCACTGCAACCTCGGTTTCCCAGACTCAAGCAATTCTCCTGACTCAGCCTCCCAAGTAGCTAGTGAGGCACCTGGGGCAGAGAAAAAAAAAAAAAAAAAAAAAAAAAAAAAACCTCGCGTGCAGAGGAGTGGGGCCTGGGTCCCTCACAGACGAAAGTGCCTTCCCATCAGCCCCTTCGCTGGGCCCAGTGGACCCTGGCGTCCCTGGTTCCACCCCAGGATGCGCCTCAGGCCGCTAGGGGTACCTCAAGGCGGACAAAAGGCCCATGAGGGGAAGGTGAGGTTTGAGGGAGGATAGGTGAGGCACCTGTGGCAGGGAAAAAAAAAAAAAAAAAAAGTGCCACGGAGAAGGGGGGGCCTGTGTCCCCCATGCACGAAAATGCCTTCCCATCAGCCCCTGCGCTGGGCCCCGTGGACACTGGCAACACTGTTTCGAGCACAGGGTGTGCCTCGGGCCTGATAGGGGTACCCCAAGGAGGGCAGAAGGCCAATGAGGGGAAGGTGAGGGACCTGGGGCAGAGAGAAAAAAAAAAAACGCACCTTAGAGAAGCGGGGCCTGGGTACCCACGGACGAAGGTACCTTCCCATCAGCCCCTGCGCTGGGCCCCGGCGACCCTGGCGTCCATGGTTCGAGTCAAGGGAGCGCCTTGGGCCGCTAGGAATACCCCAAGTCGGACAGAAAGCCCATGATGGGAAGTTAACGTTTGAGAGAGGAGAGGTGAGGCATCTGTGGCAGAAAAGAAAAGAAAAGAAAACAAAACAAAACAACAACAACAAAAAAAGCCGCGCCTAGGAGAAGCTGGGCCTGGGTCCCCCACGGAAGAAAATGCCTTCCCATCAACCCCTGCGCTGGGCCCTGTGGACCCTGGTTCGAGCCCCGGGTGCGCCTTGGGCCCGCTAGGGGTACCCCAAGACGGGCAGAAATCCCATGAGGGGCAGTTGAGGTTTGAGGAAGGTGAGGTGAGGCACCCGGGGCAGAAAAAAAAAAAAAAAAACCGCACCACGGAGAAGCGGAGCCTGGGTCCCCAACGGACGAAAGTGTCTTCCCATTAGCCCTTGCGCTGGGCCCAGGGGACCCTGGCGTTCCTGGTTCGAGACCAGGGTGCGCTTCAGGCGCCGCTAGGGGTACCGAAAAGCGGACAGAAGGCCCATGAGGGGAAGGTGATGCACCTGGGGCAGAGAAAAACCCAACAACCGCGCCGCAGATAAGCGGGGCCTGGGTCCCCTACAGAAGAAACTGTCTTCCCATCAGCGCTTGCGCTGCACCCCGGGGACCCTGGTATCCCTGGCTCGAGCCCAGGGTGCGCCTCGGCCTGCTAGGGGTACCCCAAGGCAGACGGAAGGCCCATGAGGGAAAGGTGAGACACCTGGGGCAGAGAAAAAAAAATAAAAAACTGCGGCGCCCAGAAGTGGCGCCTGGGTCCCCCACGGACCAACGTCCCTACCCATCAGCCCTACACTGGGCCCCGGAGACCCTAGCGTCCCTGGCTCGAAACCAGGGTGTGCCTCTGGACCGCTAGGGGTATCTCAAGGCGGGCAGAAAGCCCATGAGGGAAAGGTGAGGCACCTGGGGAAAAGCAAAAAACAAAACAAAACAACAACAACAAAAAATCACCGCAGAGAAGCAGAGCCTGGGTCCCCAAGGAAGAAAGTGTCTTCCCATCAGCCCTTGCGCTGGGCCCCAGGGAACCTGGTGTCCCAGTTTCGAACCCAGGGTGTGCGTCTGGCCACTAGGGGTACCCCAAGTCTGACAGAACGCCCATGAGGGGAAGGTGAGGTTTGAGGGAGGAGAGGTGAAGCAACTGTGGCAGAAAAAAAAAAAAAAAACACCACGCCGCGGAGAAGCGGGGCCTGGGTCCCCAAGGGACGAAAGTGCCTTCCCAGCAGCCCCTGCGCTAGGCCCCGTGGACCCTGGCGACCCTGGGTAGAGCCCAGGGTGCGCCTCGTGACCAATAGGGGTATCCCAAAGCGGGCAGAATGCTCATTAGGGGAAGGTGAGGCTCCTGGGGCAGAGAAAAAAAAAAAAAAAACCCTGCCGCGGAGAAGCGGGGCCTGTGTCCCCCACGGACGAAAGTGTCTTCCCATCAGCCCCTGAGCTGGGCCCAGGGGACCCTGGCATCCCTGGTTCAAGACCAGGGTGCACTTCAGGACTCTTGGGGTACCCCATGGTGGGCAGAAAGCCTATGAGGGGAAGGTGAGGTTTGAGGGAGGAGAGGTAAGGCACCTGTGGCAGAAAAGAAAAAAAAAAAACCGCGCCACAGAGAAGCAGGGCCAGGGTCCCCCACGGACGAAAGTGCCTTCTCAGCAGCCCCTGCGCTGGGCCCCGGGGACCCTGTCATCCCTGGCCCGAATCCAGGGTGCGCCTCTGGCCTGCTAGGGGTTACCCAAAGCGGGCAGAAGGCCCATGAGGGAAAGGTGAATCACCTGGGGCAGGAAAAAAAAAAAAAAAACCGCGCTGCGGAGAAGCGGGACCTTGGTCCCCCACCAGTGAAAGTGTCTTCCCATCGACCCTTGCGCTGGGCCCCGGGGTCCCGGCGACCCTTATTCGAGCCCAACACCTGCCTGGGGCCGCTAGGTGTACCCCACGTCGGACAGAAGGCCCATGAGGGGAAGTGAGGTTTCAGGGAGTAGAGGTGAGGCACCTGTGGCAGGTGTCCATCTGTAAACTGTTTATCCATGTGAGCCCTGATGTTCACCAGGGGCTGGATGTCCCCCTGGGGCTGGATGTTCGCCTGGAGCCTGGTGTCTACCTGGGGCCTGATATCCAGGAGAGGCTTAGTTATCCACCTATGGCCATCTGGAGCCAGATGCCCACCTGAGGTTTGGTGTAAACCTAAGGCCTGATATCTACCTGGGGCTTGGGTGTTCATGTGGGGCCTGATGTCCACCTAAGACTATGTGTTCACCTGGAGCCTGGGTGACCATCTGGGTTATGACGTTCAGCTGGGGCCCAGAGTTCAGCTGGGGACTGGGTCAACCTTCTGCCTGATGCACACCTGGGGACTAGGTACCCACCTGGGCTCCCGTGTTCACTGCAGCCTGATGTCTTACCTGGGGCCATGTGTTTACCTAGGACCAATGCATCCACCTGGGGTCTGAGTGCCCTCATGGAGCCTGGAGTTTTCCTGGGGCCTGGGGTCTGCCTTAGGCTTAAGTGTACATCTGTGGCCTGATGTCCACCTTGGGATGGATGTCCACCTGGGGACGGATATTCAGTAGGGGCCTGAGTGTCCACCTGGTTTGTGATGTCTACCTGGGGCCTGGTGTTCATCTGAGGTTTGATATCCACCTGGGGCCTGGACATTTGTCTGGAACCTGATGTACAGCTGGTGCCTGAAGTTCATGAATGCCTGGTGTCCCCCTGGGGCCAGGTAGTCAACACAGGGCCTGAAGACTTTCTAGAGTTCAGTGTTCACCTGGGGCCTGAAGTCCACCTAGGGCTTGGGTGTCCAAATAGGGCCTGGTGTCAGCTTGAGATTTGTGTATTTACCTAGGGACTGGTTTTCCACTTGGGGTTTGATTTTTTACTTGGTTTTTGTGTTAATCTGGGGTCTAGTGTCCACCTGGGGCCTAGGTATCCACCTAGGGACTATTGTCCAGCTGGAGACTAATGACTACCTATGGCCTGGTAATCACCTAAGGCTTTGTTTCACTTAGGTACTTGGTGCCAAACTGTTGCCTGCTGTTCACCTGGGCTATGGTGTCCCCCTGGGGTCTGGATGTCAGCCTGGGGCTTGTTGTATACCTGTATCTTAGATATCCAGATAGGGGTCTGTTTTCTACTTAGGTGCAGCAGTCCATCTGGTGCTTGAGTGTCGACCTAAGGCCTGATGTCTATGTTGGACCTAGGGTTCACCTGAGGCCTGATATCCACCTGGGGCCTCAATGTCCAAATGTGGCCTGATGCCCATCTGGGCGCTGGGTGTCCACCTGCAACATGGATGTCCACTGGTACTTTATGTCCACCAGGGGCCTAATGTCCACCTAAGACCTGGTGTTCACCTGGGGTCTAATGTTCAGCTGAAGACCGGATGTCCACCTGGAGCCGAGGAATCCACCCAGGGACTGGTGTTGAACTGGGGCCTGATGACTACCCGGGGACAAGGTACACACCAAGCTTGATGTCCACCTGTCACCAGATGTCCACCTGAGTCCTGATGTCCATCTTGATCCTGGGTGTCCACTTTAGGCCTGATGTCCAGCTGGGGCCTAGGTGCCCACTGGGGGCTTCCTGTTAACCTGGGGACTGGTGTCATTCTGGGGCCTAATGACCACATGGGTTGTGTTATTCACCTAGGGCCTGGTGTCCACTTGGGGCTTGAGTGTAACCCTGGACCTGGCACCCACATAGGATTGGGTATCAAACTGGCCCCTTGGTGTCCAGTTAAGACATCATGTGAACCTGGCGCCTGAGTGTCCACATGGGGCCAAAAGACTACTGGGGGCCTGAATATCAACCTAGACTCTGAGGTTTACTAGGGGCCTAGGTATCCACCTGGGGCCTAATGTCCACCTGAGCCTGGGTGTCAACCTGGGGCCTGATGTAAACCTCTCGTTCAGTGTCCACCTTGGGCTTGATGTCAACCTGGAGCCTGATGTCCACCTGAGTACTGATGTTCACCTTTGACCTGATGTCCACCTGTGGATTGTTTATCCACCGATGGCCCGATGTTCACATGGGGCTGAATGTCCAACTGTGACTTGTTGTGCACCTGGAACCTAGGCATCCACCTGCAGCCTGATGTTCAGCTGAGCTGGGACCCGGAGTTCACCTGAGGCATGATGTCCACCTGAAGCTTGATGTTCATCTGGGGGCTGGGTGTCCACTTGGGGCCCAATATCCACCTGGAGACTAGGTACCCACCTGGGATCTGGTGTTCCCTCAAGATTGGTGTTCAGCTGTGGCCTAATGACCACCTGGGTCATGGTGTCTACCTTGGACTGGGTGCTCACCTGGAGCCAGTGTTCACTGGGGGCCTAGTGTGCACCTGAGACTGGGGGATGCACCTGGGGTCCGATGTCTACCTGGTGCCTAGGTATCCATTTGGGGCCTAATGTTCATCTGGAATCTGGTATCCACCTGGGGCCTTGTAATTACCTGGGGTCTGGGCATCCACCTAGGGCTTGAGTATCCTTCTGGGGCCTTGAGTTTTACTGGGGACTCGTGTCTGCCTTGGACCTGGGTGTACATCTGTTGCCTAATGTACACCTTGAGAGTGATGTCAACCTGGGGACAGTTGTCCTCTTGGGGTCTGAGTGTGCACCTGGTGCCTGATGTCTGCCTGGGGACTTGTGTTCACTTGAGACCTGATATCCACCTGGGGCCTGGGTGTCCACGAAGGGCTGATGTTCAGCTGGAGACTGGATATCCACCTGGGGCTTAGGGATCTATCCAGAAACTGATGTCAAACTGGGACCTGATGTCTACCTGGGGACTAGGTATCCATGTGAGGCTTGATGTTCATCCGCGGCCAGACGTCCATCTGATGCTTGATGTCCGCCTTAGTCCTGGGTGTCTACTGGAGACCTCATGTCCAACTAGAGCTTAGGAACCTACTGGGGGCCTCGTGTAAACCTGGGGACTGGTATGCAGCTGGGTCCTAATGATCCCCTGGGTCATATTATTCACCTAGGGCCTGGTGTCCACTTAGGGCTTGAGTGTCAACCTTAGGTCTTGTGTTCATCTTTGACCTGGTGTCCACCTGGGACTTGGGTATTGACCTGAGGACTTGGTGTCCAATTGAGGTGTCATGACCACCTGGGGACTGAATGTCAATCTGGGGTCTGATGTAAACCTCTAGTTCAGTATACACCTGGGCATGGTCTTCACTTGGGGCCTGCTGTCTACCTGGGCCTTGCTGTCAACCTGGGGCCCGATGTAAACCTCTAGTTCAGTATCCACCTGGGGCCAGATGTCTTCCTAGAGACTTATATTCACTTTTGACCTGATGTCCACCTGGGGACTTGCTATGCATCCATGGTCTGATATTCACCTGGGGACAGATGTTCAACTGTGGCCAGAAGTGCACCTGGGGTCTGGGCTTCCACCTAGAGCCTGATGTTTAGCAGGGGCTAGAGTTTACATGGAGAATGATGTCCACCTGAAGTTTGATGTTTACCCGGGACCTGATACCTGCCTGGTGCCCAAGTATTCTCATGTGCCTAATGTCCACTAGTTGGCCTGGTGTTCATCTGAGGGCTTGGTGTCAACCAGTGGCCTTACGTACACCTGGATTCTAGTGTCCTCGTGGGGCCTTATGCCTACCAGGAGTCTGGTGTACCCCTGGGGTCTAGTATCCACCTGGAGTCTGGGTGTCCACCTGGAGCCTAATGTTGAGGTTAGACTGAGTGTCAGCCTGAGGCCTGATGTCTACTTAGGGCATAGGTATTCACCTGGGGCTTGTTGTTTACCTGGGGACTAATGTCAACCTTGAGCCTAGGTATCCACCTGGGGAATAGTGTCCAGTTGCAGCCAGATGTCCACCTATGGCCTGAAGCATGGTTGTTATCCTAAGACCTTGTATTAGTCCATTTTCACACTGTTATAAAAAACTACCTGATATTGGGCAACCTATGAGGAAAAGAGGTTTAACTGACCCACAGTTCTTCAGGCTTAATAGGGAGCATGACTGGGCATGCTCGGGACACTTACAATCATGATGTAAAGCCAAGAGGAAGCAAGCCCTTTTTACCATGGGGGAGGAGGAGGGAGAGAGAAGGGGGATGTGCTACACACTTTCAAACAAACAGATCTCATAAGAACTCTATCATGAGAACAGCAAGTGGGAAGTCTGCCCCCATGATTCAATCACCTCTCACCAGACCCCTTCTTCAACCCATGTGGATTACAATTCAACATGAGATTTGGGTGGAGACATAGAGCCAATATCAGGCCTGATGCCCACCTGGAGTCGTGTCTACCTGAGGCCTAATGTAGACATGAGGCCTGGGCATCCACCTAGGACCTCATGTTAAGATAGGGGCTGGAGTTCTTTTGGTGTCTAGTGTATACCTGGGGCTCAGATGTAAAACTAGAGCCTGATGTTTCAGATGGAAACCTGGGCCCCAGGTGCTCATCAGATCCTAGGTGAAAACTCAGTCTTCAGGTGCACGTCAGACTCCAAGTGGACACATAGGCCCCAGGTTGACACTAAGATTTCAGGTAGACTCTGGGTCCCAGAAAAACACCCCGCCCTAGGTGGACAGCTGAACCTGAGTAGACTTCAGGCCCCAGATTGACATCTGGCCCAGGTAGATTCCTAGGCCCAAGGTGAATACTCAGTCTCCAGGCCTAGGGGAATTCAGTCTTAGGTGACTAAGGACTGGTGTTCCTCTGGGGCCTCATGTCTACCTGGGCCCTGGGAGTGCACATGGAGCCAGATGTCTATAAAGGGCCTGAGTGTCCACTAGGGCCTGAGGTTCACCAGAAGCATAGACACCCACCTAGGACCTCGTGTCCACCTAAAACCTGGTGTTCACCTGGGGCCTGGGTGACAACCTGGGATCTGATGTTCACCTGAGGCCCAGAGTTCAGCTGCTGCCTATGTCAGCCTGGCACCTGATGCACACGAGAGGACTAGGTGCCCACCTGAGGACTGGTGTTCTTGGGGAACTGGTGTTCAGCTGTGGATTGATGACCAACTGGGTCCTGGTGTCCTCCTGGAACCTGATGTCCACCTGGGACTGCATGCTTACCTAGGGTCTGGTGTTCCTCTGGGGCCTGGTGTACCCCTGAGACCTGGGGTCCACCTGGGCCTAGTATCCACTTGGGGCCTCATATCCATCTGGAACATCATGTCCACTTGAGGCCTTGTAGTTACCTAGGGACTGGGTGTCCTTCTGACCCTTGAGTGTCCTCCTGGGGCTTGGGGTTCTCCTGGGGCCTGGGTGTACATCTCTGGCCTGATGTCCACCTTGGGATGGATGTCCACCTGGGGACAGATGTTCACTTGTGGCCTGAGTGTCCATCTCGTGTCTAATGTCTACCTGGGGCCTGGTGTTTGCCTGAGGCCTGATATCCACCTGGGGCCTGGGCATCCATTTGAGGCCTGATGTCTACCTAAGACCCGGTGTTTAAGTGGGGCACAGACTTCTTCCTGGAGCCTGACATTCATCTGGAGCCTGAAGTTCACCTATGCCTGTTGTCTACCTGAGGCCTATGTGTCAACCTAGGGCCTGAAGACCACCCTGAGTTCAGTGTTCACCTGGGGCCTGACATCTGCCTGGAGTCTGGGTGTCCACATAGGGCCTGATGATGGCTTGGGACCAAAGTATTTACCTAGGGCCTGGGTGTCTACTTAGAGCCTGACTTCTACATGGTTCATTGTGTCAACCTGGGACCTGATGTCCACTTAGGGCCTAGGTAAGCTCCTTATGACTAAAGCCCACATGGGGGCTGAAACCAGCTCACACCTTGTGTTAACCTAGGGCTTAGTGTCCACCTGAGGCCTGCCTGGGACCTGGTGACCCCCTGGGGTCAAGGTATCCACCTTGGGCCTAATGACCAATTGGGGCTTAAGGATCTACCTAGAGACTGGTGTCAACCTGGAACCTGATGTCCACTTGGGGTCTGGTGTACACCTTGGGCCTGATGCCCACCTGGGCATGGGTGTACACTTTGGGCCTAGTGTGCACCTGAAGCCTGGGTGTCAACCTGGGTCTTGATGCACACCTTTAGTCAGGTGTTTAATTGGGGCCTGATGAAATACTGGAGCCTGATTTACACCTGTGTACTGGGTCTCCACCTGTGGCCTGATGTCCACCTGCAGCCAGATATCCACCTGGCACCAGAGGTCTACCAGGAATCTGGGTGTCCACCTTGAAAATGATGTATTCCAAGAGACTAGGCATGCACATTGGGCCTGGGGTCCACCTGGGTCCTGATGTCTACCTGAGGCTGGTATTGAACTGGGGCCTGTGTGTTCACTTGGAGCCTGATGTTCATTTGGAACCTGGTGTTCACCTAGGACATGGGTATCCACTTGGATCCTGATTTTCAGGTGGGGAGTGGCTATAGACCTGGGACCTGATGGCCACCTATGCTATAAGTAACCCAACCACCTGGGGCCTGGTGTTCACCTGTGGCCTGATATCCACCTGGTACCTGTGTGTCAATCTAGTGCCTGGTGTTCACTTGAGGACTAGGTAGACACCTGAGGCTTGGCGTTCACCAGAGACCTGGTGTTCATCTTGCACCCAGTGTCCACTTGGACCCTGTGTATCAACCTGTGGCCTAGGTGGCCACTTGGAGCTTTATGTGCACCTGGGGCCTGAGAGTTTCCTAGGATCTGATGACAACTGGGGCCCAGCGATCCACCTGGGACATCAGGCTCCAAGTGTACGCCCAGGTTCCATATGGGAACCAGGCCAGGAGAATGCCAGCCCTTATGTGAACATCAGGTCCTAGATGGATGCCCAGGTCCCATATGTACATCAGGTCCCAGGTATACACTGGACTCCAGGTGGACACCAGCACTCAGTTGGATACACACACTCAAGGTGGACACCAGGGCCCACGTGAATTCCTACACTCCAGGTGAACATCAGGTCCCAAGTGGATACCTGGACCCCAGGTGGATACCAGTCTCTAAATTAATACCAGGCCTCAGATGGTCCTTCGGAGCCATGTGGGCATTAGTCGTCAGGAAGTTACCTAGGCCCAAAGTGGACATCAGGCCCCATGTTGACACAAGATCCAGTTGGAAGTCAGGCCCCAGGTGGACACCCAGGCCCTAGGTAAATACTTAGGTTCCAAGTTGACAGCAGGCCCTATGTGAACACTCAGAACTCAGGTGGACATGAGGCCTCAGGTGGACATCTGAGTTCATCTGGAACCTCGTGTTACAGGCCCCATGTAAACACCGTTAGGTGGATACCCAATCTCTAGGTGGACATCAGAGCTCAGATTGACACAAAGACCCCAGTAGACATAATGTACCAATGAATATCCAGGCCCCTGGTAAATACCCAGGCCCCACATTGACACCAGGGTCTATGTGGACACACAGGCCCTGGGTAGAAAACAGTCCCAAGGCGGACACTGGACTGGACATCAGGTCCCAGGTTGACAACCATGCTTCAAGTTGACACCAGGCCCCAAGTGAACATCTGGCCCCAGCTGGACACTAGTCCCCTGGTGAATACCTAGGCCCAAGGTTGAAATCAGGCCCCATGTGAACACTAGACCCCAGATAAACACTTATACCCTAAGTGGACATCAGGCCTCAGGTGGTTACCCAGTCCCAAGGTGAACATCAGGACCCCGATGGGCACCAGTTATCAAGTGGATTCCTAGGCCCCAGGTGAATATCAAGCCCTAGGTGGATACCAGGCCCCAGGTGGATACCAGGATCCTGGTAGACATCAGGTCCCAAGAGGACCCTAGAACCCAGGAGTACATTAGGCCACATTAACACGAAGGCCCCAGATGAATACCAGGCCAATTGTGGACATCAGGCCTGAGAAGGGTCCTCAGGCTCCAGGTGGACATCAGGCGCCAGGTGAACATCCAGCACTCAGATGAACGTTAAGCTTCAGGTAGACATCATGCCTCAGGTGAACTCCAGGCCCCAGCTAAACATCAGGCCCCAGGTGGATGCCCAGGTTCCGGGTGCACATCTGGCCACAGTTGGACATTCAACCCCAGGTGATCATCAGGCCATGGGTGAATACACGGTTTCCAGGTGGACATCAGATCAAAGGGGAACATCAGTCCCCCAGTGGACATCAGGCCCAAGGTGGACACTGAACTAGAGGTTTACATCAGGCCACATGTTGACACCTAGTCCCAGGTGGACATCAGGCCCCAGGTGGATACCTAGGCTCACAGTGAATTTGACACCAGGTTGACATTCAGGCCCCCAGTGGTCATCTGGCCTCATGCGAACACTCAGACCCCAGGTGCACATGATGTCTCAACTGGACACCAAACCCCTAGTTTGATACCCAAGGCCCAGGTGGACACCAGGTCCAAGGCTGACACTCAAGCCCTAAATGAATACCAAATTCTAGGTGAATAATTCAACCCAGGTGGTCATTAGGACCCAGCTGAATACCAGTCCCCAGGTTAACACAAGGCCCCCGGTGGGCACCTAGGCACCAGCTGGACATGAGGCCCTATGTAAACACCCGGTCTCAGGTGAACACCATGCCACAGATGGACATCAGGTCCTAGGTGGACACGGGGCCACAGGTGGACATCTAGCCGCTGGGCAACATCCAGCCCCAGGTGGACATAACCGTTTCCATGGATAAACCATTCCCAGGTGGATATCAGGCCTCAAGAGGATAGCAGTCACCAGGTAGCCATCAGGCCTCAGATAGACACCAAGGTCCCAGATGTACAGCAGGCCCCAACTGAACCCCAGACTCATGTGGACATCAGGCCACAGGTAGACACCAAGCCTTAGGTAGATACCTAACTTCAGGTGGACATCAGACCCCAGGTGGACACCCAGTCCCCGGGTGGGCAATCAGGCCCCAGGCACACATCAGGCCTTAAGTGGACACCCAGGCCCCAGGTTGATATCCAGCTCCCAGGTGATCACCAAGCCCCAGGTAGACGCCAGGCCATAGGTGAGCAACAGGATGCAGTAGGTCATCAGGCCACAGCTGGATACCAGTCCCCGGTGAACACAAGGCCCCAGTGGGACACAGATCTAAGGCAGACATCAGGCCCCGGGTGGACGTACAGGCCTGAGGTGGAATTCACCCTGAGGGGGACATTCGGCCCCAGGTGCGCATCAGGCCTCAGGTGAATAACCAGTCCCCAGGTGGACATTAGCCTGCAGGTCAACCACAGTCCCCAGGTTGATACCTGATCTCCAAGTGGCTACCCAATCTGCAGGGTAACATTAGGCCCCTGTAGGATCCCAGGCTGCAAGTGGATTCCTAGGCCCCTGGTGAACATCAGGTGCAGGTGTCCAAGCAGGTCCTGGGTGGACATAACTGTGTACAGGTAAGGAGTTGACCTGTGGGGAGGGTGAGCAGTCAGCAGCCCACTGGGGTCCTGAGAAGGTTTTCTGGAAGGAGGAGGCTGAGGGCATGGAAACTTAAAGAAGCGACCTCACTTCCTTGCCAACAGACCCTAACAGAACTAAGAATTCTGGTAACCAGGCCAGGCACGGTGGCTCACACCTGTAATCCCAGCACTTTGGGAGGCTGAGGCAGGAGGATCATGAAATCAGAAGATCGAGACCAGCCTGACCAACATGGTAAAACCACATGTCTACTAAAAATACAAAAAACAAACAAGGTCAGCAAATCAAGTCCATCCTGGCTAACACAGTGAAACCCCGTCTCTACTAAAAATACAAAAATTATCCGGGCGTAGTGGTGGGTGCCAGTAGTCCCAGCTACTCAGGAGGCTGAGGCAGGAGAATGGCATGAACTCGGGATGCAGAGCTTGCAGTGAGCCAAGATCTCGCCACTGCACTCCATCCAGCCTGGGGGACAGAGCGAGACTCTGTCTCAAAAAAAAAAACAAACAAAAAAAACCAAAAAACAAACAAACAAACAAACACAAAAAAACTAGCCAGGTGTGGTGGTGCGTGTCTCATGCCTGTAATCCCAGCTACTCAGGAGACAGAGGCAGGAGAAGTGATTGAACCCAGTAGGCGGATGTTGCACTGAGCCGAGATCATGCCACTGCACTCCAGCCTGGCCAACAGAATGAGACTATGTCTCAAAAAAAAAAAAAAAAAAAGAAAAGAATTCCAATAACCAGGCACCCACATCCTAGAGTTAGCCGCGTAGCCAGCTCACTTGGTGGGAGACACTCAAGAGAGCAAGATGTTCTTGTGCTGCATCCCCACATCTCCAGGCTCTGGCTTCAGGAATGGCAGAAGTGAGAGCCTTTCTTTGCTGATGACGCCCTCGTAGGCTCATACCTCACCCCAGATGCCTCTGGCCATTTGGCAGAAGCCCCCCCCCCCCAGGTACCACAGGACAGGAGTCACCAGGGAGCCATCAGGCCTCAGATAGACACCAAGGTCCCAGATGTACAGCAGGCCCCAACTGAACCCCAGACTCATGTGGACATCAGGCCACAGGTAGACACCAAGCCTTAGGTAGATACCTAACTTCAGGTAGACATCAGCCCCAGGTGGACACCCAGTCCCCAGGTGGACAATCAGGCCCCAGGCACACATCAGGCCTTAAGTGGACACCCAGGCCCCAAGTTGATATCTGGCTCCCAGGTGATCACCAAGCCCCAGGTAGACACCAGGCCATAGGTGAGCAACAGGATGCAGTAGATCAAAAGGCCACAGCTGGATACCAGTCCCTGGTGATCACAAGGCCCCAGTGGGACATAGATCTAAGGCAGGCATCAGGCCCCAGGTGGACGTACAGGCCTGAGGTGGAATTCACCCTGAGGGGGACATTCGGCCCCAGGTGCGCATCAGGCCTCAGGTGAATAACCAGTCTCTCTCTATATATATATATTATATATATATCTATATATATTGTGTTGGATATATATATCTATATATATCTATATATATGTATGTATATATATATATATATATATATATGTATGTATATCTATATATATCTATATATATCTATATATATCTATATATCTATATATATCTATATATATCTATATATCTATATATATCTATATATATGTATATCTATATATATCTATATATATCTATATATATGTATATCTATATATATCTATATATATCTATATATATTGTGTTGGATAAATCCAACAGCACATTAAAAATTTAATTCACCATGATCAATTGAGTTTTATTCTAGAAATGCTAGGATGATTCAACATATGCAAATCAATAAATGTGATTCATCACATAAAGTTAAAAACAAAAACCACAGGATCATTTCAATTGATGTTGAAAAGACAATCATAAAATAGGAGAAAATATTTGTAAACTATCCATCTGACAAGGGATTAACAACCAGAATATATAAGGAGCTCAAACAACTCTACAGAAAAAATCTGATCATCCAATTTAAAAATGGGCAAAAGATCTTGCTCAAAAGAAGACATATAAATGGCAAACAGGCATGTGAAAAAGTGCTCAACATCATTGCTCATCAGAGAAAGGCAAACCAAAACTACAAGACGAATCATCTAACCCTAGTTAAGATGGCTTATATCCAAAAGACAGGCAGTAAGAAATACTGGCTAGGATGTGGGGAATTGGAACCCACTATTGGTGGGAATGTAAGTTAGTACAATTACTATGGAGAACAGTTTGGAGGTTTCTCAAAAAAAAAAAAAAAAACAAAAATAGAGCTACCATATGACCCAGCAATGCCATTGGTAGGTATATACACGAAAGAAAGGAAATCAGGATATCTGAGAGATACCTGCACTCCCATGCATATTGCAGCACTATTCACAATAGCCATGATTTGGAAGCAACCTGTGTGTCCATGAACAGATGAATAAATAAAGAAAATGTGGTTAATATGCACAATAGAGTAATATACAGCCATGAAAAAGAATGAGATCCTGTTATCTGCAACAACATGGATAGAACTGGAGGTTATTATGTTAAATAAAATCAGCCAGGGACAGAAAGACAAATTTTCCATGTTCTCACTTATTTGTGGGAGCTAAAACTTAAAATAACTGGATTTATGGAGATAGAGAATAGAGTAATGGTTACCAGAGATGGAAGAATAGTAGGGTTAAGGGGAAGAATGAATAATCGGCATAAAAATACAGTTAGATAGAATAAGTAAGATCTAGTATTTGATAGAACAACAAGGTGACTATAGCCAAACATAATTTATAGTACATTTAAAAATAACTAAAAGAGCATAATTGCATTGTTTGTAACACAAAGAAAGGGTAAATGTTTGAAGTGATGGATACCCCATTTACCGTGATGTAATTATTATACATCGTATGCCCATAGAAAAATATTTCATGTACCCCAAAAACATATACAGTTACTGTGTACCCATAAAAATTTAAAAAGGAAAATATAAAATAAACAACCTGATATTACAACTCTAGTAACTAATAAAAAAAGAACAAACTAAACCCAAAGTCAGCAGAAGGAAAGAAATAACAAGGATCTGAATAGAAATAAACAGAATAGAGACTAAAACTACAATAGAAAAGAACCCAATGTAATAAAGAGTGTTTTTTCAGAAGGATAAACAAATCAACAAGCCTTTAGCCAGACCAAGGAAAAAGGAGAAAGGACTCAAATATTAATACAATCAAAAGTGAAAAGGGAGACATTACAACTGATACCACAGAAATATAAAAGCTCATAAGAAAAAAAAGCTCATAAGAGAGTACTATGAAAAATTGTACAGTAACAAATTGAATAAAGTAGAAGAAATAAATAAATTCCAAGATACATGCAAGATACCAAGACTGAATCATGAAGAAAAAGTAAGTATGAACAGACCAAAAATGAGTAAGATTGAATTGTAATAAAGTCTCCCATCAAAGAGAAGCCCAGAATAGCTTTACTGTTGTATTCTACCAAACATTTAAATAATTAGCAATCCTCAAACTCTTCCAAAAAAAATCTAAGAGGAAGGAATACTTCACTTCCAAACTTTTTTTACATGGCCAACATTACTCTGATACCAAAGTCAGCCAAGAACAAGAAAAAGAAAAGAAAAGAAAAATTACAGGCCAATATCCCTGATGAACATAGATGCAAGAATCCTCAATCAAATACTAGCACACTGAATTCAACAGCACATTAAAAAGATAACTTACCATGCTCAAGTGGATTTACCCCAAGGATACAAGGTGGATCAACATACATAAATCTATAAATGTGATATACAACATTAACAAAATGAAGCCCCAAAATTATATAATCATCTAATTAGATGCAGAAATGGCATTTGAAAAATTCAACACTGTTTCATGAAAAGATTCTCAACAGAGTTGGTTTAGAAGAAATATACTTCAACACAATAAAGACCATGTATTACAAGCCTACAGCTCACATTATACTCAATGTACCCTCCAAATCTCAGGCTGAATTTTGATCCCCAGTGTCAGAGGGGGTGCCTGGTAGGAGGTGTCTGTGTTATGGAGGTGAATCCCTCATGGGATGGTGATGGTATCCAACCCAACCCTCAGGAATGGGTTTGCATTTTACCCATAGTAGAGTTACCATCAGATCTGTTGGTTAAAAAGAGTGTGGGACAACCCCCTCCCCAACTTGCTCCCTCTCTTGCCATGTGACACACCTGCTCCCCCTTTGCTTTCTTCAATGAGTAAAAGCTTCCTTAGGCTTCAGAAGCTAAGAAGATGCTGATGCCATGCTTGTACTGACTGCAGGACCATGAGCCAAATAAACCTCTTTTCTTTATAAATTATTCAGTCTCAGGTATTCCTTTATAGCAATGTAAAATGGACTAAAACAAATGTTATTGGTGATTTATGCAATGGCCATTTTAAGGGTGTGGTGGGGGGAAGCCATATTTAAATATATTGGAGGTGAGAAAGACATGAGGAAAAGATGAAGATTCCTTACGGTCTCTCAAGTATGGCAGTCATGCTCCTGCCTTGTGGCCCGTATGCATGCCATCTCCTCTGCCTGGAATGCTCTTTTCCCAGATATTTATATTTCTTTCCCCCACACTCCCTTCAAATCTTTGACCAAATATCACCTTTTCAGTGAGGCCTTTCCTGACTAGCTATTGAAAATTCCACCCAGGGGAATTGAGAGATATCGGTCAAAAGGTACAATGTTTCAGCTAAACAGGATGAATAAGTTTTGGAGATCTACTGTACAGCATAGTGACTGTAGTTAATAGTCATGTGTTATACCATTGTCCCTAAATATCTGCAATATCTGGGGGGCGATTTGTTCCAGGACTCCCCAAGGACACCGAAATCCTGGAATGTTCAAGTCCCTTATATAAAATGATGTAATTTTATATTTGCATGTAACCTATGCATATTCTTCCATACACTTTAAATCATCTATAGATTACTTATAATACTAATAAAACATAAATGTTTTATAAATAGTTGTTATAACGTATTTTTTTATTTTTACTGCTTTTATTGTATTTTTTGTGGGGTTTTTGTCCTAATAGTTTCTATCCAGTTGGTTGGATGCCTGAATGTGGAACTCATGGAAACATAGGGCCAAAAGTATACTTGAAGTTTTTAGAAGAGATTTTAAATGTTCTCATACAATAAAATGAAAGTATGTGGAAGTGATAAATATGTTAGTTTGAATTAATCGTTTCACCATGTATACATATCAAAAAATCATCTTGTATGCCACAAATACATACAGTTTTTAAAATATAAAATAAAAAATATTCAATCACCTATTATAAAGCAAGCACATATTGAACAAGTGCCAAGTTAATCTCATATACTGGATAATGATTCCATGGAAAGTAGCCTTGCTTAATTGGGAAAAGACCCAAGTGACAGAGTAGCTCCCTATGGAAAATTGTAACTGGTTTAAGTGACAGCTTAAACTCCAGAATGTCTCACCAAACAGTCAAATATATCTCTGCTCATAAGTATATTTCTCAATGAATTGTTATCAACTGATACTCCTGTGTAAAGGTACCTAGTTCAAGAAACTGAATATTATCAGCATCCCAAAATCCCAACCTTTTCATTGAGGCTTTCCCTAACTACCTATTGAAAATTGCGCCCAGGGGATATGGGGAGACATTTGTCAAAGGGTACAATGTTTCAGCTAAAAAGGATGAATAAGTTCTGGATATCTACTGTACACCATTAACCTTAAGAGAGATCTCAAAAAGGAAAAGAACTCACACACACAAAAATAAATTGCTGTAAAGGATACACACGAAAGACATAGAAGGGAGGTGGAGGGAATGCAGAGAGCTGCGGGCTGAGTCTGAGCCTCAAGGCTTTTTCAGCATACAACACCGCAAAGACTGTTGATAAGCAAGCCTGTCCCCCATTTACTAAGCTTAGGCAATTAACTTTATGTGTCAAAATTTTATCAGTACCCAACACTGATTTAAGGACTCAACACTCTGAGTTGAGAAAACCTAAAGTACAAAAAGTTACCTCAAAGGTAGGTGAGACTCTCTAACAGCTCAAATATATGTCTTCAATGTGTTCTAATTGCAAATTACTTACAATTTGGCACAACATATTGGGAGAGAGGAGTAGTGGAATGGTAAAAATCAAACCTAACTTCAAAATATTGTAAATTATGGTTCTAAGATCAATCTTAATGACCCAATATGTGCAATGAGGCTCTTCTCTTCCTCCTCCATGTTACAGATGGGAACACGAAAGACTAAGCCATTCACATTACCCCAGGGAAGGCAGAGGGAAAGGGCAGTCCAGGTGTCCTGAACTGTACTGCTCACAGGGGAGGCCTGGCCCACCACTAAGTCTGGATACTTCCAAACCTATCCTTACATGAAAACAATATCTGGGGACCATTTCATTCTAATTGGTTTCGGGTCCTAGTTTCTGCCCAGTGGTCAAATCCAGAAACCCAGTCAGCACCTAGTTTCAATGAGTGGCTCTGAGCTTAGCTAATTAATGGCTTCCTGGCCCAAGAAAGCCTTCCTGTTTTTGTTTGTTTAATTAATTGTTTGCTATTGCGCTAAAATACTTTGTCTTACCTGACAATGAGTGAGCTCAGGATTATCTTGGCACATTTGGTTATGTGGTTTGAGCCCTCCCAGAGTGTTACTGTCTACCAGCTACCCATTAAAGTTTAATACGGCAGAAGACAATGAGCTTACTAGAGATGTCACAGAGCCTTTGTTGCCATGGCAATAATTGTTGGACCAGATCACAGAGAAGGAAGTAAGAGACAAGAAAGAGAAAGGTGCAGGAAAAGCTGAAGCATAATAGTTTTTTAAAATAGTCTCTAAACTTATAATGGAGTAATGTGTTTAAATTTGTGGGGGAAACCACTTTATGAGAAAGGCTGATTTTCCAACATCCTCTTAAAGAGATATGGTTTTGGTTTTATGGAAGAATGGTTTCTAAGCTACATTTCATCTTTTTTTTTTTTTTTTTTTTTTTTTTTAGACGGAGTCTCGCACTGTCACCCAGGCTGGAGTGCAGTGGTGCGACTTCGGCTCACTGCAACTTCCGCCTCCCAGGTTCAAATGATTCTCCTTGCCTCAGCATCCCAAGTAGCTGGGATTACAGGCACCCGCCACCATGCCTGGCTAGTTTGTTTTGTATTTTTAGTAGAGACCAGGTTTCCCTATGTTGGCCAGGCTGGTCTCGAACTCCTGACTTCATGATCTGCCCGCCTCAGCCTCCCAAAGTGCTGGGATTACAGGTGTGAGCCACCATGCTTGGCCTACATTTCATCTTAAAATAAAAGTAAACGAATTGCGATTAATTTGGAAGCACACTGACTACTATAATACCAAGAAGTTCGTACGAAGGCAGATAGATAGCCATTAAAATGGCAGAAATTCAACAAAATTTTTAATAGATGATTGTGTCAGTGAGAAATAGTTTTGATGTGCAGTATGAAACCTCAAATATTCCAGGGGCTCCTGCAAAGTGTAAACTTGTAGTATCCTTGACTTAGAACTGAAAGAACAGCAGGATTGGAGGTGGGTGAAAGAAAGAACCTAGTGATCTAGGTAATGTCACTTTGGATAACATTTGCTCTAAATTGCTCCCAGCATCAGTGAGTAGAGCTTGGGAGGAGTGAGTGTGTATTTCAAAGCCCAGGGCTTCAGTCAGTGTGAATGAGACAATGAGGATTATCCTGCCCTCTTGTGCTTCTGAGCCAACGTGCCAGGGCTTAAAGAGGAGAGGAAGGAAATGAAGAAGTCACAGAGTGCCTGATTGAAGAAGCAAAGTGCAGAAACACATCCTCCTCCCACCTCCCTGTAGAACTCAACCTCCCACTAGACTGCCCATCACTATCAGCATGGGATGGTGGTATATTTACTTAATTAGCTAAACGTGAATAGAGCTTAAAGTTTAGCCCTTAGGTGGGATTTTGCCGACATCGACTTCCTAGGACTTTTGTCCTATCACAGTGGCCTGTTGCACTGTGAGCTTCTTGTGTCAAAGGTTAATTAATCTTGTCTCTCTAGAGTCTAATGTTCAAATGCATGTTCATTTAACTAGGCTGTTTATTAAGTATAGTGGTTTAGTGACAAGATTAAGAAAAAAGCCCCAAAGGTAACTTATATTGTTGACCAGAGTAAATTAAAGGTGTAAACATTTAATAACACCTAGAAGCCATATTCAGAATAAGTATAATTTTTACTAGTTATTCTAATCTTTTGAAAGAAACATCACAGTTAGAAATGAAAAAGACCATATTACCACTGACCCCACAGAAATAAAAAATAACCATCAGAAACTACTACAAACACCTCTATGCACACAAACTTGAAAACCTGTAAGAGATGGGGAACTTCCTGGACACACCAATAACGTGCTCCAAAATTGCATCTGTAATAAATAGCCTACCAACCAAAAAATATATATATTTTAAAAAGCTCAAGACTAGATGGATTCACAGCCAAATTCTACCAGATATGCAAAGAAGAGCCAGTACCATTTTTGCTGAAATGATTCCAAAAAAACTGAGGAGGAGGGACCCCTGTCCAACTCATTCTATGAGGCCAGCATCATCCTGATACCAAAACCTGGTAGAGACACAACAACAACAAAAAAAACTTCAAGCCAATATCATGGATGAATACTGATATAAGGCAGCTTGTGATTAGTATCATGACAAAGACACAAAGATGGTAAAATAAAAATGCAAGGATGGGGCTGGGCGCAGTGGCTCACGCCCGTAATCCCAGCACTTCAGGAGGCCAAGGCAGGTGGATGACAAGGTCAAGAGATAGAGACCATCCTGGTCAACACGGTGAAACCCCGTTTGTACTAAAAATACAAAAATTAGCTGGGTGTGGTGGCGCATGCCTGCATTCCCAGCTACTCAGGAGGCTGAAGCAGAAGAATTGTTTGAACCTGGGAGGCAGAGGTTGCAGTGAGCTGAGATCATGACACTGCATTCAGCCTGGGGACAGAGCGAGATTCTGTCTCAAAAAAAAAACACGCAACAATGGAAAATGTGCTTTGGTTAGGGGAAGAGAGGAAAACATTTTGGGAAAAAAAAATGTCTTTTGAACTGGACCTTGAAGGAGGGTTTGTACAGATGTAGATGGAGATAAATAGAATTCCAAATACAGAAAATGATCACAAAGAAGAGAACATAAGAAACTGAAGCTATTCAGAGAATGAAATGCTGTCTACTGTCTAATTTATCTGCAAAAGAGAGTAGGGAAAAATAACACCAAGAAAGTCATTTGAAGTCAATTTGTGGAGAACTTGGGAACTTGAAATCATTGACAGCTTTTGAGCAGACGAGAATATCAAAGCTATGTTTTAGAAGTTTCTAAGTATTATGACTAAGTGATAATAAAGGTCTGAATAAACATTTTCCTCTGTAGTCTCTCAAAGTGGAAGTTTGCTTTTAGACAGATGTCTGTGGTCCTAGGGCATACATCCCTGATGTCCTCAACTACTTCACAGCACTTGGTATGAGCATTCACTCACACATGAGTGTTTAGTTACGCTATGTTGGCCCCTAAATGTCATAAAGTAAAAATAGAAGAGATACTAATAAATACAAGTAAATACTTCTCTCTATTAATTGGGAAGTCACATGTTCCTCTGAAGTATTTCTGTTAATTAACTTAAATGTTGCTACTTCTTATACTTTCTTCTCATATCTAAAGGATTCTGGCAAAAAAGTGCCATCCTTCTAAAAGTTATTTCTAAATTCTGTAAGTTTTTGTTCAATGTGTGACAATGTTGGAACCTCAGTATTTTCCTCACTGGGCTGTATATCCTCCAATATATGCACAGTAACACTTGAAATGTTCCTAAACATTATGTCAAAAGTTTTGGTAACATTTGGTATCTTATTTCTCCTCAGACTTTGTCTTCCAGAAGATTTTCTGGAATCCGTCTGGTGGGCAAGCTCTTTGTAAATAATGATGCCTTAGAATAGTTGTCATTACTCTTTACTGATTCTTCAGAGAATATGTAATCATTAACTTTTTAAAGATTCATCTTGGAAGATAACTTTCCTAATGCTATAGAGGCTACATCCCAGGAGAATGTGAGTTTCATAAAGTGCATTTTTAATTTTGGGGTCACATAAAACTCTGTCTAGCTGGAGACATAATATGATTTATAAAATAAATCATTTAGAGATTTGGTTCCTGTCAAAACGTTGATGGCTTCACCTTTTGAGCACTGCTGAGAATCATGACACTCCTGTGTCAATCCCTTTTCATTCCATAATTTCTTAATGTTGGTTTATTAATGATTCTGGTTGGAAGCCTATTAAAGAGACATATATTACTAAAAGAAGCACAAACATAACTTCTAACTAGTCATACCAAAAGACTTCCCAGAGCACTGGTGTAGAGAGCAAGTTGGAAGAAAAACTTTTGAAAATTTGTGTTTCTGCTCAAAATGTCCTCTTGACATCTAGGACTCACATCCCTCCATATTTCTGAGGAAAAGAAAAGTTTTTTTCCAGGTAACGCAAATCCCTAATATATTTTTATAAGAATGTAGGAAGAAGGAAGTTTACCTATAACAAAATAAGTGTTTGATTTCTGTCATCTGGTAAAAATTTTCAATTTTAAAAAAAGCATATAAGGAAAATCAATCTCAAAATTTTATGAAATGCCTTCAAAAGTAAAGTTTAATGTCTAGATCTTTGCAAACTTTTGTACATAATGACTAAATCAATATTATATTGATTTTATCAATATAATAATCACTATATCAGTTTATGAAATTAAGGTAAAAGATTAATCAGAAGCTTAAAGCCTTTGCTTTCTACAGAAAACATTGCAGCTTTACAATATTAATATTAAAAATCAATATTGGTGAGTAACATTAGATAATCACTTAAGCTAACAACAGCAGCAATAGAAATTCAGAGATAATGGCTTTAACGTGATTGCTACCAATTTATTTTAAAATATGTGCATTTCTTTTGCATATGTAAATAATGTTAAGTAATATGTTTAGCTGAAATGTAAATGGTCAAAACTTTCTTTACTGAGTCTATTGCACCATAAGTTGGGTTTGCAATAAGAAACTAACACATTTGTGCCTTCTCAAAGTACTAACTTTGAGTTGTATGCTATCCAGAAACTATATTAAATCATTTCTGTCTCAAAATAATGACCTTACAAAAGGAATTTAACTTTACCTAGTTCTATCACGATTGCATATTAAGGAGAGATTTAGAAGATGGCAGAAGTTTGTTTTTGTTCAATCAGCTACCTACGAAGCCCAAAACTCATATACTGTATAGCCGAGAAAAAGTAAACTACATTCTCTTCCTAATTATTCTTTTGAAAAATGACTTCATGTTCATTATCTTCTCTTCATTCTTAAAAAAGGAACACATTTTATAAAAGAGTCCTGACTGATAATGTGTCCCTTGACCTTGCAGGTCACTGGCCTAATGAATGTCTCTGAGCCAAATTCCAGCTTTGCTTTTGTAAATGAATTTATACTCCAAGGTTTCTCTTGTGAGTGGACAATTCAGATCTTCCTCTTCTCACTCTTTACTACAATATATGCACTGACTATAACAGGGAATGGAGCCATTGCTTTTGCCCTGTGGTGTGACCGGCGACTTCACACTCCCATGTACATGTTCCTGGGAGATTTCTCCTTTTTAGAGATATGGTATGTCTTTTCTACAGTTCCCAAGATGTTGGTCAACTTCCTTTCAGAGAAAACAAACATCTCCTTTGCTGGATTGTTTTCTCCAGTTTTATTTCTTCTTCTCTTTGGGTACATCAGAATGCTTGCTTTTGACTGTGATGGCCTTTGATCAGTACCTTGCTATCTGCCGTCCCTTGCACTATCCTAATATCATGACTGGGCATCTCTGTGC
Organism: Homo sapiens; assembly: GCF_000001405.40. Taxonomy (NCBI): domain Eukaryota; kingdom Metazoa; phylum Chordata; class Mammalia; order Primates; family Hominidae; genus Homo; species Homo sapiens. The sequence continues at coordinate 19,180,762 of NC_000014.9, forward strand.
CAAACTGGTCATACTGTGCTGGGTTTGTGGCTTTCTGTGGTTCCTGATCCCCATTTTCTCATCTCTCAGATGCCCTTCTGTGGCCCAAACATTATTGACCATGTTGTGTGTGACCCAGGGCCACTATTTGCATTGGATTGTGTTTCTGCCCCAAGAATCCAACTGTTTTGCTACACTCTAAGCTCATTAGTTATTTTTGGTAACTTCCTCTTTATTATTGGATCCTATACTATTGTCCTGAAAGTTGTGTTGGGTACGCCTTCAAGCACTGGGAGACATAAGGCCTTCTCTACCTGTGGGTCTCATTTGGCTGTGGTATCACTGTGCTATGGCTCTCTTATGGTCATGTATGTGAGCCCAGGACTCGGACATTCTACGGGGATGCAGAAAATTGTAACTTTGTTCTATGCTATGGTGACCCCACTCTTCAATCCCCTTATCTATAGCCTCCAGAATAAGGAGATAAAGGCAGCCCTGAGGAAAGTTCTGGGGAGTTCCAACATAATCTAAGGCATATTAGATTATTCCTCCATGATCAGATCAGTACAGTCTAACAAAGAGAAATCAGAATTATATAGTTATTGAAATCTAAAAAATATGGACCTAGTGATATTGACTATATCAGCCTATGAAATTAAACACCTGTTGGACCCCTTACAAATTAAAGTTGCCAAATCATATAGATAAATGGAAGCGTGTGGTTTCCCTTTGGCACCTAGACTGAGTATTAACTGAGGAATACACATATTTGGGTGTTTTCTGGATAGTTTCCATCTGATTCATCTGTGATAAAAATTCTTTATGTTCTATTTTACTTAAATTTATTGTTCTGAGATTGACAAAATTATAGCTATGTTATTTTGTTTGGTTGGTTGTAAATAAAAGAAGAAAAACTATATTTTCTGATTGTGATTCTTATCATATTTGGGTTTATTATTTTGGTGACATGGTCATTACTAATACATAAGCCCTTATAAGCAATTTATCAACATTTTTGTAGGACAATAAAATATTCTAGCCTAATGATATCCAAACATTACCTCCTTCTGCACCCCTAAAGGGCAGATTCTAAATCCATCTATAATAATATCAGTCAAAATATTCAGAAATGCATTATTCTAAATACCTAATATTTTTACCTAAATAAGATATCACCAACAACATGATAGGTCAATTTACCGAGTTTTAGATAATAGAATATCTCCCCTAAAGATTGGACAGGGCAATGGTATACTTGTGGATACACTACTTAAGTTCAAAAAATAAAATAAAATCAATGGCAGTCCATTGTCATTTGCTGCTAAAAGAATGTGAAAATAACATGAAGGAAAATTTTTGAAGGAAAAAAGCATTTATAATTCAATTGCTCTAATGTATCTATTTTTGTTAATATGTCTGTTTCATGTGATTTAATGTTAAACTCGCTCCTGTTTATAGCAAGTTTTTATAATTATCATTCATAGAAAGCATAATATTTTATTGAACTAACGTGCCATGAATTGTGAATTTTTATGTGGTGAGATGAACATTGTCCTAGACGAAGGGCCTTCCTTCCAAGAAGCTAAGAGCTGACTAGTAAAAGGGAATTTTCAGAAGGGATGTTAGGAGAAAAACGAATGCCTCTACTACACAAGAATGACTTCTCACAGAATTTGTACTGCAGCATTCTGGGGTAAGGTTACTGAACACTCCAACATCTTCCTTCCTTCTACCACCAATCTTTTTGTTGAACATTACAGTTATCCCATTTTTTGTTATAAAATAATATCTCAATAAAATCTTCATAAAGATTTGCCTTGATAATATTTTGCAAACCTAAATTAGGACTCATCATCTAATCTGAAACAGACTGTCCCAGAAAATACAGAATATAAGAATATGATGTGTGTGCAACAATTTTCCTTTCAGATTTTTTGTCTTAGAACAGTTTATTGGGAAAGAGATCATTATTCAGTTCAAAAGGTAAGAATGCATTTGTGAATTGGGGCCCGGACATTCCAGGTAGAACAATTATTTGCTCCTTTCATGTAAGACAGTATCAAGCTTTTACTCAATGTTATTAGAACTCTGCCATATCTCTCACTTGTATAGCCGCTGAGGATCTTTCCTGTTTCTTTACTCCTTTCCAGGGTATATGACTTTTAAGTTACCTGAGTTCTGATCAGCAAACGGACTCAAGAAGAACAGGTAGTCAAGGCAGGCAATATTTCCACCACAGTTTCAGAACTCCCTACTTTGTATTACTAAGTTAATACATTTGTGCAGCCACTACCTTTGCAAAGGTTTCTTCTTACAACCTCAAATACTATGACTGGTTCACAACCTTTTCCATAGTGCTAAATTATTTGACCAAACACTGCATATATACCATATTTTTTCAAAGCCAAACTGTATCCCAAAGAGAGAGAAGGAGAGAGAAAGAATAGCAATAAAAATACAGTGTTATTTCAGGTTGATATTTAAAAATAATTGTGCTGGTTAATGGTTTCCTTGGGGGAAATGACAATTGAAAGTCGGTATTTTCTACTTTCAAATACAAGTCATGGTGTTTATTAGCTCCCTTTAAATGCTCATTAAGCTGAACAAACTTTGACTCTACCCTCAATTACAACTAATTCCCTCACAAAGGAAAATTTATTTGTACAACCAAACGTTATGTACATTCAAGATTACTAGAAAACTTAGGACATAAGGTGCAAGTGCGACAATATTATGAGAAAAGAAAGACTGTGTATTAGTTTAACAGGTTTGCATATGCAAATTCACCACCACAGGGTTTGTTCTCTTGGCAACATTGAAAATAATAATAATTAACGTTTTAAGGCAACTATTTTGTGTCAGGCAATATTCCAAGTCTTTTCTATGTATTATTTTATTTCCTACTTATGAAACCCAAAGAAATCAGGTCGGTATTATTGTATCTCTAATTTTTGAAGAGTGAAACAGGCAGAAAAGGTAACTTGCCTAGTTGGAGATGGCGTCTGATCTCAGGCAGGCTAACAATGGAGCCCACAGTTTTTACTACTATCGGGGGAAAGGACCAACACTATAGAATGAAATAGATTGGATCAAATCTAAGTCACTGATTGTGTGAGCTTATGCAAATTATTTGACCTTTCTGCCTAGATTTGTTTAGACTATAAAATATAACTAATGATAATACTTCTGTCAGACAGTGGATTTGATGAATAAATGAGGTAAATCAAGGTAGGATCTTACACATAGTATTTATGGAATCTATTTCAGTTAATATTATTAATGTCTTCCATTTGTAGAGCTCTTCAGCATTTCCCACTTTTATATAGTTGTTCAGTTCATCCTCACAAATTCTGTCATCACACAGTTAAGGTAGACATTCCCATACTCATTTCACTGATGAGATTCAAAGAAATCAAGTATACTGTCCAAGGTCACCCATAGTAAGTGAAGGGGCAAGTTCTTCTGACTTCAAGTTCAATAAGAATTCTGCTGTACCATACATCCTATTCTGGGAAATGTGGCTAAGTCCTGCGTAGCTAACTTCAGAACTACACGGCCATGCAAGCCAAAGAGCTGGATTTACCCCAGAAATTAATGCTGTAGAGAAGAAATGAGTGCAGTAGAAGAACTAAGGGATTTCTTTCCAGTAGTCTTAAGGTAATAACTACTCAAATTATACAAATATTTATGTAAAATGTATTTCACGTGCAAAGTATGTCACTGAGTGAAAATGGCAGATCATGAAACAATATTATTATATAATCTCACACAAACATGAAGTCATGGGATTATGGATAATTAAGATTCGTTGTTTCCTCTTTTATGCTAATATCTTTACTTCCTAATTTTTCCATGACAAATATGCATTTTTTGTCCAATTTACAAACGACATGTAGTTAAGAAAAAATGAATGTTTACAAATGGATGTATAATTTAAAGCAATGCTTTTAGACACACCACTTACCCACGCTTTCCCTCCACTTTGTGTGTAAGGAAAGGATAATGCTACTGTCTTTGGTAAGCTTTTACCACGTCTTTACAGAGCTTCTCAAGTACTTTTCCACGTGGGGTCACTTTGTGGAGAGGAGTTAATTTGGCACCCTTGTCCTTCTATTTCACTCAGAAGCAGCTCTTTCTGCAAAGGAGAGAGTGGTCCATGGTAGCAAACCCTGGCCTTGTGGTTTTCATTCTAGATTCTTAGAACAACAACAACAACAACAACAACAACATCAACAACAACAAAAGACAGAGACAGAGAGAGAGAGAATGGAGGAACATGTCATACAATCAAATGAATCTTCCCAAACAAGAGCTTTACCCGGGGACTTCCATCTACACTTGTACACATCTCTCCAGCCAAGCTCCCTGCTTACTACTAATACAAGAACCAACTTTAATTAAAAGAGAGTTTGAATTGTGATGTTTTTGATACCTACCTTTTTTTTATTATACTTTGATTTAGGGTATGTGTGCACAAAATGCAGGTGTGTTACATATGTATACATCTGCCATGTTGGGGTGCTGCACCCATTAACTTGTCATTTAGCATTAGGTATATCTCCTAATGCTATCCCTCCCCCCTGCCCCCACCCCACAACAGGCCCTGGCGTGTGATGTTCCCCTTCCTGTGTCCATGTGTTCTCATTGTTCAATTCCCACCTATGAGTGAGAACATGCAGTGTTTGGTTTTTTGTCCTTGCGATAGTTTGCTGAGAATGATGGTTTCCAGCTTCATCCATGTCCCTACAAAGGACATGAACTCATTTTTTATGGCTGCATAGTATTCCATGGTGTATATGTGCCACATGAACTGAAACAAATTTGCAAGAAAAATACAAACAACCCCATCAAAAAGTGGGCAAAGGATATGAACAGACACTTCTCAAAAGAAGACATTTATGCAGCCAAAAGACACATGAAAAAATGCTCATCATCACTGGCCATCAGAGAAATGCAAATCAAAATCACAGTGAAATACCATCTCACACCAGTTAGAATGGCAATCATTAAAAAGTCAGGAAACAACAGGTGCTGGAGAGGATGTGGAGAAATAGGAACACATTTACACTGTTGGTGGGACTGCAAACTAGTTCAACCACTGTGGAAGTCAGTGTGGCGATTCCTCAGGGATCTAGAACTAGAAGTACCATTTGACCCAGCCATCCCATTACTGGGTATATACTCAAAGGATTATAAATCATGTTGCTATAAGGACACACGCACATGTATGCTTATTGCAGCACTATTCGCAATAACAAAGACTTGGAACCAACCCAAATGTCCAACAATGATAGACTGAATTAAGAAAATGTGTCTATTTGATTCTTCTCTCTTTTCTTCTTTATTAGTCTTGCTAGTGGTCTATCAATTTTTTTGATCCTTTCAAAAAACCAGCTCCTGGATTTATTGATTTTTTGAAGGGTTTTTTGTGTTTCTATTTCCTTCAGTTCTGCTCTGATTTTCGTTATTTCTTGCCTTCTGCTAGCTTTTGAATGTGTTTGCTCTTGCTTTTCTAGTTCTTTTAATTGTGATGTTAGGGTGTCAATTTTGCATCTTTCCTGCTTTGTCTTGTGGGCATTTAGTGCTATAAATTTCCCTCTACACACTGCTTTGAATGTGTCCCAGATATTCTGGTATGTTGTGTCTTTGTTCTCATTGGTTTCAAAGAACATCTTTATTTCTGCCTTCATTTCGTTATGTACCCAGTAGTCATTCAGGAGCAGGTTGTTCAGTTTCCATGTAGTTGAGCCATTTTGAGTGAGTTTCTTAACCCTGAGGTCTAGTTTGATTGCACTGTGGTCTGAGAGACAGTTTGTTATAATGTCTGTTCTTTTACATTTGCTGAGGAGAGCTTTACTTCCAACTATGTGGTCAATTTTGGAATAGGTGTGGTGTGGTGCTGAAAAAAATGTATATTCTGTTGGTTTGGGGTGGAGAGTTCTGTAGATGTCTATTAGGTCCACTTGGTGCAGAGCTGAGTTCAATTCCTGGGTATCCTTGTTAACTTTCTGTCTTGTTGATCTGTCTAATGTTGACAGTGGGGTGTTAAAGTCTCCCATTATTATTGTGTTGGAGGCTAAGTCTCTTTGTAGGTCATTCAGGACTTGCTTTATGAATCTGGGTGCTCCTGTATTGGGTGCATATATATTTAGGATAGTTAGCTCTTCTTGTTGAATTGATCCCTTTACCATTATGCAATGGCCTTCTTTGTCTCTTTTGATCTTTGTTGGTTTAAAGTCTGTTTTATCAGAGACTAGGATTGCAACCCCTGCCTTTTTTTGTTTTTCATTTGCTTGGTAGATCTTCCTCCATCCTTTTATTTTGAGCCTATGTGTGACTCTGCACGTGAGATGGGTTTCCTGAATACAGCACACTGTTGGGTCTTGACTCTTTATCCAATTTGCCAGTCTGTGTCTTTTAATTGGAGCATTTAGTCCC